>NC_000008.11:38041920-38344951 GCF_000001405.40 Homo sapiens | reverse complement strand
AACATCTACAGTGCTTCCTTCAGGACAGTTGTTTTAAGTGTTTTAATAGTCAATACCCTATGCCTACTGGTTGTCCATAGGGGTCCCAGCCCTTGGTGTTTAGCATTGTAGAGAACTGAGAAGTGAAAAGGAAGCCCAAAGAAGCATCCACTGACTTCACTGGACAGCTTCCCTCCCCCAGATGCCTCAGGGAAACATAATGAAAAATGTATTCCTGGAGAAAAAAGTCTGATTTAAATCTCCTGGAGCTGGATTTGCTTTTATATAGATTTTTTCTTTTACTTTACTTTGTTGTTGTTGTTCCTTAAAAGCTCACTCATAGGTTCATAGGTTCTTTTTTGAGCAAACAAAATCTCATATAGTTGAGTTCCATGTTTAAGTCCGGGCATGGTGGCTCAATCTGTAATACCAGCCCTTTGGGAGGCTGAGGTGGGTGGATCACTTAAGGTCAGGAGTTCAAGACCAGCCTGGCCAACATGGTGAAACCCCATCTCTACTAAAAATATTTAAAAATTAGCCGGGCGTGGTGGTGGGTACCTGTAATCCCAACTATTCGGGAGGCCGAGGCACAGGAATTGCTTGAACCTGGGAGGTGGAGATTGCAGTGAGCCAAGATCATGCCACTGCACTCCAGCCTGGGTGACAGAATGAGACTCTGTCTGAAAAACAAACAAATAAAAAAACACAACACCTTAAGATTTCACCTGCTACTTTTTTTCTTAGTACTTGATGTGTAAGTATTTCCCCCTAATTCTAAGCTGTTTGGCCTTCTGAAGAGTGGCTGTTATTTGGAACAACCTAAGTATATCTTCTCAGCAATGAAAATGTGTCCAAACATCTAGGCAGCAGGAGACCTGAGATCACTACTGAAATTGTATATTTTAAAAATCTGCATGAGCTGTTTTTCCTCCCACCAAATCAGAAATATGTGGCTGTGTTTCTGCATGTCTTCCTCCTTGGCAGGTGGAATGCCTCAGGCATGTGAGCGTAGGCCCTATTATTCAAACAGTCACTGGTCTCCTATCAGCACTTCAGTGGGCTAATCCACTAAGGCAGAGTCTCATTAACCCTTAGTTTGCCATATCCCCTTATAAAAAGCAGAGTGGCTGGATCAGTCCCGTGAACACTAAGGTAGCAGGTTTGGTTCTCTAGCCTCAGAGTATTAGGCCTTAAAATTCTTAGAAACTCTTTATATGCAAAATGTTCTTTATTGTACACATTTTTTATTTGATTTTATGTGTTTATTTTTGAGACAGAATCTCACTCTGTTGCCCAGGGTGGAGTGCAGTGGTGCAGTCTCGGCTCACTGCAACCTCTGCCTCCAGGATTCAAGCGATTATCCTGCCTCAGCCTCCTCAGTAGCTGGGATTACAGGGGTGTGCCACCACGCCTGGCTAGTTTTTGTATTTTTAGTAGAGATGGGGTTTCATTATGTTGGCCAGGCTGGTCGCGAACCCCTGACCTTAGGGTGATCCACCCACCTTGGCCTCCCAAACTGCTTGGATTACAGGTGTGAGCCACTGCACTTGGCCCACATTTTTTATTTTTAAGGTTACAAACTTAAGTCATTCAGAAAGTAAAATAAAAATGCACAATTTATTACCTTTAAAATTTTCTTTCCAACTTTAATGTTGACATCAGTTTTTTGTTCTTTTAGGGACTATGATTTTACTCTATGTTTTTGAAATTTATATAAGTAATATTATTAAGGCTTTGAAATTCTGACAGATTTGATGTGTATTACTAATCTTTTTTTTTTGAGGCAGAGTCTCTGTCACCCAGGCTGGAGTACAGTGGCACGATCTCGGCTCACTGCAACCTCTTGCCTCCCGGGTTCAAGCGATTCCTATGCCTCAGCCCCCCAGGTAGCTGGAATTACAGGTGTGCGTCACCACACTCAGCTAATTTTTTTGTGTATTTTTAGTAGAGACGGGGTTTCGCCATGTTGGCCAGGCTGATCTTGAACTCCTGACCTCAAGTGATCCACCCACCTTGGCCTCCCAAAGTTCTGGGATTACAGGCGTGAGCCACGGCACCTGGCCTGTAGTATACTCATCTTAATGAATGTCTTGGGTTTTAATAAAAGTAATAGGCTGAAGGCCGTGGTGGCTCACGGCTGTAATCCCAGCACTTTGGGAGGCCGAGGCGGGCGGATCACAAGGTCAAGAGATCGAGACCTCCTGGCCAACATGGTGAAACCCCATCTCTACTAAAAATACAACCAGGCGTGGTGGCGCGTGCCTGTAATACCAGCTACTTGGGAGGCTGAGGCAGGAGAATCGCTTGAACCTGGGAGGCAGAGGTTGTAGTGAGCCGAGATCATGCCACTGTACTCCAGCCTGGCAACAGAGCAAGACTCTGTCTCAAAAAAAAAAAGTACTAGGCTAAAATTTGTAAAGGAATATTTAGGATAATGTAATTTATTTTAGCTACTCTTAACATAATTTTTAGGTGTTCTTATGTGGAGTCAATTAAAAATGTAAAAAAGTGGTATATACCCACAAAATCATAATTTTAAAATTAAGATGAATTGAACATTAAGGAGAGCTAACTCACTGTCATCTTTTTCTCTGATGTTTTCTCTTTCTGACAAAGCAGTGGAATTAGTACCCAAAGAGGGTATCTCTGTCCCTACTTAATTTTAATGTCTTAAACTTGTCTCTGTCTCTGAATGCCTACCAGGTATATCTGTTTTGCTCACGTACATTTTATAATAGATACTCCCTCTCTATTATTGCAGCATCCTTACTTGAATTCTTTTTCTTCTCTTACTTATATAGTCTTGAAAGCTTAGAATAAATCCTCTTGGGCATCCTTCGCTCCCTAGCCACTTATTTCTTTTAAAATGACTGTGTAAAAAACTTTAATTCTTTGAAAGTGATTTTGATGGTGTTTCAAACCAGCCTGAAGGAAACACCAACAATCTGGAACAAATCAAAAAATTAAAAAAGATAAGACATTTGAATTATAAGATTTGGAAGGAAGTCCTTTTTTTTTTGTTTTTTTGGAGACAGGGTCTCACTCTGTCACCCAGGCTGGAGTGCAGTGACGTGATCATAGCTCACACAGCCTCAAACTCCTGGGCTCAAACAATCCTCCCACCTTAGCCTCCCGAGTAGCTGGGAGTATATAGGTACACATCACTACGCCTGGCTCTTTTTTTATAGAGATGGGGTCTCGCCATGTTGCCCAAGCTGTTCTTCAGTTCCTAGGCTCAAGTGATCCACCTGCCCCAGCCTCTCAAAGTCCTGGGATTATAGGTGTGAACCACTGTGCACAGCTGGTACCGTTTTTAACCTCAGGTATCTCACACATGCTACTCCTTCCTCCTGGAATGTTCTTTCCTCCATGTTTACTAAGCTAATTCTTCGTCCTTTGATTCTTAGATTGTAATTTTTCTTTTTTTTTTTTTTTGAGACGGAGTCTCGCTCTGTCACCCAGGTTACAGTCCATTGGTGTAATCTCAGCTCAGTGCAACCTCTGCCTCCCAGGTTCAAGCAATTCTTCTGCCTTAGCCTCCCAAGTAGCTGGGATTATAGGCACCCACCACAGTGCCTGGCTAATTTTTCTATTTTTAGTAGAGACAGGGTTTCACCATCTTGGCACGGCTGGTCTCGAACTCCTGACCACGTGATTTACCCACCTTGGCCTCCCAAAGTGCTGGGATTACAGGTGTGAGCTACTGTGCCTGGCAGATTGTAATTTATTTTCTTAGAGAGGCTTTTCCTGACCTTCATATCTGAAAATACATATACACTTACACTATTATTTATCTTTCTCTTCCTAGCACTTACTTTTTTTGTTTGTTGTTGTTGTTTTAAGAGACGGGGTTTCGCTCCATCACCCAGGCTGGAGTGCAGTCATAGCCCATTGAAGCCTTGAACTCTGAGGCATAAGCGGTTCTCCTGCCTCAGCCCCTCAGAGTAGTTGGGACTACAGGCATTTGTTGTTTTTAGGTACTGGGCCTCACTCTGTTGCCCAGGCTGGTCTTGAACTCTTGGCCTCAAGAGATCATTCCACCTTGGCCTCCCAAAGTACTGACAGGTGTGAGCCACACCATGCCGAGCCATAGCACTTACTTTTTAACTGGATGTTTGTGTTTCTGTTTTTTAATGTCAGTCTCTCCTGCCCAGCTGTAAACTCCTTGGGGTCAGGAATCACATCTGTTTGTTTCACTATTATATATAGCCTATATAGCTTCTAGAACTGGGCCTGGAACGTCCTAGGCACTGTGAAGTGAATGATACTTGGGTTTGGGGACATTAGTCTGGCTTATAGAACATATCATTTTCCTAAAACTTAAAAATCTTTTTAGGCCAGGTGTGGTGGCTCACACCTGTAATTCCAGCACTTTGGGAGGCCAAGGCAAGTGGATCACCTGAGGTTAAGAGTTCAAGACCAGCCTGGCCAACATGGCAAAACCCCGTCTCTACTAAAAATACAAAAATTAGCTGGGTGTGGTGGTGCGGGCCTGTATTCCCAGTTTCTCAGGAGGCTAAAGGAGGAGAACCACTTGAACCTGGTAGGCAGAGGTTGCAATGAGCCGAGATGGCGCCACCACACTCCAGCCTAGGCAACAGCAGAGTAAGACTCTGTCTCAAAAAAACAAAAACCTTTTTATACTTTTTTTAATTTAATAAAACTTTGTTTTCACAACAGTGTCTTTAAATGTTTTGAAATAATAGAATGAGAATTTTAAGTAGCTTTTAGAATTAATCATATTCTTTTAGTGGAGTGAAGACCTACTTTAATGGCTATACCCTCTTTTTAAGCCATCTAAATTAAATTCTGTTCTCTAACAAGTAACATATTTTAAAAATCTTTTAAATTGTAGAAGTAATTTGGTTTTTTTTTTACAGAAAAGACGAATAATAAAAAGGTATAGAATATCTTCCTTCACCATTTCCCTCATGTCATTCCCAAAAGATAATTACTGGTATCAATTTTGTTTACATTGTACCAAATATTTTCAAGGCATGTATAAATTACATATTTTTAAATAAAAAATTGGAAGATATTGGTAGACATGCAGATTACTGACATGAAATAATACTGTAGTTACCATTCCTCTGCTTAGATTTTCTTGTTTTGGATATTTCTATAGAATAAATTTCTACAATGTGATTGCTAGATGGAAGAGTGTACATATCTTGAATTTTGATAGCTACTTCCAAATTGCCTCCCTAAAGGGTTTTAGAAACTTCTTTCTTTCCTTTTTTTTTTTTTTGAGATGGAGTCTTGCTCTGTCACCAGGCTGGAGTGCAGTGGCATGATCTCGGCTCACTGCAACCCCCACCTCCCAGGTTCAAGCAATCCTCCTGCCCCAGCCTCCTGAGTAGCTTGGACTACAGGCGCACACCACCACACCCAGCTAATTTTTAGTGTTTTTAGTAGAGACGGGGTTTCACCATGTTGGCCAGGATGGTCTCAATTTCTTGATCTCGTGATCCACCTGCCTCAGCCTCCCAAAGTGCTAGGATTACAGGCGTGAGCCGCCATGCCCAGCCCATCTAGATTATGTTTAATACTTAGCTCTTGTAAGTAGCAATGGTATGCATATCTTCATACTTATCCATATTTTTTACATCTCTCAGTGCTTTTCAAATATACATTCTTAGAAGTAGATTTGCAAGGTCAGAGTCTGAAAATTTAATGTTTTTCATATATACAACCAAATTGCTCTCAGAAAAGTTTCAAGTTACATCTTACTAGTAATCTTAGAGTGCCCATTTTTTCTAGAATCTGAGCATTAAAAAGAAAATTACCAGTTTATTTAGAAATTAAGTGGGTTTTTTTTTTGTTTTTTTTTTTTGAGACAGAGTCTCACTCTGTCACCCAGGCTGGAGTGCAGTGGCACAATCTCGGCTCACTGCAACCTCCGCCTCCTGGGTTCAAGTGATTCTCCTGCCTCAGCCTCCCAAGTAGCTGGGACTACAGGCATGCGCCACCATGCCCGGCTATTTTTTTAATTTTTAGTAGAGACGGGGTTTCACCATGCTGGCCAAGCTGGTCTTGAACTCCTGACCTTGTGATCTGCCTGCCTTAGCCTCCCAAAATGCTGGGATTACAGGCATGAGCTACTGCACCCGGCCTAGAAATTAAGTTTTAAAAGTAACAAAATAAGAAAAAGGAGATAAAGCTATGATATGGGGTGGAAAATGAATGTTGAGACAGCATTAGGTATTGAGTAAGTTGTATTCTTACTCCTTACATTGTTCAGTTAATAAATGCCCTTTATTCTCTTTATTTAGTTTTCTTTGATTCTTTTTATGTATGTCACTGTTTTTTGTTTGTTTGTTTATTTAATGCCATTTTATTCTACTTACCTATACCTTTTCACCTAGAGACCAAATGAGAGGGTTGACACTGTATCAGAAAAACCAAGGGAAGAACCAGTACTAAAAGAGGAAGCCCCAGTAAGTTGTTTTACTGAATACTGTCTAACCAAATATGGTGGAAGAAGGTGAAACACAGTGATTGAATTGCAACACAATTGTATTGGTACTACGCTTCTTAATTTCAGAAATTATATTGAAATAAGTCTTGGAGCTGGTTTGATAGGTGGATATTTTCAGTGAATCATTTTCCTTTTCAAAACTATGACCTGTTTTTTTTTCAATTGATCATGTGTATTTTTTTTTTTTTTCTTTTTGAGACGGAGTCTCACTCTGTTGCCCAGGCTGGAGTGCAGTGGCGCAATCTCGACTCACTGCAACCTCTGCCTCCTGGGTTCAAGCGATTGTCCTGCCTCAGCTTGCCGAATAGCTGGGATGACAGGCACGTGCCACCATACCCAGCTAATTTTTGTATTTTTAGTAGAGACGGGGTTTCACTGTGTTGGCCAGGCTGGTCTCGATCTCCTGACCTTGTGATCTGCCCTCCTCACCCTCCCAAAGTGCTGGGATTACAGGCGTGAGCCACCGCGCCTGGCCGATCATGTGTATTCTTAACATGCCTTGTTAATAATTTGGCAACAGAAACCATCAATCCTATCTTCAGTATTTGGGGTGGGGCTTATTAATATTTTTCCTCCTTCCCTTTTGCTAGTTTTAGATAGGAGGCATCAGAGAAAAGTATAATTGAAGATAAATTTACATTGTTAGCACTTTTAATGTACTTTATACATAGTTTCTTTTTTTGAATTTCTGATGTTTTTTGACCCTTTCCTGTATCAAAGTATAATTGAAGATAAAATTACATTGTTAGCATTTTTAATGTACTTTATATCTAGTTTCTTTTTTTGAATTTCTGATGTTTTTTGACCCTTTCCTGTATCAAAGTATAATTGAAGATAAAATTACATTGTTAGCATTTTTAATGTACTTTATACCTAGTTTCTTTTTTTGAATTTCTGATGTTTTTTGACACTTTCCTGTATCAAAGTATAACTGAAGATAAAATTACATTGTTAGCATTTTTAATGTACTTTATACATAGTTTCTTTTTTTGAATTTCTGATGAAGTTTTTTGACCCTTTCCTGTAGGTTCAGCCAATACTATCTTCTGTTCCAACAACGGAAGTGTCCACTGGTGTTAAGTTTCAGGTTGGCGATCTTGTGTGGTCCAAGGTGGGAACCTATCCTTGGTGGCCTTGTATGGTTTCAAGTGATCCCCAGCTTGAGGTTCATACTAAAATTAACACAAGAGGTAAGAAAAGGCATAAACAGATACTAAGTAAAAGGTTGGAAATAAAAGTGACTTTTAAATGTTGTATGTGAATATAAGAATACACACGTAATATATAATCTGATACAAAAATGTGCATATCCGTATCAGTTTTGTGGATTTTTTTTTTTTCTTTTTTTTTTTGAGACGGAGTTTTTGCTCTGTTGCCCAGGCTGGAGTGCAATGGCGCAATCTCAGCTCACTGCAACCTCCGCCTCCTGGGTTCAAGTGATTCTCCTGCCTGGGCCTCTGGAGTAGCTGGGATTACAGGCACCCGCCACAATTCCTGGTTAGTTTTTGTATTTTTAATACAGATGAGGTTTCACCATGTTACCCAGGATGGTCTTGAACTCTCGAACTCAAGGGATGCACCTGCCTCGGCCTCCCAAAGTGGTAGGATTACAGGCGTGAGCCACTGCGCCCGGCCTCTGTATCAGTTTTTAAAACCAGTGAAATACTGATAGTCATTTTAAATTGCAGAGTGCTTCTATGGCTAATGCAGTCCTTGTTTCCCTTATGATACCCTACATTTGCTTATAATTTGCTTACACTTGCTTTTTTTAAAGACCTTAATCTGACTGAAAATATGACCTCATATTTCCTAAAGAAAGCATATGGACAAGCGATCAGATGTTTTATATGAACTTAATAAGCATTTGCGCCAAGCCTTCTTTGAACATTTTTATTTCATCGTTGACTGCTATGGATAGTAATTTTTTACCCAGACAAGTACTTTTCATCCTGGCAAATTTTGCAGGATGCTTTTTTTTCCTCTACACTCCATTCTTGAATCGGTAAATTTACTGGGGCATCCTTGTAAATTTGATATGACATGTAGCCTGAAGGTTGCTATATAATATAGAATCCTACCTTAGGAATGTTAATAAAAATTAAGAAAGACAATTCTAACTTTTCTCTACTCCTTTTCTGGGATTTGACCAAAGAATGATGTGGAGTAGATTGCTGAGATTCTAGCATTTGAAATGAACTTGCTTAGTAGCCAAAGAAAGGTTTGAGCTTGGAACTTACTTCTGGGTGTTAACTTTGTGAATTGACTCTTGTCATGTGTAGAGTTCCTCATTGTCTGTGACAAGTTTGTACCTGTTTCTTTTTCTTTTACTTTAAACCATCTGTCTTGGTCCTTGTTCACTCTTCTGAAGGGAAAAAGTATCTCTTTATGTCTGGCAAGGCACATTTGTGATAGGATCAGCCATATCTGTGATTCTTGTGCTGCATAACCAAGAATCTCTCCCAGTATAGAAGGCCATCTGGCTCAACCATTTTTCGTCTTGTCAATGTGACCTGCTGATTAAAGGTTAGGAGACGGGATGTGTCAGCGAGGCAGAAGTGAAAAACCAGCATTGTTGGGTGTCTGCTTTAGTGCAAGGTCCTGTGTTCAGTAGTTCTCTTATATATTTTCTTATCCAATCCTCATAGCAGCAACACAGTGAAGTAGGTACTTTTATTATCCCATATTTTAAATAGGTAAACAGAATCTCAAAGAAATCTTAATTTCATAACCTCTCCTCCTAAACACTGCCTTATATTACAGGGAAAGCAGTTAAATTCACCTAGTCATCATTTACAGAGGTTGGAGGAGGCAGTCTTATTATAGTTCCTTCATTTATATAAGAAGGGTATTGGACTAGTCATCTCTGAAGTACCCTACCCCTCTAATAATCTATGGTTATATGAGTGGGAAAAGAAAAGACAAGGATTTTCCAAGAAGACCATGCTTTCTTAAATAAAACAATTCATGTCCACATCTAGGCCTCCAGAACTCTCTAAGAAGTTACATCATGTCAGAACTCTGGATCTTCACTTCTGTCCCCTGAGGAAAGCATACTGTTGAGATTATATAAAGAGTTTCATATTCAATTACTTTATGAAAACCTGCAGATTTCAGCTTTTTTCAAGATACAAATGAAAGCACAATTTATGTCTCATCTGTATTTCAAAGGAAGTATTTACATTTAGTTTTATTAATTAACCTAATCTCAGCTGGGCAAGGTGCCTCATGCCTGTAATCCCAGCACTTTGGGAGGCCAAGGTGGGTGGATCACCTGAGGTTAGGAGTTCAAGACCAGCCTGGCCAATATGGTGAAACCCCATATCTACTGAAAATACAAAAATTAGCCAGGCGTTTTGGCGCATGCCTCTAAGGTCTCACTCAGGTGACTGAGACAAGAGAATCACTTGAACCCAGGAGGTGGAGGTTGCGGTTGCAGTGAGCCGAGATCCACCACTTCACTCCAGTCTGGGTGACAGAGTGAGACTTGGTCTCAAAAAAAAAAAAAAAAAAAAATTCTAGCCTGGTACCCCCAGGCAGTTTCCTACTTTAGTGCTGGAAAAACCGATTTTGTTTATATTACTACCAGAAGTCTGAAATTTTAGGTTAAGAAATGCATATATTTTAACCTATATATTTTAATAAAAATTTAAATTATTTTTCTATAGTAGTTTTAAAAACTTTATTGAAATATAATTCTCATATCATAAAATTCACCTGTTTTTTTTGTTTGTTTGTTTGTTTTTGAGATGGATTGTTGCCCAGGCTGTAGTGCAGTAGCACGATCTCAGCTCACTGCAACCTCCGCCTTCCAGGTTCAAGCGATTCTCCTGCTTCAGCCTCCCAAGTAGCTGAGATTACAGGCACCCACCACCACACCGGCTAATTTTTTTTTTTTTGTATTTTTAGTAGAGACGGGGTTTCACTGTGTTGGCCAGGCTGGTCTCAAACTCCTGACCTTGTGATCTGCCTGCCTCGGCCTCCCAAAGTGCTGGGATTAAAGGCGTAAGCCACTGCTCCTGGCCAATTCACCCTTTTAAAATGTACAGTTCATTGATTTAAAAATCTGTACATTCACAGAGTTGTGCAACCATCACCACAATCTATTTTAGAACATGTTCATCAACCCCCAAAAATCCTGTATCCATTAGCAGTCACCCTCATTTCTACCCGCTAAGCAGCCAGTAACTACTTTCTGTCTCTGTAGACTTACCTATTCATCTGGCTTCATTCACTTACCATAATGTTTTTGAGGTTCATCCATGTTTTAACATGGTATCAGTGCTTTATTCCTTTTTATTGCCAAATAATATTCCATTTATGGCTATATAGTATAGTTTTAAATGCAGTAGTTTTCTGACAGTTTTTCTGAAAACCAAAAAAACACAGCCTAAAAATTCTGTTAATTATGTTCCACGCATGATGCCTATTAAGCATTTTATGCTGATCATTACTTTTTTAATAGCACATATACTGCATGTATACATGGGAGATACCCAGAGAAATGAGTGAATCTCCTGTGTTGCTTTCTATCTAAGCAACTTTGTAAAATTTATCTTAATCATATATAGTAATCACTGGTTTCCATATTGTTATTAGTCAGTATTTTTTTTTTCTTTTTTTTGAGACGGAGTCTCGCTCTGTCGCCCAGGCCGGACTGCGGACTGCAGTGGCGCAATCTCGGCTCACTGCAAGCTCCGCTTCCCGGGTTCACGCCATTCTCCTGCCTCAGCCTCCCGAGTAGCTGGGACTACAGGCGCCCGCCACCGCGCCCGGCTAATTTTTTGTATTTTTAGTAGAGACGGGGTTTCACCTTGTTAGCCAGGATGGTCTCGATCTCCTGACCTCATGATCCACCCGCCTCGGCCTCCCAAAGTGCTGGGATTACAGGCGTGAGCCACCGCGCCCGGCCATTAGTCAGTATTTTTATTAGATTCTTAGCACTGGAAAATGTACTTAACAGTTTTTCACACATAAAGATGTAATAATTATTTGTAAGAGCATGTTGAAAGATGTTTGGATCACAATTCTATTTTAAGTTGTATTTTATTATTTAGGACTCATTAAAAATTTAGCTCTTCAGTCAGAGACAGATGTGCTTGTTTCTTGACTTTTCAGGTCTGTAGCTTCTTATTTCAGTCTTATTTCATAGTTTTCCAGGTGTCAGGAAACAAAGTGCTAACAAATAGGCAAAATGTTTGTCTTGTTTCCTCTCTAGTAAATGATTTAATGGGGGAAGAAGTTGAAAATACAGATTAAAATGAAATTGTGTTATCTATAAATTTCGGCTTTTATGTTAAGTCCTTTGGGATTATCTGTTCATATCTGAAGAAATAACTCTGATGTTTGGAAACATTATGTACTATGTTTTTTTAATCTGAATACCTGTACCCACTACCCTGTCCTTGAAATTCACTTATTAGTTTAGGTTATATTTCTATTTTTCCCCCCAAAAACCCTTTGGATTTCAGATAAATCTTCTTTGACTAATTATAATTAGATTTGTGCTTGGGTCTTTATTCTCAGATGAGATGATATGAAAATCTGAGTCCACTGTTGCCTTTTTCTTCCTAATTACTTTGGGTTCTCTGAAAAGATCAGTTCCTGCATTTCTCCATTGATCTAATACTTTTTCTCTAGAACAGTATTTTTCAGACTATTTTTCGCAAAAGATCAGTTTTTTTTTACTTTTTTCAAATGTCTAGTCTACTATGTACTAATACCTCTGTAAAATACAACCAAACTTAATTATTTAAAAAAAAAAGAATGCCCTTCCCCTGAAAAAACACCTAGTGCAAGATTCTTGATCATGTGTCTAGATATCATAACAATGTCAAATTGCTGTCAGAGCTTCTCAATGCTTACTCAACTTCTGTACTTACTTTTGTCCCAGACTGGCTTGTTTGTCAAACCAATTTCAGAGTAGCATTGCCCTTAATCAGCAGTTCTCAGATGTTGTGGTCCCAGGACCCCTTTTACTCCTAAAACTTGAGGACTCAAAAAGGCTTTTGTTTACGTGGGTTATATCTAATGTTATTTAAATTTAGAAATTAAAGCTGAGATGCAGGCGCAGTGGCTCACACCTGTAATTCTAACACTTTGGGAGGCTGAGGCAAGAGGATTGCTTGAGCCCAGGAGTTCAAGACCAGCCTGGGCAACATAGCAAGACCCCATCTCAGTTTAAAGAAAAAAAGAAATTAAAGCTGAGAAAATTTCAAAATATTTATTGATTTATTTAAAAATAAGAACCTATCATAGGCTGGGGCCAGTGGCTCATGCCTGTAATCTCAGCACTTTGGGAGGCTGAGGCAGGAGGATCACTTCAGGCCAAGCGTTTGAGACCAGCCTGAGCAACATAGTAAGACTCCCATCTCTACAAAAAAAAGCAACAAAAAAATTTATTAATTAACTGAGCATGTGGCATATGTCTGTAGTCTTACCTGCTCAAGAGGCTAAGGCACAGGATTGCCTGAGCCCAGGAGTTTGAGGCTGCAGTGAGCTAGGATCATGCCACTGCAGTCCGGCCTGGGCCATAGAGTGAGACCATGTCTCTAACAACAAGAACTCCTTACATGCTATCATTAATTATATTTTTATGAAAAATGACTATTTTGTTAAAAAGTTAATGAGAAGAATGTTATTTTGTTTTGTTTTGTTTTGTTTTGTTTTGAGACAAGAGTCTTGCTCTGTCACCCAGGCTGGAGTGCAGTGGTGCAATCAATTATTTGTGGTGATTTTTACAGTAGCTATTAGTTCTATAACTGGTGGGTATTGGAACATATCTTTGGACAATCCAAACATACAAGTTTTAGTGGGAGTAATACTGAGGAACCTGGGTTAGATTCCCATTTTTGGCAAAGTAGATGTGAATGCTTATGTTCTGAAATGGTTAATAAGAATTTTTACTTACAGGTGCCCGAGAATATCATGTCCAGTTTTTTAGCAACCAGCCAGAGAGGGCGTGGGTTCATGAAAAACGGGTACGAGAGTATAAAGGTCATAAACAGTATGAAGAATTACTGGCTGAGGCAACCAAACAAGCCAGCAATCACTCTGAGAAACAAAAGGTAACTAACATGTTAATATTATTTACCTAGTATGGTTTTTAAAGAACTTAATAATTTAGAAGAATTTTTCATACTTGAATTCAGATAATTATTAGAATCCTTTTTTTAAACCCCTTTCAGCTGTTTTAATCGTAATGGTAAATGACTAGTAAGTTTGTAAGTACACCAATGAGTTTTATATGTCATATAAACGACGTATAGTACTATTAAAAACTTTAGCTACCTGCTTAATATTGAATTCTATTGTGAGTTTCATTAATGTGCATAAGTGTACCAGATGCTAGTGAAATGTGGATTTTTGCCAGGGATTTTTACTCTTTTTTCTATTTCAGCATGTTTCCATAATTTCTTTTCATTCTTGTTTAACAAAATTGTTTTATGAAAGTAAACTTTTAAAAATATTTAATGAGTGCCTATTGTGAAACAGGTATGCTTTTAAGCATTTTACATATATTAACTCACTTATTATTCATAACAACCTGTATGAGGTAGATACTATTATTCCCCTTTTTACAGATGAAGAAATTGAGGCACAGAAAGCTTATGTAACTGGTTCAACCGAGATCACACAAGTGATGGAATCAGGAAATATATTTGATGTGGTGGTGGATATTTTAGAATTTTGACATGAACTCTTGGTAATCTGGTTAAGAGTTTAAACTCAACTAAATTAGTGTGGGTCTCTTATGATTCAGAAATTTGTCATTTTTTACACTTGAAAAACTAAATTTTATCACAGAATTTTGATTAATTTTATGAGACTTACATTTTACAGATTTATATATGAATATTTGACATATGCTATCTCATAGTTTTATTAACTAATTTCTGGCTACATCAGTCTAGCCACCTGGATAATTCCTAATTGCTCTGGCCATCTCACACATCTTTATTCAAAGTATTTTTACCCCTCTTGCCAATCCAAAGTCTTCTGATTGACTCTGGACCTAGAGACCTATGGAAACTATAATTCAGGTCTACCTTTTTTCTCATCCATGCCTGTTCTCCTTTGTCTTGTTAATTTTCATTTGTTCCTTGAGGCTCTGTCCTTTCACTTCATTCTGTCCCTGCATGCATTGTGGTTCAAACTCTGCCAGTAGCTTTGTTGTGATCTCTGTAGCACCCCTGACTTGCCCTCTGCCCGAGATATGGGAGAGAATTGGGAGTTTCAGGGTATCATTTTTAATGTTAGTGTTTTATTAGCCACTGAAAATAACCATTTCTGTAATCATTGTTCTCTTTTCCCTCATTATCACTAGCTTTTTATGTATATGAGAGGAGAAGGATGTCTCCCTCTTGGGGACCTTGTCCAGCAGAGTGATCAGCAAAGGAAGGATATAAAAGAGAGTAGATCCTCATGTTATCGAATATCTTTTTATCAGAATTATGGAGATAGAACATTCCACTTGTTTGACCAAAGAACCTGAAGATATTTATGTAGACCTGAAAAGATAACAGGATCACATGGGAAATACATATCAATTTTAATGTACCTATTAGAGTAAAGCATGTCTGATAATCTCTATCTTTTTTAAAGATTCGGAAACCCCGACCTCAGAGAGAACGTGCTCAGTGGGATATTGGCATTGCCCATGCAGAGAAAGCATTGAAAATGACTCGAGAAGAAAGAATAGAACAGTATACTTTTATTTACATTGATAAACAGCCTGAAGAGGCTTTATCCCAAGCAAAAAAGAGTGTTGCCTCCAAAACCGAAGTTAAAAAAACCCGACGACCAAGATCTGTGCTGAATACTCAGCCAGAACAGACCAATGCAGGGGAGGTGGCCTCCTCACTCTCAAGTACTGAAATTCGGAGACATAGCCAGAGGCGGCACACAAGTGCGGAAGAGGAAGAGCCACCGCCTGTTAAAATAGCCTGGAAAACTGCGGCAGCAAGGAAATCCTTACCAGCTTCCATTACGATGCACAAAGGGAGCCTGGATTTGCAGAAGTGTAACATGTCTCCAGTTGTGAAAATTGAACAAGTGTTTGCTCTTCAGAATGCTACAGGGGATGGGAAATTTATCGATCAATTTGTTTATTCAACAAAGGTACCTCCTTTTTTCGTGGAGTTTTTTGGGGGATGGTATTTTAAAAGTGGTCAACCTTGGCATTTAAAACAATGACCTTGGCATAATTTAAATACCCTTTCTACCCACTGAATTTGAAACATACAGTCATTGTACTCTGTGGGCAAAAAAGACAGGCAAAAAGGCTATGTTTTTCTTCTTTTTTATCCCCTTCTTTTGTGATTTTCCCATCTGTAGTAGATTAGTCTTGAGCTGTGCAGCCAAAATTGAGCTTAGCTCCCTAAAGTCATGGAAAAAAACTGGGCACTTTGCCTGTTTCTAGTTTGCGTAGTTAGCTTTTCTTAGTTGCAAAGTGTACTTCTTATTAAAATCATTTTTGTCAATTATATGAATTAACCATTGTTATAAAAACCACTGTAATAATTGTACCTGCTGACCTGTTTGGTTCCACCAGCAATTTTGTTAGATTCTTATGGGCTTGCGATATCTAACTGCCTTTCAGAGAATCCCAGAACTGTGTTTGTTCTGTAACAATTAGCTGTGGCAATAACTTGGGTAATGGGGTAAAAACAGCCTCTACAAACTGTGTGCCTTCATCAGTTTGTCCTGGGCCTCCATTTAGGGCACTTATACTTTAGCTTGAAGACTTTAAAACTCTTCCATAATATTGGTAGGTATTTATTCCGTGTACCTCTTCACTACCATCCCATCCCATCCCACTGTGTTGAGTTTGTGATTCTGATTTAGTTGCATTTCATTCATGTGTATTAAAGAATTCTATGCTTATTTTTTCCTAATATAGTCATATGCAGATTAATTAGTTAAACAGGGGAATGCTTAATTAGTAATACATCTTCCTAGAGAAATGTCAAGGGTGCTCTTTTAACCTGGTCTGCCCATAGGTTCAGCTGACTTCAGTTAAGGCCAAGCTACCTGCAAAAACTTGAATTGCAGTCCCCACTTGGTTCTCTTGATAGCAAATGAATATTTTTCATCTTTCAAATAGCAAATGAGTATGTTGCATCTTTTTTGAGTACAAATTGGCTTTATTCTTGGAGCTAGTTTTACTGCTTCTGATGCACAAGTCAAACTTTGTCACTACCACCCCAAAGAATGCTATTTAAAGGAAATTCAAGATAAAACTGATCTTTTCAAAATGAAGACTCTAAAAATATATGCATGTATATATTTATATTTATTTTTTTCCTTTTTAAGAGATGAGGTCTCACTCTGTGGCCCAGGCTGGAGTGCAGTGGTCAATAATAGCTCACTGCAGCCCCAAGGGATCTTCTGCCTTGGCCTTCCAAAGCACTGAGATTACAGTCATGAGCCACTGTGCCAGACCTTTTAAAAATTTTTTGTAGAGACAGGGTCTCACTATGGTGCCCAGGCTGGTCTTGAACTCCTGGCCTCTAGCTGTTCTCCTGCCTCAGTCTCCCAAAGTGTTGAGATTACAGGCAGGAGCCACGGTGCCTGGCCAAAAAAATACATATATGTTTATAAATCACTTCTTTACTTCTATTCCATTGCATTAAAAATACCTAAAAGGAGACCTAAGTTAATTATACCTGCCTTCTTTCTGCTTCGGATTACTTATTGGGTCACATTTTGGTCACCATGAGTGACATATTTCTGTATCTAGGGGTATTCTTGTCTCTTAAGACATATTGGCATTTTTTTCTGTGTAATAGAGCACTTTACCAAATGCAAATGACTAGAGTTCTCTTACTGTGATATGTATAAAGACCAGAAAATATTTTGTTTTTATAGAAAATTGAGTGATACAGGTATATTTTTTAGTGACATTTATCACCTAGACTTAGACAAATACTCTACCTCACGTGATCTTACTGTGCATTTTAAAATGTATCTTGGAATTAGCTGGGCATGGTAGCACATGCCTGTAGTCCCAGCTACTCGGGAGGCTGAGGCAGAATTACTTGAACCTGGGACGAGGCAGAGGTTGCAGTGAGCCAAGATCACACCACTGCACTGCAGCCCAGGTGACAGAGCCAGATTCCATCTTAAAAAAAAATTTTTTTTGGCCGGGTGCGGTGGCTAACGCCTGTAATCCCAGCACTTTGGGAGGCCAAGGTGAGCAGATCACCTGAGGTCAAGAGTTCGAGACCAGCCTGGCCAACATGGTGAAACCTCATCTCTACTAAAAATACAAAAAAAAAAATTAGCAGGGCGTGGTGGCACGCATCTGTATTCCCAGGTACTTGGGGAGGCTGAGGCAGGAGAATCACTTGAACCCAGGTGGTAGAGGTTGCAATGAGCCAAGATCACACCATGCACTCCAGCCTGGGCGACAGAGGGAGACTTCTTCTCAAAAAAAAAAAAAATTGTTTTTAATTTTTAAAAAAAGTATCTTGATCACTTAATCAAATTTCTGATAAAGGCTAAGATAACTTAATTGCAATCAAAGACCATATAAAATTTAAGCAAATTATGATCATTTTAAGCCATCTTTATAAGCCCATGATGCCACTTGCCTGGTAATCACCTGTTTTGTTGTTTTTTCTTTTGCCTTATTTTAAAGGGAATTGGTAACAAAACAGAAATAAGTGTCAGGGGGCAAGACAGGCTTATAATTTCTACACCAAACCAGAGAAATGAAAAGCCAACGCAGAGTGTATCATCTCCTGAAGCAACATCTGGTTCTACAGGTTGGTATGAATGAAAAGTATATATAGGTCCATTTTGAGAAATCCTTGTTCTGTTCTGCTATAATGTGGTAGCTGTGTTTCTAAGAAACTCTTAGTTATCAAAAGTAAATTATATTTAAAAATCAAAATATAAAAGCAGTTACTTTAATAGGAAAGTGGGTTAGGGGCTAGAGAACTTTATTCATAGCAAGTTATTTTTTGTACAAGAATTAAAATAATAGGGTTCTATAATTAAAAGTGTATAGCTATAAAACTCTATATGTATCTGAGTAAATACACCATCGACTATCTCTCTTTGCATAATAACAGCTTTACTTTTCCCACTCTATTAGCACACACATACCATTTCCTCCTTTACCCCTGTTGGAAACAAATGGCTGATGCCAAAGCTCTTGTCATTATTCCTAGTTGTGCTAGATACTAGTAGCTGAGGGGCCTAGAGCCTAATTGTCCTAATGTAACCTGTTTTCTGATTAGCAGACACCATGAATTGAAAATCAAGCCATGTTATTCTTGCTTAAAGGAGAAGTGACTGTATTCAGTAAGATTGTGCCTTTGGAATGTTTAACTTTTTTTTTTTTTGAGACAGAGTCTCACTCTGCCACTCAGGCTGGAGTGCAGTGGCTCAATCTCGGTTCGCTGCAACCTCCACCTCCCAGGTTCAAGCGATTCTCCTGCCTCAGCCTCCTGAGTAGCTGGGATTACAGGGGCATGCCAACACACCCAGCTACTTTTTGTATTTTTAGTAGAGACAAAGTTTCACCATGTTGGCCAGGCTAGTCTCCAACTCCTGACCTTGTGATCTACCTGCCTCGGCCTCCCAAAGTGCTGGAATTACAGGCATGAACCACCACGTCTGGCCTTTTTTTTTTTGAGACGGGGTCTCACTCTGTCATGCAGAGTGGAGTACAATGGTACGATCATGGCTCACTGCAGCCTCGACCTCCCAGGCTCAGGTGATCCTCTCACCTCAGCCTCCTAGGTAGCTGGGACCACAGGCATGCACCATGATACCTGGCTAAGTTTTTGTACTTTTTGCCATGTTGCCCAGGCTGGTCTCGAACCCCTGGATTCAAGCGATCTACCTGCCTCGGCCTCCCAGTGTGCTGGGATTATAGGCGTGAGCCATTGCACCCAGCCAACATAATTTTTTTGAGACTAACTTACTAAGGATTTTAGAGTTTCAATTGAATGTCTGGTGGGTTTGGTTTATGTAACAGTATTATATTAGTAGTATTTCTGTAATACTGCTTGCTTCATATAGCCATCAAGAAAAGAGTTAAGTATTAACTAGCGTGTTCATTTGGAATCTTAGTTTAGAAGAAAGGAGTTTGTTTCATTTTGTTCTTTAAAAATTTGTTTTGAATCTAAGAAGCGACTATAGTAGAAAAAAAAGTTAAACTATTTTCTGAACGTACTTATAGACCCATATATGGGTTTCTTTGTTTTCCCACACTGACCAGCTGGGTGTCCTATGATTCAATTTGATTCTCACACTATCTCCCTGGTGTTAGAGTCCAATCCCTCAGGTTAAGCGCTCAATCCTATGAGACTGCCCCCACTTCAGATGTCAGTTGCAAGTCTGGGGCTTCAGAGCTTCTGACTGACCAGCTATAAATTGGAGGTTCTCGTGACCCCCTCCTTGGGTTTAGTCATTTGCTAGAGCAGCTCACAGAACTCAGACAAGCCCTTTCTTTACATTTACTGGTTCATGATAAAGCATATGGCAAAAGATACAGATGAACAGCCAGATGGAAGAGATGCACAGGGCAAGGTATATGGAAAGGGCTGTAGAGCTTCCATGCCCTCTCTGGCCATGCCACCCTACAGGCACCTTCGTGTGTTCAGCAACCTGGAATTTCTCCAAACCCTGTAGCTCAGGGATTTTTATGGAGGCTTTATCATGTAGGCATGATCAATTATTAACTCAGTCTTCAGCCCCACTCCCCTTCTCGGAGGATGGGGGGGTGGAGCTTAAAGCATCTAATCATAGCTTGGTTTTTCTAGTGACTAGCCCCCAACTAGGAACCCACCAAGAGTTGCCTCTTTAGAGCAAAAAACACTTATATTATGCAGGAAATTCCAAGTAGGAGCTCTGTGCCAGGAACCAGGGGCAGAGATCAAATATATGTTTCTTATCATATCACAATATCACAGTGACCAAGTAATTTTCTGGATGGATCAAAGTCTTAAGACCTGAAGTGGTAATCTTGAATCAGTAGTAACTCAGGCAAACCTGTGACTGAGTGGCATAAAGTGTAAATATTTTTGTAAGGGAAATTTAAATAAGATTCTAATTATTATAATAGCAAAGTAAAAAAAAATCACTGTTCACAAAAGTACTTGGGCTAGCTTTCTTAAAAAGAAAATAATGGGAGCTGCAGGACAGGGAGAGGTAATGCCAGTGGAGATGCAGCACATGTTGGATGGGGCATTTTAAACAGCCTTTTTCAATATGGAATTGGGAAGGAAAGTTGAGTTAAAGAAAGGAGGGAGTGAATAGCAAAGTCCAGTACTACATTTGCAACTTGTATCATTTCAAAATACTTTATAAAAAGATGAACTTACAATGTCAAAGGAATGAGTAGATGGACTTAGAAGATTTCATATTAGCCATAATTGAGAATGTTCCCTTCTTTGAATATTAAAAGAATCTTTTGGCCTCCACTTTCCAAATTAGGTATGTCAGTTTTGTTACCTCTTTACACTAAATGATTAGTAATTTGTCTGAATTTAAATGGGATACCTAGGAGGATCTTTATTTGAAATCAGCAGTTTCCTAAGGAGAAAGTAAATTCTTCCTATATTAGACTGATCTTAACTCAAATATTATGCTTTTATTTTGGATGGAGCTTGTTTTTCTTTCTCCTCTGAAAGTTACTGAATTTTTTTTTTTTTTTTTTTTTTTGAGACAGGGTCTTGCACCCAAGTTGAAGTGCAGTGGTGTGATCTTAGTTCACTGTAACCTTAAACTCCTGGACTCCAGAGATCCTCCTACCTCAGCCTCCTGGAGTAGCTGAGACTACCCAGTGCCTGCCACCATGCTTGGCTAATTTATTTTATTTTTATTTTTTGTAGAGATGAGTGTCTCACCTTGTTCCCCAGGCTGGTCTCGAACTCCTGGGCTCAAACGATCCTCCTGTCTTGCCCTCTTGAAGTGTTGGGATTACAGACATGAGTCGCTGTGCCCAGCCTGAACATTTTCTTTTTATATAGTATTTTCATTGTAAGATTTAATCTCTGCTATGAATATTTCCTTTTTTTCTTAAGTGGAAGGTTATACTTCTTTATATCTGGAAAAAGGCAGTGTTGTTTTTTGCTTAAGCAGGAACGTAGAATTTAGGTTGTAAATTAAGATTGAAAACTTAATTTAGGGCCAGGTATGGTGGCTCACACCTGTAATCCCAGCAGTTTGGGAGGCTGAGGCAGGCGGATCACAAGGTCAGGAGTTTGAGATCACCTGGCCAACATGGTGAAACCCTGTCTCTACAAAGGTACAAAAAAAAAATTAGCTGGGCATGGTGGCGCACGCCTGTAATCCCAGCTACTCAGGAGGCTGAGGCAGGAGAATCGCTTGAACCCTGGAGGCGGAGGTTGCAGTGAGCCAAGATCGCGCCATTGCACTCCAGCCTGGGTGACAGGGAGAGACTCCGTCTCAAAAAAGAAAAGAAAAGAAAAGAAAAAAAACTTAATTTAGGGACTGGTGCTCTAAAGCTTTGAGCTTGTTTGAAGTTTGGTTAACAGCTGTGGTTGATAAGCATACCTTGTCTTTTTAAGTGACCATTTTGCTTTTTGTGAAAATAACTTCAGTAGTTGAAAAGTCAAAATAGAAACTTGTTCACCCTTCAGAAACCAATTGCATCATCTCAGCTGATGTTAACTGCTTAAGGAAATTATTGAGCCTTTTCTTAGTAAATTTCAGGGATATATAAAATGTTTGGCACTGTCACATTTTTGTCGTTTGAAGAACTGTACTTGTATTCACACTAGATTTCAAAGTTATTTTCCAAACCCAGAAATGCTCACCTCCTCTTTCTTAGAACATGAACATAATACTCTTCAATGGTTTTAAATGTATATGTTCTTTGGGTAACTTTCAGAATAATTTTAAGAAATCATGTTGCTTTATCCTCTATAAGACAGTAAATCAAATCTCATCTGCTCTTCATGGTGTGATTATATTACCCTCAACACAAGTAAATATTTTTTTGTTCGTTTTTAAGCAATTCCATTTTCATTTTTGCCCTTCCTAGTAGTAGTTGAATATTGACACTTTAATACTAAAGTATGGATCTCGGATCCTCAGGTTGGTCTGGGAGGGTAGCATATCTGCTGTCTTAGTAAACATTTTCGTCAGTGTAAGGAGAAGAGTGAGAGTAAAGAAAGGAGCCAATACCTTTATTTGTGATTACTATAAATCGATTAACCACAGCTCTAAAACAATATATTGTTATCAAACTACCCGCTCCTTCCCAAAAACAAAACAAAGTAGTGGGATCCTTCATTTTGGCTTTGAACTAAAGTGAGGGAAGTCATTTATACATAGCCAAGAGCAATGAAACCAGAAAATATAAAGGTTATATGAAAGGCTTTATAGATAGAGCTTCTATCTGATTTTATAGGTCTTAGTGGCTTCTTCCTATGGCAAGCCAGAGGTGATTATGATTTAGGAAGGAATACGTAGGTGGTCCAGGCACTGAAAACATGGAGAACAGCTGCACTGCAGGTATCATTCCTCCTCAGGCTCACAGAATGAAATCATTCCTGACAATGTTCTTTCAAGTTGTGTTCTTCAATTTCAGTTTTATCCTTTCCAAAAATGGGGTCCATGTGAGTTTTCTTCAATTCGCTTTTAAAGAATTGTACTCTTTAAAAATCTTAATAGTTTGTTTTACCATTTAACATGAAAAAGCTTGATAATTTGTTTCAACTAGTTTTCCACGACTAATTATTTCCAGAGTATAACAGATCCCTTGATAGTCAAATTAATGATTAGGTTTTGGTCACATTTTTTGCCTTCCCTGCTTTTCCTGCTTTTGTTATTAATAACAACAGCAAAACTTACATAAGTGCAACAAGCACTGTTAACCATTTTATGTATAGAATTAATTAAACTCATTTGTTAAAATGCAGAATGTGTGGCACTGATTGAATTTTGAACCAATAATTTCTAACATCAGGTGGATAATAAAGTTTATTTTTATGCATCCTTCAGTCCCTTCATTCCCTAATTATATTTACCTAAAGATGTTTATGTGCCTTTAAAACTAATGTGTCTGCTGTTTTAGTTTGACTTTTCAATTTTTAAAAAACCAATCCCCCTTTATTTGTATAATTTAGGACCCTTTGTGAATCCCAGTCTCAGCTTATCAGCCTTTACAATTTGATCTGTTAAATAATTTATATGCTCCTGAATGTTTAGCATTTTTTAATGATTTTAATTAAAATTCCAAAAGTAATGGGTAAGAAAAGCAAGGAATGTGGTCATATCTTAATTACATAGATGTCAAGGTATCCTTAAGTGAGTTTTTGTTTGTGTGTTTAAATCATTTCTTAGGCTCAGTAGAAAAGAAGCAACAGAGAAGATCAATTAGAACTCGTTCTGAATCAGAGAAATCCACTGAGGTTGTGCCAAAGAAGAAGATCAAAAAGGAGCAGGTTGGCTTCCTACATGTAGAGAGTTAAAACATTGTATTTGTAAATGTTGTGGCTTACATTCCTGTCTTAAAAGAAAGAGAAACTTTCCCCCACACTGAGTTTCCTTTCTGGACTATCTTAACGCTTCTGTCCTGGTGGGTTCCAGTGCTCAGTTTTAATACAGCCATCCCTGTGATTCTGCTTCAAGCATTTTCACAGAAAACAGGTTTCAGGAGATGGGAAGCCAGTGGTGCAAGACTTAAAAAATCCTTCACATTTATTTAGAAGTTTCTGTTATCAGCAGAATGATTTCATGTTTTTATGATTTTTATTTGGAACCATCATTGAGTTCCTTTTTTTTTTTTTAAGTTTGATTTTTGGTTTAAGCTGCTGGTATATATTGTTTTTTATTTTTTAAACAAATCAATTTAATTTATATTCTTATATTTAAGAAGCAGATATTCATAGATGATCTGTTTTTTCTGTTAATATCGCAGATTTTTTGGAATGTTATTTTCCCAGTGGAATATTCACCTGATATCAGGTTGTCAGATAAATAATATTTAGGTAAAAAAAGGTGTGTGGGGGGGTTGCATTTTGACTGAAGTGTATTAAACCAGTGTAATCAATGTAGTAAGATACATTTAAATCAACTTTTCAAATAAAATTTTAGAAGCCATTCTTCTTTAAATTAAACTCACAATCAGATTTTTTCTTAATTTTTTTGTTAAAGAATATCCATTCTTACAGCCTAAACACCTGCTAGCAAACAAAACAAATTCTGAATAGAATTAGTTCCAATAAGTTTTATATTTTTTAAACCATTTATATGGAAGAATGTGAGCTTTTCTATTTAAAATATTTCCTTCATGATTTTAAACTTCCAAATTTAAAAGCTAACTTTGTGGGTGCTCTGTGGTATCACCAAGCAAGTGAAACAGTTTTTCCAGAATATTTAACTAAAATTTAAATAGTATACTAATTTGTCATTCATTTATCATATTAACTTTCATATTTCATACTTAGGAAATTATATTCCAAAAAATCTTTCTAAGCTCTTGAAAATCTATAGTTATTCATTACCAAAATGAAGTTGTGATTTTGCCAGCTGGTTCCCAAAATCAGTCTGTGACCAGTCAGTTTTAAACTAATAAGCAGAATGAGTATAAAAAGTGGGACAAATTGTTAATGCCACTGTGTTATAGTTAGTAGTAGAACAATACCAGTGATTGTTTAGAAGATTTTATATTTGTATTACTAATTGTATCTTATAAAAGCGTTTCTGTTGTATGTTTTTTTACCTGTTGTAAAAAAAATAAAATTTTTTTTAAAAAGCTTAGAACAATCCTTAAATATTTACAAAATGTGTTTCAACATTCATATTTCACCACATCTTAAAGAAACATGAAATTCAATTTATAGCTTAAACAGGAACTCCTCCAAACAGCCTCCTTTCTCTAATTCCAATGGTTCAATCCTCAAATTACCACGTGTTTTACATATACATTGGCAGAATAACTTCTGATCTCGCTCTCCTAATGTAGGATCAAGACACTGTTCATAAGACACTCAAGAAAGTGCTTTTGCAATATCACAAACTTATTTTCTTAAGTTTGTACTAGCAGCAAAAGTATTGAGCTTCCAGCTGTATGGAGCCCTGTAGCACTCTCTACAGAGAGGGTCCTGATTCCCAGCAACTTAGCTGTGAGTGCAGGCGCGGAAGGGTCTTAAAGTGGCGTGAGTTACATTAACCTGAGTATCATAGTAAGTAAAAATTTATCCTAACGTCTTTGGGGCGGGAGGGGTTTTTAGCAACATTGGGGCCGGTTGCAGAAACAACCCCTCTCCTGCCTTCCAGACACTGAGGAAAGTATTCTTGTTCTCTTCATATACCAAGGGAATGGTGGGAAAAGTCTTTGCTAGAGAGCATGTGGCTGTGTGTTGTCACTTGATATTCAGCACAGGCAGCTAGGATTTAAACCCTCCCTGATCTTGAGACAGAGAACTTTACCCAAAAGATGGGACTGAGTTCAGATTTCAGATACATTAATCACTCATCATTGCTTAGATTGATGAAAGTATCTTTTCCCTCTGTTAATAATTAAAAGGGAAAAAAATTCTTTGTTAATGCTGTATTTTTCTGTCCAAACAGGTTGAAACAGTTCCTCAGGCTACAGTGAAGACTGGATTACAGAAAGGTGAGTTAATATTATAATGTTGCTTTGCATTTCCTTGATTAAAACCAATTTTTAAGAATTATTTGTACTTCATGTATTTTTGTCTGTCTCTGTAAATCGTTGTTGCTCTTCAGTGTGAAATTGCAGTATTCCCCAGTGTTCGTGTGTGTGTGTGACTTTTAGAGTTGATCTTATTCTGTACCTCCACGTGAAAAGTCTTACTTGTTTTGGTAAATTGGAGAACACAACGTAGACTTGATACTGTTTCCAACTTTTCTCCATAAGATTCTGGGGTTTCACTGGCTTATAAACTAGGGATGTGACGAATCCACTTTTTTTGGTATTCGACTGAATACCGAATAGTAGCTATTCATGTTTGTCAAACATGGACTATGACAAATCAGACAAGACAAGCTGATTGAAAAAATCTTGCCACATTTATTTTTACAGTGCTGTAAAATCTTTTTGTAAATTAAAATGATTCATAGCATTTATGGCCACTATTAGATGACCTTATGCGAATCTATTTGAGATATGCACAAAGTTTAAGAAAGCTTAAACTTATATCTGTATTTTCTGTGTGCAATTTGACTACAGTACAAACTCCATAGCATGATTCGTGCGTTTTTGGTGAGATCAAACTGTATTTAATACCTGTAGTTTACTCTGGGCAAATTGCATTATTTAAAAATAAAATAAAACAACAGCCTCTCTGCATTCTCGGGGAGAAGTCTGCAGCGATGGTCTCCGTGGAGATCCTCAGCAGAACTGAACAGCCTCTCGGAGGGAACACTGCTTGGCGGAGCTCCAAGAAAAGACATCGCGATCGCTGCGAGATTAGGAGGCCTGATTGCGTTGTGTTTCCACCATTCCACAGGGTCGGCGGACCGGGGAGTGCAGGGCTCTGTCAGATTCAGTGACAGCTCCGTCTCCGCAGCGATTGAGGAAACTGTGGACTGAGATTCCTGTACAATTTCATCCCAGAAACTCCAGACTTGTAGTCTCCATGCAAGATTTCTTTGTCGGCGGCTTGATAAACAGTTTCTTTGTTTTCGATTTTGATTTCGCCAATCATCATTATTGGCATTTTCCTGCCTGGTTTCTTCTTCAAGACTCTGAACAATTGCTTTAACAGTCAAATGATTTTTTTTTTTCGGTTTGAGCTGGATGGGTACAGCTTAAATCATGGGTCCAGCCTAAAAACCACCATTTAACTTACACTGATCAATTTCAACATGGACTGTTTTTGGTTTTTTGTTTTTAAATAAAGCATCATTAATGCACATCTGCAGGGGTTTGCCAAACAGCCCAAACTGTATACATTACAATCATTAAAAGTTCTTATTTTTTTTAATATTAGTGCCGTTATCATGGAGAACAGCATGACAGCTGTCTTTGGCAGTCTGTCATTTTTCTAGCATTTTCAGAAACTCATCGGAAATGGCGGTACCTGTGTTTCCCTTCGAAAGCCTCTCAGTACAGCACTCCTGTTCCTCTGTTAAAACTCCTTGTTAATCCAGTGATCTTTTAGGCCAAGGAAATATTTTGTGATGGTGTTCTGGGTCCATACACCAGCAATGAAGGAGATAGATTTGTGTACTTGTGTTTTTTAATCAGCATTAACATGGGCAGGCACCCTCATTTATAGATGTCAGGAAACATTCAGTGAAAAACTTGTAGAATGGGATGTGATAACGAGGTTCCAGTAATCTGAGCAGTCTAACGAGGCCCACCTCCTCCACCACAGAACGTGGCTATGTTCCAAGTGCTACTCTCACTCAGCCTGTTGCGGATCTTCATGGCCTCAGGAGACTTGTTTCTCCATGGGCTCTTCTGGACTGCACACTTCCACCATAGCTTGCTGGGTTGATCTAGATGTCTGTTTGTTGTATGGAAATTTTGGGGGAAAAAATCCAAAACACAAACTGTGGGTTGAAATATTAACCGTCTCCTTGGTTCCTTGGTATTCACCGTGCCTGATCTGCACATTTCATCGTGGCTGTTTCTGTATAGCCTATACTGCATTAGCCCAAGAGATTGTTGCTTTGTAACTTTTTGCACTATTGTTTTGGCTGGATTTGTATTACACACAGTTTTAAAAAAAACAATTCCACACTATTCTCTGCCTTTTTTTTCCTATTTATTTCTTCCCGCACAAATTCCACATAGAGGCCTTCCCATCCAGCTCTACGTGATTTGGCTGCACTTGAACACTGATTGTCCATTTACAGCCCTCAGCAATGTGCCTTCTAAATGGCATGACATATGTAGATGTGCTGCAGCGCTTGTTAATGGTCACAATAAATGCCACTTCACCAAGGAAGTCTCAGATGAACAATTATGAACATCCAAATTTTATTGGGGGGCAATAATCAACTGAATTGCAAAATTTGGGGGAAAATGGCACTATCCGTGTACGAATCGAATACAAATCAAAGATTTGTCACATCCCTAATAAAAACAAGATGGAGATGTCTCTGCAACCATATTTGTAAGCTACACAGTGTGTTGGGTTTTATGTCTTCCCCCTCCAAATTGAATGGTTCTTTGAATTGCTCCAAATCCATCAGCTATCCTGCAATTTTCATAGAATTGATTTTTAGGTTGGAACGTGGGCTCTGTTGACTGAAAATAGCTTTAGAGAGGAGAACTGAATTAAATGTTTTGATAGAGCGGTTGTAAATTAAATCAGTCACTACCAGGAAGGTCAGAAGTTCTGAAGTTTTGACTCATTATTTCAGTGTTACAAAGAGAGCTATGCTTTTTCCACACTAAAGATGAGTTTGAGAAAAGAAAATATTCTCCCACACACAAAAAAATTAAAACAAACCTTAAGTACTATTTTAGGATTAATTTCAGTGTGTTGTATTAAGGTGCCAGCGAGATTTCAGATTCCTGTAAACCTCTAAAGAAAAGGAGTCGCGCCTCAACTGATGTAGAAATGACTAGTTCAGCATACAGAGACACATCTGACTCCGATTCTAGAGGACTGAGTGACCTGCAGGTAAATATGTGCAAGGGTCTGGACAAAGTGTTCTTTCTTGAACATAATGCTTTTCCCTTATTTATTTGGGGAAATCAGGACATTTTAAAAATACTCATAGAAAAAAATCACTTTGTTTATTTTGAGTGTCTTAATTCTTTTGCTCTCATGTTATATAACAAAACTATAGTTTGTTTGTAATTTTAACTACAGTTTTTCCCAAAACAGCAGACCTATGATATCTGTGGATTTTGGAAAGAAAGGAAGGAAAAAGGTGGTTGTGTCAAGATCTAATGTTTGAGCAAGTCTTACTAGGATTTTCATAGCATCTTATCTTGGAGGGAATTTTCATTTTGTTTTTCTTAAAAATGCTATGTTTTCTATGTAGGTAGGCTTTGGAAAGCAAGTAGATAGCCCTTCAGCTACTGCAGATGCAGACGTTTCTGATGTGCAGTCCATGGATTCAAGTTTGTCGAGAAGAGGCACTGGAATGAGTAAGAAGGACACTGTATGTCAGGTAGGCAGGTAACTGGTGCTATGGCTTGAAATAATTGCTATTATATTCTGCCAGTAATAGACTTAACTCCTGTTGAAGAGGATAATATGTTTCCAAATTATTATGATATTACTTTAAAGCTACAGATATAAAACCTCTTTGTGGTTCTTTTTTTCCCTTTCTGAGTTGGAATACTTACCCACATGCCAATCTTTAGTGTGATATACTATAATTAATTGGAAGTAAATGGCAGATGACTGATTGGAAAAACTTTCTTAAATTCAAAATTTTAAAGTAATAACTTTCTCAGTGTATTTTTACCGTTCTTGAAAAAATACTGCTTTGCCCTGTGAAGAAAACTTAAATATGCAGATCCCAAAGAAGGAATCCTAAAAGATCAAGTATGACTTTAAACTTTATACCATATTGTATCTGGAAATACTGTAATTGTCTAGTTCTCTGGTTCTCAAAGTGAAGGCCAAGGACAAACAATATCAGCATCTTCTGGATACATATTAGAAATGCACATTCTTGGGGCCCCCGCCAGACCTACTGAATCACAGTCTGTGGGTGAGGGACCCGGTAATTTGTGTTTAACAAGCCGCCCATGTGGTCTTGATGTTTGCCAAAGTTTGAGAACCACTGCTTTTTGCCATATTACAGATTTGTGAAAGCTCTGGTGACTCTCTGATTCCTTGTGAGGGAGAGTGCTGCAAACACTTTCACCTGGAGTGCCTGGGATTGGCATCACTTCCTGATAGCAAGTTCATCTGCATGGAATGTAAAACTGGTAAGATGACTTATTTCGATAGTCATGAAAAGATGAATGGGATTGTGCCAGGAATGTGCACTGACAACCTCTCCTAGGACATCTTGTTCCCATCACTTTTATTAGCCCTCCTCCTCTCTTCCCAAAGGTATTTCAACAAATTAAGATTTGGCTTCAAGATTTAAAAAGTAGTTAAATTTCCTCCTACTGGTGCCTTCTACCATAAAACCTGTCAAATTACCAAGATGAATTTGTGTTTTATCTAAAGAGTTATATAAAGTATGTTAATTGAGTTATTTTTCAGATGGATTTGAGATTTTGGGGGCTCAATAAATTGGTTTAAAGTTCTTTAAGAGACTGGAAGAAGTATCAGTGCATAACTACAGTGATTATATTTCTAGTGGAAATTTGGAGCTACTGGAAATCATTTTTTAAACTTGGGATTCACCATTTATTTCTTATCTCACTATACATAGACTACCACCTACTAAAATAATTTGTAGAGAAATAAATATGCTAGTTTATATTTCTTCTCTCTGTAGCCATAATTCTGGTTAATATCATGGAAAGCAAGTCGTAGTTGTTTAATCTGTCACAACATGGCAAATTAAAAATAACTGGAGATGACATGGTGGTGCTTCTAGGAAACATGTTGATGTGTTTTTTGTTTTGCTTTGTTTTAGCTATGAGGAACTAAGCCAATCAGATAGCAAGTGTACATGATATGCTGATCTTACCTTTGACTCTTTATTATTTTTCTACTCCTTCTTTTCCTTTTATTTGGATTCTTACAGATATTTATTTTATCTTTTCTTATTTGATTGTATGCCTCCTAAAATCTTTCAGACAAAAAGTTAGTAATTTTTTTTTTTTTTTTTTTGAGACAGAGTCTCGCTCTGTCGCCCAGGCTGGAGTGCAGTGGCACAATCTAGGCTCACCGCAAGCTCCGCCTCCCAGGTTCACGCCATTCTCCTGCCTCAGCCTCCCGAGTAGCTGGGACTACAGGTGCCTGCCACCACGCCTGGCTAATTTTTTGTATTTTTAGTAGAGACGAGGTTTCACCATGTTAGCCAGGATGGTCTCGATTTCCTGACCTCGTGATCAGCCTGCCTTGGCCTCCCAAGTAATTTTTTTTTTTAACTGAACACTGACTTACTAAATGTTAGGTGCTACAAGTACTAAGCATTTTCTCCTGCTATTTCATTTGATCCATGATGAGATAGGTACTATTATGATTTCCATTATGCAGAAGGAGAAACAGGATTAGAGAGTTTAATAGCTTCCCCAAAGTCACAAAGATAGCCCATGATGACTCTGTGATTTAAACCCAGGCAGCTGGACTCCAGATTTATTTTTTCTTTACCATGGTCTTCTACTGCCCTGGTGAATAGGATGGACATCACAAGTCATATGTCATATATCCCAATACACATTCATTCACATACATACACACACACACAAATACACACACACATGTACATAAACTAAGCTATGGAAGCTGTTTAGAACATATAACTTAAAATTTTCCCCTTATAAAATATTTTATTCATCACATTTAGACTCTGCAGTAAAACTTGTGAACAGTTTGCCAACTGGCAGCCCCGGGGTCATATTATCTGCACATCGTTTTATTTGGCCTTCAGAATGCATTTTCATTTTTGAACACGGATAGAGCATGTAATCCTGGCTCCTCACATTCCCCATTATTCCTTTTTCTAAAATTCAGTCATTCCAGTCACTTATATATGCTGCCTGGCCCCTTTAAGCATTCAAGTATTGTATTAGGGACTTCTTGCATTGCTATAAAGAAATACCTGAGACTGGGTAATTTATAAAGAAAAGACGTTTAAGTGGCTCACAATTCTGCAGGCTGTATAGAAAGGATAGTGCCAGTATCTGCTTGGCTTCTGAGGAGGCCTCAGGAAACTTACAATCATGGCAGAAGGCAAAGTGGGAGTAGGCACTTCAAATGGCAAAAGCAGGAGCAAGAGAGAGAGTTGAGGGAGAGGGCCACAATTTTTAAATGACCAGATTTCACAAGCACCCACTGACTGTCGCAAAGACAGCACCAAGCCATGTGGGATCCACCTCCATGATCCATACACCTCCCACCAGACCTCACTTCCAACATTGGGGATTATATTTCAACAGGAGATTTGGGTGGGGACAAATATCCAAAGTATATCAAGTATGCAATCCCTGATTTAAGATATTGATAGGAAGGACCATATATCTCAGTATTAAAACACTCTTAGGGCTTCTCTCCTAACTCTAGAATCCAGGAGAATTCTTCCAACAGAGGCTAGGTGTATTTAATTTGGTACACATCTATTAGAAAATTTAAGAGGGAAATTTGCTTTAAAAACAGTTAAGTATGGGATGTTATCAGTAAGCATGAAAAAAAATTTTTAATAAAAAACAGTTGGGTAGAACAAAGTCAGAGGACTCACATTTCCTCATTTGAAAGTATACTACAAAGCTACAGAAGTCAAAACAGTGTGATACTGGCATAAAGACAGACATATAGACCAATGGCATAGAAAGCCCAGGAGTAAGCACTTGCATATATGGTCAAATGATTTTTGATAAGGGTGTGAAGACTAGTCAGTGGAAAAAAAGACAGTCTTTCCAACAAATGATGCTGGAAGAGTTGGATATATGCCTGTAAAAGAATGAAGTTGGACCCTTACCCAACAGCATAAACAAAATTAATTCAAGATGAATCAAAGACAAAGATGTAAGAGCTAAACCTATAAAACTCTTGGAAGAAAAAATTGCATAGAGGAAAAGCTTCATGACAATGGATGTGGCAGTGATTTCATATACATGACACCAAAGGCACAGGCAACAAAAGGAAAAACAGACAAATTGTACTTCATCAAAATTAAAAACTTTTGTACACCAAAGGGTCTTATCAACATAATGTAAAGGCAACCCTCAGAATGGGAGAAAATATTTGCAAATTACATATCTCATAAAGCATTAATACCCAGAATATATAGAGAACGCCTTCAACTCAGCAATAAAAAACTAAACAACTCAAGCCAGGTGTGGTGGCTTATGTCTGTAATACCGGCACTTTGGGAGGCTGAGTTGGGCGGATCACCTGAGGTCAAGAGTTTAAGACCAGCCTGACCAACATGGAGAAACCTCATCTCTACTAAAAATACAAAATTAGCTGGGCATGGTGGCACATGCCTATAATTCCAGCTACTCGGGAAGCTGAGGCAGGAGAATCGTTGAACCTCGGAGGCAGAGGTTGCAGTGAGCCGAGATCGTTCCATTGCACTCCAGCCTGGGCAACAAGAGCAAAACTCCATCTCAAAAAAACAAAAACAAAAAACGAAACAATTCAAAATTGGGCAAAGATCTTGAGCAGATAGTTCTCCAAAGAAGATAGGCAGATGGTCAATATACATATGAAAATATGCTCTATATAATGAGTAATCAGGGGGCCAGGTGCAATGGCTCATGCCTGTAATCCTAGCACACTGGGGAGCCAAAGCAGGTGGAGCTCTTTGAGCTCAGGAGTTTGAGACCAGCCTGGGCAATATGGTGAAACCCTGTCTCTATTAAAAAAAAAAAAAAAAAGTAATCAGGGAAATGCAAATCAAAGCCACAATGAGATGCCACTTGATACCCATTAGAATGAATAGTATCAAAAAAAAAAGAAAAAAGAAAACAACATGTTGGCTTAACTATGGAGAAATTGGAACCCTTGTGCATTGTTGGTGGGGATATAAAATGGTGTAGTGGCTGTTGAAAACCCAATGATGGTTTCTTAAAAAATTAAACAGAATAACAAATGGTCAAGCAATTTCACTCTGGGTATATACCCAAAAGAACTGAAAGAAGGGGCCAGGCGTAGTGTCTCACACCTGTAATCCAAGGATTTTGGGAAGCCAAGACGAGCGGATTGCTTGAGTCCAGGTGTTCAAGACCATCCTGGGCAACATGGTAAAACCTCATTTCTACCAAAAAAAAAAAAAAAAGTTAGCCTGGCATGGTGGCGTGTGCCCATAGTCCCAAATACTCAGGAGGCTGAGGTGAGAGAATCACCTGAGCCCAGGAAGTCAAGACTGCGGTGAACTGTAATGGCATCACTCCACTCCAGCCTGGGCAACCAGAGTGAGACTCTCTCTCAAAAAAAAAAGGACTCCAACAGATATTTGTACTGTCATATTCATATTCATAGCAACATTATTCACAGTAGTCAAAAGGTAGAAACAACCCAAATGTCCATTGATGGATGAATAAACAAAATGTAGTATGTACCTACAATGGAATATTATTCAACCTTAAAAATAAATTGTGATACATGTCATAACATGGATGAACCTTGAGGACTTTATGCTGAGTGAAATAAGCCAGGTATAAAAGGCCAACAAATATTGTATGATTGCATTTATATGAATTACTTGGAATAGTCAAATTCTTAGAACAGTAGTCACCAGGGTTGTAGGGGAGGTGAGATGAGGAGTTCTTTAATGGGTACCAAGTTTCAGTATGGGATGATGAAAATGTTCTGGAGGCAGACAGTGGTAACAATGTGAATGTACTTAATGCTACTGAACCGTACACTTAAAAATGGTTAAAGTGTTAAATTTTATGTTATATATATTTTACCACAATTATTAAAAAAATTAAGTGCTTTTAATTAATGACATGAAAATTAGTTTAGTACCTATTTGGTACACTTCTAACATATTAGAAGTGAGAACTGTGATTCTTCAAACCATTGTTTAAGGTCATTTAGGCAATTTTCCTTTGTTTACAAAAGATAAACACTTCACATGTAAGAAGTATTGCAGGTACATACCTAATATGTTCTTATACTACCACTTTCTATTATTTAAGTCAAACGTGATTTCTGGAAAGAAAGCATCTTTATTTGCCCTTTTGAATAAAATGTACAATAGAATAAGTCTCCAAAAAGAGTTCTGTAACAGATAGTTTTACTTATTCTGTTTTTCCCCACTTCCCCCATGGTCCTTGACTCTGGACCGATGGACTGACTTCTTTTTTTTGGTCCCATTGCCCAGGCTGAAGTGCAGTGGTGCAGTCTCAGCTCCCTGCAGCCTTGACCTCCCAGGCTCAGGTGATCCTCCCACCCCAGCCTCCTGATTAGCTGTAGGGACTACAGGCACGCAGCACCATGCCCAGCTAGCTTTTTATTTAATTAATTATTTATTTATTTATTGAGACAGATTTTTGCTCTGTCGCCCTGGCTGGAGTGCAGTGGCGCAATCTCAGCTCACTGCAACCTCCACCTCCCAGATTCAAGTGATTCTTGTGCCTCAGCCTCCCGTGTAGCTGGGATTACAAGCACACACCACCACGCCCGACTAATTTTTGTATTTTTAGTAGAGCCAGGGTTTTGCCATGTTGGCCAGGCTAGCCCCGAACTCCTGACCTCAAGTGATCCACCTGCCTTGCCCTCCCAGAGTGCTGGGATTACAGGTGTGAGCCACTGTGCCCAGCCTCCAGCTAGTTTTTTGGTTTTGTTTTGTTTTTTTTTTTTAGTAGAGAGACAGGTTTACCATGTTGCCCAGGCTGGTCTTGAACTCCCATACTCAAGCAATGCACCCACCTTGGCCTCCCAAAGTGCTGGGATTACAGGCATGTGTCACTGTGCCTAGCCACTGACTGACTTGTTCTTAATGAAAGCCATTTCCTAGTGAAAAGGAAGAGTATGGAAAGCACTCACATGTTAGAGCTCTAACCTAAGTCTTAAAGGAGTTTGATAGTTCAGCTCTCTGTTAGCATAACATTTGCACTAGTTTTCACTATTTTCATTTATATTAGGCTTATTTTGATCATTACATAAATGAAGGCTTATTTTATATTTTCTTGAGAGAGGTTCTTGCTCTGTCGCCCAGGCTGGAGTGCAGTGGCATGATCATAGCTCACTGCAGCCTCGACCTCCTGGGCTCAATCCTCCCACCTCAGCCTCCTGAGCAGGTGGAACCACAGGCACATACCACCACACCTGCCTAATTTTTTAATTTTTTTGTAGAGATGGGGTCTTACTGTGTTGCTCAGGCTGGTCTTGAACTCCTGTGCTCAAGTGATCCTCCCGCCTCGGCCTCCCAAAGGGCTGGGATTACAGGCATGAGCCACTGTGACCATCTGAAGTCCTATTTTATTTTTACAGAGAGTAGTTTATTTATTAAACCAATCTGTGAAGTCAAACTTCCTACCTTTTAAATATATTTTTTTAATTTTTAAAACTTTTAAAAGTTATTTTAAAATATATAATTACCTTCATATCTATATACATGGTAAAATGTACTTTATTGGCCTTAACCATGTGGTGAAAAAATGTACTTTGAAATTACATATTTACAATGGGACCAAAAAAAACCCACCTTACTGTACTTTATTTCTGCAAAACAATTTAAAAAGTGAACATCACAGTTTCAACTACTCATTTTAAAGAACTTTTATAATTCAGCAAATTTGTAAAGATTGGGTACTTCCAGAATCAAAGAACAATAATGCAGTTCACCTAACTTTCTGTAAAAAAGCAAAACTATCCCTTATATTTTTTCCTTCAGATTTTTAGCAGGCATTATAAGAAAAGTGGACAAAAGACTTGAACACTTTCGAAAGATGATATTCAGATGACCAATAAACATTTGACAAGTTTGTTATTATAATTTGCAGTTCTTTGCTTAAACATTTCTTTCTGTATCTTTATTGACTCTTGTGAATTATCTGTTTATGTGTCTTATCCATTTATGTTTTGTGGTGTTAAAAGTATTCTTATCATTTGTTAATATTTTAAATTTATTTCTAATTACACAAGTAAAACATAACCACATTGTTTTGAAAATATTATAATTACTGTTCTTGCTGATGTTACCCTCGATCATCAGTCTTAATCCTAGGCCCTTACTTAGTTCCAGTCCTGACAACCATTGTCAGTTTGACGTGTAGCCCTGTAAACCTTTGTGTGTGTCTGTGTGTGTGTGTTTTAGTACAAATCTGTCATACCATTGTTCTGTCGGAGCTCTTCTTATGTCAATACAGATGCATTCTATTTAATTGCTGCATAGTGCCCTAGTATACATATAGTCATAGTTTATTTAACTCTTCCCCTATCGAAGGACATTTGAGTTACTTTCACTTGTTTGCAATTACAAACAATGTTTCAGGCAACATCCTTTAACATTTACTCTCAGTCTTCCCCAGTGTAGTTATTGAGAAATTGAATTTCTAGGCAGAAAGTGAATGTACTTTTATTTTAATGGATATTGCCCAGTTGCCTTCTAAGGTAGCTGCTTCCAACTTAAACTCCTGCCAGCCCCCTACACCCTTATCAATAATTGGTATTATCACTGTAGTCCCAATTACTCTGGATTCTGGGGCACGAGAATCACTTGAACTTAGGAGGCAAAGGTTGCAGTGAGCCAAGATCACACAACTGTACTCCAGTCTGGGTGACAGAGCGAGACTCTGTCTCAAAAATAATAATTGGTATTATCAAACTCTTTAAGTTTTTTTGTATTTATTTATTTATTTATTTATTTTATTTTATTTTTTTTTTTTTTGAGACGGTATCTCGCTCTGTCACCCAGGCTGGAGTGCGGTGGCGCGATTTCGGCTCACTGCAGGTTCCACCTCCCGGGTTGACGCCATTCTCCTGCCTCTGCCTCCCGAGTAGCTGCGACTACAGGCGCCCGCCACCACACCCGGCTAATTTTTTTGTATTTTTAGTAGAGACGGGGTTTCACCTTGTTAACCAGGACAGTCTTGATCTCCTGACCTTGTGATCCACCCGCCTTGGCCTCCCAAAGTGCTGGGATTACAGGCATGAGCCACCGCGCCTGGCCGTTTTTTTCTGTTTTATAACTGGTTTCAGTTAGCATTTACCTGATTACTAGTGAAGATGAACACATTTTAATTTTCTTTTGCCTATTTGTCTTTATGTAAATTGCCCATTTACATCCTCTGCCCACTTTTACATTAGGCTGCTTTGGTTTTTTTCTATATTGATTTGTAGTTTGTAAGTCTTATTCCATTATCTTTGCTTATATATGTTGTGTGCGTTTTCTCCATATGTAAACTGTTTATACAACAAAACATAATCTTTTGTCATTTTTGTTGCATATTTCCCTACATCTGTTTGTCTTTTACTTGTTTCTTCTTTTTTTCCTGTTTAGTTTTTTCATATTTGGCATTATTTTCCTCCTTGAACATTGGACATATTCACCAGTGGAGCCATCTGGGCCTAAAATTTTTTTTTGTTGAAAGATTTCCAATTATAGTTTCAATTTCTTTTAATAGTTTACAGAACTATTCATATGTCCTGTTTATTTTTGTGCCATTGTTCGTAAGTTCTTTTTTTCTAGGAATCTGTCCGTTCATCTAAATTTTCAAATTTATTAGCAAAAATATAGTGATATCCTTTTACTATCTTTTTAATGTTTGTAGGATTGGTAGTGATGTTCCATTTTTCATATCTGATATTAATATTAGGATCTTTCTCCTTTTTTTATTATTCTTACCAGAGGTATCAGTTTTATTATTCTTTTTCAAAGAACTAGGTTTTGTTAATTCTCCCTGGCGAATGTTGATTTCACTTCATTCTTGACGAATATTTTCACTGGGTATAGAATTCTGGTTTGGTAATTATTTTCTTTCAGCCCTTTGAAAATATCATTCTATTGTTTTTTTGGCTTCCATTTTTCTCTTTCAGTCAGCTCTGTTTGAAAGTAATTGTCTTTTTTGTGGATAATTTGAATATTTTCTTTATCCTTGATTTTCTATAGTTCGAATAAGATATGTCTAGCTGTAATTTTCTTTTTTATTAGGATTGTGAGTTTTCATTTTATGTATATTTTGCACATAGAAATAATCAGTGATTATCTAATGGAATCAGACTTTCCTTTGGTAATTTATTTATTCTATGTGGGGAAAACTTTGCTGCTGTCTGCTACCAGATGTCAAACAAATTCTGTTCTGGCTTTTCTATGGAATCAGTTTTGGAGATCTAAATTGTTTTTAGTATTCTGTCTCCAAATTGATAATCAATTATTCTAGCAAAATTTAAAACATAATTTTAATTTAGCATTTATTTTAAATTTTTTTTGTGCATTAAATTCTTAAGTATAGTAATAGAGTCTGTTTTAGGAGTAGCTGTTTGATGTCTGTAGCTGCTTCTACTTGAATATGCTTTAGTCAATTTTATTTAATTTGTATTCCTCACCAATTTTCCAGGGCAGCACCCATGTTTTTCGTGTAAAGTGTCTGGTAAAGATGTGAAGCGTTGTTCTGTTGGTGCTTGTGGGAAATTTTATCATGAAGCCTGTGTCCGCAAATTCCCCACTGCCATCTTTGAATCAAAAGGATTCCGCTGTCCTCAGCACTGCTGCTCTGCCTGCTCTATGGAGAAAGATATCCACAAAGCAAGTAAAGGTAAAACAGCTGAAGAAGGAGACAAAGATTTTTGTTTTAAGGGCAGTGGCAAATAACATTATCAAGCATATATTACAAACAACATAAGGCATTCTTCTTCTGTGTATCTCTAGCTTTAACAGTTCAGCCACAGTACATACACAGTACATGTTAAGTAGAGATTACATTCTAAATTCAGACCATGAGAAGAAAATTCCATGTGTTCAAAATACCCTTGAAAGTCCTTCAGGTAGGTGCCATATTGGATACCACCGTCTCTGCAGCATTGGAACAAATAATTTTTTCTTTGGATGATCTCTACGTGACTATTAGGCTTACATTTAGGGGCCATATAGCATAGGATGACAGAGCCAGACTAGGGAAGAAAAAAATGCTTTCCATCTACTGTAACTAGCATCTCAGAGGGACCCAAAAAAGCCCAACTCCAGAAACTTATTTTTATGTCCCGCTGATGCCTTATTAGATTCCTTTTTGACTTGTCTTTAAACAGGCCGCATGATGAGATGTTTAAGATGTCCAGTTGCCTATCACTCTGGAGATGCTTGCATTGCGGCCGGAAGCATGTTAGTATCCTCCTACATTCTCATCTGTAGTAATCATTCCAAACGGAGCAGTAATTCTTCTGCTGTAAATGTAGGCTTTTGTTTCGTTTGTGCCAGAGGTGAGTGTCTGACTTTTCTCTTCATTTATTTTTGAGGTCATTGGCATATTTCTCCATTAACATAGAGTCTCAGCATTGGGAAAGAACTCAGGCCATCTAGTAGAATCTCCTACCCAGTGCAGAATTCCACTGTAATATATCCCTGAGAGAGATGAACATTTCCAGTAACTTTTATAATGCTAGATGTCCAAAGTGTTAGAATACTAATTCTTCCATAAGTTAAGCTAAAATCTGCATTTCTAAAAATAACAGAATTATAGTTAAGTTCTTAGTTTTTCTGTTTGGAGCATTAAAAGATTAATCTTTTCCCTTCTGCAAACAACTCTTCTATTCAAAGTAGATCCTTCCCATTTCATAATCTTAAACCAGAACTTTCAACTGATTGAGATTTCACTTGGAAGGCAAAACTAGCACATCCATTTTTCAGTTGTTTATGCTGTATTTTATCATAATGTTTTGGTCTGGCATTGAGGAGGGCCTGATGGGACACAGCCAAGGCAGCATATGTGGTGGTGTTAGTTCAGAGCCAGCCATGTGGGCTTTCTTGTTGCCAGCTGTTGACGTTTAAGTACACCAAGAGATTGATCAACTAAAAACAATACTGTAGCCCTACGGGGGTCAGTGAACTTGGGTTCATGATAAATATAAAATCAAACTTCTTTAGTTGAATGTTATACAGAATATCTGGCTTTATCTCAAGCCATATTATAATAAAACTTTTTTGGTACTTAGTAAGCATTATAAAAACTAACTAATATCCCTAAATATTGCTTTGGTTTGTTTTTAAGTGCAAAGTTTTCTGACTTTCCCTCTGAACTATTCTCAAGGCCTCTAAGGCCCATCATGCTTGTTAGATTCTATTTAGACCATACTGAACATGAAAGTGGTTTTTGTTTGGTTGGTTGCTTTTGCTTTAGGAGACAGTTATTTTAATTTGGTGAAAGTACTATAACAACTTTCTAAAATAGAATTTAGGTAGTATGATAGATCTTAGGTGGTTTTGCTTTTGTGTCTCTCATTATGAAAACATTACTTGGAGGTAGGCAGTAAAAGATTAAATAAATCGTAGTCCTTTGTGGAGTAGCTAGCAGGGTCTGTAGTAGACACTACTTTCTGTTTGCCTGTTTTATAAGCACATGTGACTGTCTGCCTTTGGAGCAGGAAGTACTGTGTCTTTCTTAACTACAGCAGTGTCAAATGTATCCTGCTCTGAAACCTGGCTGGTATCATGGAGGAGTAGGTCTGAAATGTTTCCTGCTATATCGTAACAGGTGGGCAAATAATAAATAAAAAGGTGTCACTCATTGCCTTTCCCATCTCTGCATTCCTAAGAAAGTAATGATTAGAAGAAAAAATTATTGTATTATCAGTTGAATGTTTAGCTTTAGAGTCTTTTAAACGGATGAGTGGCAGTGATAACATAAAGTCTCTTATTGCTTTGCAAACTCTATGCTACCATTGCTGGGCACTGACATTTCCTGTCAGTGTATAAGCATGCATAATTTAGCCCGCATTTTAATATCAAGTTTATAACTATTATGTTGGCTTATGTTGGGGCACATTCTGAATCAAATGCCATCAGTAGATTAATTAATATTCTCTTTTGCTCTACTTCATTCAATAATTGGGATACCTTTAAAATAGGTATTTTCAGGCTGGGCACAGTAGCTCACGCCTGTAATCCCAACACTTGGGAGGCTGAGGCAGGAGGATTGCTTAAGGCCAGGAGTTCAGGACCAGTTTGGGCAACATAGCAAGACCCCATCTCTACAAAACATAAAGGAATTAGCCAAGCATGGTGGTGTGTGCCTGTGGTCCCAGCTACTCGAGAGGCTGAGGAGGGAGGATCACTTGACCCCAGGAGTTCAAGACTGCAGTGAGTTGTGAAACAAAATATAGTATTTTCAATTTAGGACAGCTAGAAAATTGTACGCTTATAGAAACTCTAGCCACTTTGTTAAATTTAACTTACATAACTTGATTAAATTCTGAGAATAATGTAAGTGGAGGGAAAACCCATGTTTAACAACAGAATCTGTATTTACATCTTAACAATTTGACGGTTATCCAGGAATATTTACTGAATTTAAATGCCTGTTTAAGCAAAATTATTTAATTCCCACATATTTTAACTGTGAAACTTTGTATGGTAAACATAACCTTCATTTTATTTTCTAGCATTTGACAAAGACTTACTCTAAATAGATCAGATGCTGGGAAGGCTTAAATCAAAAGTCTTTCAGAAGTAAATAATATGTGTTCTTTTATAAGTATTTATAAAGGTCACCTTTTTTAAGGAGACATAACTGTAATAAATCCACACACAGAAAGGAGCACTTTAGTCATTTCTGTTTGGGTATTAGAAAACTTAGCTTGTTTTGCTTGTTTCTTGCCTTATACAGAATTTTTCCCTCCACATAGATTTTCTCTTAGTTCTTGGTTATTGGGTGTTTAAAATCATTAAGCTATTTCTTAAGGACTACAATGTCTGGAAATATTTTTTGAAATGTTTCAGGGTTTGACATCACTCCTCTTCCACATGCCACCTAATCGTGGAGTCACAAGAAGTGTGCGGACATTTTTCAGTGTAGTGCACATTCTTTAGCATCTCCTTTCATCTTAGAGGGTTGTGTAAAATAAGTTACTTAACATTCTATGCCTTTCTTTGTAATGGTAATTTTAAATGGATAATGTAGGCTGGAGTTTTCTTTTCATTTTAACAGTAAATAATAGCAATTTATTTTGCATATGTAAGTCAAACTTTACTAAACATTATCTGAATGAATTGCCACAGTTTCCCTAAGAAGTTATCTCTCCATAGTATACAGGTGAGAACACTGAAACCTAGATTAAATAATTTACCTAATGACACACAAGTTGTTAAATGGAGGGACTAGTATTTGTACTTAATCCTTCTTATTTCAAAGCCCATATTCCTTTACACTACTCCATCTCCCTCTATTAAATGTACAAAGTTCATTTCAACATTATATAACTTTTTTTTTTGAGACAGAGTTTTGCTCTTGTTGCCCAGGCTGGAGTGCAATGGTGCAGTCTCAGCTCACTGCAACCTCTGCCTTCTGGGTTCAAGCGATTCTCCTGCCTCAGCCTCCCAAGTAGCTGGGATTACAGGCATGTGCCACCACGCCTGGCTAATTCTTTTGTATTTTTAGTAGAGATGGGGTTTTTCCATGTTGGTCAGGCTAGTCTCAAACTCCCGACCTCAGCTGATCCGCCTGTCTCGGCCTCCCAAAGTGCTGGGATTACAGGCGTGAGCCACCATGCCCAGCCCATATAACTTTTATTAGAAGACTCTGGCTGAGCACCATGGCTCATGCCTGTAATTCCAGCATTTTGAGATGCTGAGGTGGGAGGATTGCTTGAGCCCAGGAATTCAAGACCAGCCTGGGCAACATAGCAAGACCTCGTTTCTACAAAAAAATCAAAAACGTAGCCAGGCATGGGGACAAATGGCTGTAGTCCTAGCTACTCGGGAGGTTGAGGTGGTAGGATCACTCGAGCCCAGGAGGTTGAGGCTGCAGTGAGCTGTGATCTGCCACTGGACTCCAGCCTGGGTGACAGAGCGAGACCCTGTCTCAAAAAAACAAAACAAAAAGAAGATTGTCATATTGTTAGTAATTTCAAGTTCCATTCTGTTATTTAGGTCAGAGATATTTCTTGAATTCGTCTCAGTGTAGAGTATGAAGACAATGCCCACAGAAAAAAGTAAATGGTAATTTCCCTCCCCTTCAAAATGATCTCTTAAATAAAACTGCTGCCGTAATTTGTATTGTAAATCCTACATCATTATACACTGATCCAGTAACCAAGATAGAGGATAGAGAAATGTCCCCTGGTCTCACAGTTGCCTAGGTTTAGGAGTGGCTTATAGCTACATCATGAATTAACTGGGGGAGGGGTAAGGGAAAGAAGAGGGAACCACAGGTAGCTTTAGTGTTTTCCTCCAAGTAGCATAGCTGTAATTGGTAGATCAAAAAGATTGTTTTTATTAACGCTTAAGTTGGTAATCCTTTTATATTGTGGCAGGGAAAAAATGAAAATGTTTGCATTACCTCAGTAAAGTTCAGGAAATTATGGCTCCTTTAAAATCATGTACCAGGCCTGGCACAGTGGCTCATGCCTGTAATCCCAACATTTTGGAAGACCAAGGTGGGAGGATTACTTAAGGCTAGAAGTTAGAGACCAGCCTGGGCACAAAAGCTATTATAGACCCCATCTCTACAAAAAAATTTAAAAATTAGCCTGGTGTGGTGGCATGTATCTGTAGTCCCAGCTACTCGGGAGGCTGAGGCCAGAGGATCGCTAGAGCCCAGAAATTCAAAGGTGCAATGAGCCATGATCACACCACTACCCTCCAGTCTGAGTGACAGAGCAAGACTCTGTCTCAAAAAATATATATATAATATAAAATGAAATAAAACATGTACCATATTGATAGAGAAGAGTTTCATTATCTGGCAGAGAAAGTTAGGATTTCTTTGAGTATGTCTGAAGATATGAATAGAAAAAAGGAGAGACTTCCATTCTGCATTAAAGTGCTACTTGATATATTGAAGGTAGATCAGGGTCTACTTATGTAAATGATTCTTATTTCTATCTCATTACATGATATATAATATCATTTTGTTCTTTGGGCTGTCGTCATTGTACATCCAAATACGAAGCAGTGTAGCTTTGTTTTCCCTAAGGGGTTTTCTGTATGATGTCAAGTGTTTATATCTTCAAATTATTTGAAGTTTTCTTCTGCAGAATTTAGGTTTCTATAATATATAGGGATAAGGAATTGAGTAGTTCAGACTCCCTTTGAAAACTGTAGAAAACCTTTCTGTCAGATCTTTCTTTTTTCTTCATATTCTCATTTTCGCCCTCCCCACCCCAGCTTTGAAGCATACATAATAGGTGTTGGTTTATTTTTTCCTCATGGAATCATGGGTAGTTTCATTGCAGCTCATCTCTTTCTGTTTGTTTCGTATAGGGCTGATAGTTCAGGACCATTCAGACCCCATGTTCAGTTCATATGCCTATAAGTCCCACTACCTACTGAATGAATCAAATCGTGCTGAGTTGATGAAATTACCTATGATTCCTTCTTCGTCAGCTTCCAAAAAGAAATGTGAGAAAGGTAATAATCAAAATAGTTTCTCTTGCTTTTATTTTTGCATTTCCTATTTTTTTCTCTTTCAATATAGGGGGGAAATGTATGCCTGTCAAGCACCATCTGTTGCTTTTGGTAAATTCTGCCTTGGTGGTTGTGACTGTTTCTTCATATGGCTGCACAATTATTAAAAAGGGCTTAAAATAATTCCATTGTTGCACATTTTTACATACTCTTCCCTTGAATAAATTTTTACACATTCCATATTTATAAGTTATTAAAATAGGAAGACTAGGATTTTGGTCAGTATAAATATAGAATCATATTCTAAATGTTCTTTCTCTTTTTCCTGGTGTGAAACTATCATTCAAGTTGGAATAGAAAAGATAGGGTATAATTTGTTACTAACTTTCAACTAAATAACAAGGTAGGTTATTAAAAGAGGGAAACTAAGATACTGATACTTGAAAGTTTGCTTTTAGAATATGTTCTGTCATTGGGCTTCTTAAATGTTTGGTTAAGATGCTATGAAAACTAGTTGCCCTTCCCTTAGGAGACATTGGTGGGAAGCTGGTTGGGGAGAATACCCCTAATACTGGATGCTGGAAGGCAGCCCAGCTGAATTGCTGATGGATAATTATCCACACAGTACCAAGAGCTAAATGGATATTTCTGTTCTCCCAGTTAATTTAACCTATGGAAGAAAACTTTATATTGTGTTTAGTTTTCCATAGCCTACCTGTTATAAAAATGATTTAACAATGATGTATTATTTGGGGAGTTATTATCCCACTGGGAAAAATAAATGAGCTTGAAAGGTGAGGGCCTTTTCCTGTGTACATTCCCATTATGATCTGGGGCCAAGTTCAGAATCTTTAAAGAAAACTTCATTCATAACTAATATACTCTATACACACACACACACACACACACACACACAGTAGGTGTATTTGAAATGGGCTTTTGAAAAAATTCTTTGTGTTGCCTGTTTGATGTATCTTTGCTCTTTGTCAGACATCTGAAGTGGCAACTCATGACTAAAAGAAAGTGAGACTAAGCAAGTCGATTGGAACATATTAGAAGTATTGGAGAGAGTACTGGCTTTTTTGTCTGTTTTCTGCAGTCAGATTATATCACCTTATTGATAATACTGCCTACTTCCAAAACAAAAAAATGAACATAGGTTTGACTTACTCCATAATTATTCTGCCTGAGACATTTTAGGAAATGCTTTATTTTCTTGCTGGTACCTATATAAAATTAGATTAATTCAATTGTTGCTTACTTTGTTTTCAGTACTCAGTATTAACTTTGACATGAATTGAAATTATTTTGAGCCCTCTGTTTGCTTAACTTGAACCATATCTTACTTCTCTTGTATCCTAGTTTTCTTGCATAGCACCAAGGTGGACCATTCACATTTTTTTTTATTTCCCTTGTGTATTTTAAGCATCTTTATCATGATGATTTTCTCTGATGATTCTGGCTCTGTATTTCCTCTGAAATAAGACTTAAAATTAAGAACTATTCCATAATGTTAAAAATGGCCAGCCTGACTTTTCTAGGTCAGTACTAATAATCACATGTCCTCTAAAGCTGTTTGCAGACTTTTCTCCCTGCTGGTCATTCCTTTCTGATGGAAAAAAAAAATGAATAATCTCATTTTACTTTAAATTTATAGACAAATTCCCTCCCTAAGTGTAGAGCACTTGGGCATCTGATCTCTAGGTTGGTAAATTGAATCAATTAATCTATACTGAGATGTAGTCCCAGAAAAAAAATCTTGATGATTGAAGTAAAAGCTTTTAAGCAGAGGAAATACAGTGATTTAATTCATCATGGGTTGTATATGGATTTTCTTTTTGTTTTTATGTTAATCAGAAGTTTGAAAATTTATAGGAAGACAAGATTTTCTGGAAAATTGGTAGCAAGCCCTCAGAAGGTTGGAGCATGTGATTTGATAAAGTTGCATAGAGGGCTCTTACCCTTTTGCTTATGAGACTTTAAATCTTCGTACACTCATGGGTTATAGACCTGATTTTCCAATGAAAAGATCAATTTTTTTCAATAAATATTTGTCTTTATTATATTTCATCTTCAGTGGTTAACATTCGCTGTCACGTATTGAAATACATATTAGAAATACCTAATTTCCTCCCAGAATTTCATATTTCTTAGCATTTACAACTATTTTGTTTGCCACACCTGTTTTGGTCTCAATCCAGAGAGTATTTTGTGTATCTAAAAGGAAAGAGTTTTGATAGGGAACTTGGAATTAGCTCCTTGCATATGGTACTTCATTCTATACTGATAACTACTTAATTTTATGCTATAAAGCAGTGGTTCTCAATATGAAGTCAGAAGAGACTTATGTAAACAAAATTTTTGAACTATGTTTAATATTTCAGAAAATCTAACAATTACACATTTGTACAGAATCAAACTGCATGAGTTTTTAAAATTTGGCTATGATTTTAACAATTTAATGGGATAATACTAGTTTTGTTATTGGGATCAGAATCTCTGATTGGCAGTTATATATTTCTTTGGTTAATAAAAATCGGAGAAATTGTTACTTTTAAAATGCAGATTTTGGCCAGGCATGGTGGCTCACGCCTGTAATCCCAACAGTTTGGGCGGCTGAGGCAGGAGGATTGCTTGAGGCCAGGAGTTCAAGACCAGCCTGGGCAAGATAGAGCCCGTCTCAAAATATATTCTCTGTATATGTATATATATAGAGAGAATACACACACATACACACACACACACACACACACACACACACACACACACACAGAGGGAGAGAGAGAGAGAAAGAGAGGTTTTTTGGTTGTTGATAAAATATTTGAAATTATGTGGGTTCATGAGGAGGGAAAAGGGAATCCTTGGTGATGAAAAAGTTGCAAACCACTGCTGTATAGCCTGTAAATCTTCACCAAAAGGTAATGATAACATAATCACCAATTTGAGATTCTGTGTTCCTTTTGCTTTTTGTATTCTTTATGGAAAGAAAAAAGTACTGATCAACCTATTGGCTATTTTTTTGCTTGCTAATTATATTGTAAAGGAATTTAGTTAACCATGGCACTGGATTAAAATACAACGATGACTTGCTTTCTTTCTTACCTCTGAAGGAGAAAAGAAAGTTGCTACTTACATGTTTGAAAAACCTCTCAAATCTACTCAGTCAAAAGATTTTATGCTTCAATTTGGTCATATGTTAAGAGTTTAGCTTCTAAACTGATACCTCAGTAGCCCATAGTTTAAAGGAGTAAAGAGTACATGGATGCTTTTGGTACTACTCAGAAGCTCTGAGTTTCTGGCCACTGAAACCCTGAAAAGTAGCTAAATACGTTCACTTGCTATTTTAATCCATCACTGTAGATATGACTCAGTCCCTTTGTTATTTTCCCCCAATTTGAAACAAATTTAATGTGCTGAAAAGATAACTTTCTCCTTTTTCTTTCTTTTTCTCTCTCCTCTTTTCTCAGTTATTAAGACTGTTTATTTGTTTCAAGGTGGAAGATTGCTCTGCTGTGAATCGTGCCCAGCTTCCTTCCACCCGGAATGCCTAAGCATAGAAATGCCAGAAGGCTGCTGGAATTGTAATGACTGTAAAGCTGGCAAGAAACTACATTACAAGCAGATTGTTTGGGTCAAATTGGGAAATTACAGGCAAGTTTTTCCAAGAACAAAGAGGAAGTATTCAATCATTGTGCAGACCAGTTTCATACTCTGGATACAGAGTGACTTGGAGATAGATAGGTAGACAGCATGGACCTACTTCCTTAAAAAAAAAAAAGAAAAGAACCATGTTTTGAGGCTGGGTTCTTAAGGGGTTGGGAAGGTTATGTTCCTAATTCATTATTGAATTTCTTTTTCTTTTTCTTTGGGATTGGTTGGTTGATTGTTTGTGAGGCGGTTTGGCTCTATCACCAAGGCTGGAGTGCAGTGGTATCGCAGCTCACTGCACCCTCCACCTGCTGGCTGAAGCCATCCTCCCACCTCAGCCCCCAAAGTAGCTGGGATTACAGGTTCACACCACCACCCCTGGCTAGTTTTTTGTATTTTTAGTAGAGACAATGTTTCGCCATGTTGCCCACGCTGGTCTCAAACTCATGAGTCAAGCAATCTGCCCACCTCAGCCTCCCAAAGTGCTGGGATTATAAGCATGAGCCACCATGCCCACCAACTTTTGTTTTTAAGTCCTGAAAGTTGTTTTATACTAATGGGCTATGTACTACTAGATTTTGGAATAAAAGGTCTTATATGGACAGTGGAGATGATTTTTTTTTTCCAAAAAAAACTTTTTTTTTTTTTTTTTTTTGAGACGGAGTGTTGCTTTGTCGTCCAGGCTGGAGTGCAGTTGCGCGATCTTGGCTCACTGCAAGCTCCGGCTCCCGGGTTCATGCCATTCTCCTGCCTCAGCCTCCCGAGTAGCTGGGACTACAGGCGCCCGCTACCATGCCCGTCTAATTTTTTTGTATTTTTAGTAGAGATGGGGTTTCACTGTGTTAGGCAGGATGGTCTCGATCTCCTGACCTTGTGATCCGCCTGCCTTGGCTTCCCAAAGTGCTGGGATTGCAGGTGTGAGCCACCACGCCCGGCCAAAAAAAAACTTTAAAAATTTTTTTTTAATTTAAATTGAATAAATATAGTGAGATGGGGACTCATTATATTGCCCAGGCTGGTCTCGAACTCCTGGGCTCAAGCGATCCTCCTGCCTCAGCCTCCCAAAGTGCTAGAATTATAGGAATGAGCCACCACACTTGGCCAGAGATGATATTTTCTTTGTGTCTTAATTAGATATATGTTGATTTCTGATTTCTAATAAAATCAAGTTTATATTCTGGTCAAAATAGCTCTTTGCCCCTGAATCTCGTCCATTTTAGCCCTAAACCATGTGTAAAGAGAAAACTTTTTAGAATTTAAGGAGAGATTATTCCATTAAGAGGCTTTAGTCTTAAGGGAATGAAGCAGGAAGTATGTGAGTACCATTATTTTAATAGTACTTTCTCCTTTAAGGCTTCAACGAGCCTTTGCTGAACAGGTATAGTGATACAGTTTTAAAACTTGGCCAGGTACAGTGGTTCATGCCTGTAATCCTAGCACTGTAGGAGGCTGGGGCAGGTGGATTGCTTGAGCTGAGGAGTTCAAGACCAGCATGGGCAACGTGACAAAACTCTGTCTCTACAAAATATATACAAATTAGCTGGGCATAGTGGCGTGCCATGTGTGGTAGCATCATAGCTACTCGGGAAACTAAGTCTGGAGGATTGCTGGAGCCCAGGAGGTTAAGGCTACAGTGAGCCATGATTGTGCCACTGCACTCCAGGCTGGGCAACAGGGCAAGACCCTGTCTCAGAAAAAAACAACAACAAAAAAACACAATTAAACTAAAAAACTCTACATTTTGAGGCATATATTTATCATTTTACAAAGAAAATAGATACTATTCAAGATAGCACAATAGAGTTCTGCTTTTCAGTTAGAATCCTAGGTAAAATATATTTCTCTTTTTTTTTTTTTTTTTTTTTTTTTTTTTTTTGAGACGGAGTCTCACTCTGTCACCCAGGCTGGGATGTAGTGATATGATCTCTGCTCACTGTAACCCCCACCTCCCAGGTTCAAGCGATTCTCCTGCTTCAGCCTCCCAAGTAGCTGGGATTACAGGCACCTGACACCACGCCTGGCTAATTTTTGTAATTTTAGTACAGACGGGGTTTCACTGTGTTGGCCAGGCTGGTCTCGAACTCCTGACCTCAGCTGATCCGCCCGCCTCGGCCTCCCAAAGTGCTGGGATTACAGATGTGAGCCACTGTGCCCGGCTCTAAAATATATTTCTAGAAAATTTTAAATATACTGTAATTTTTTTAGCAAGAGCTATGTTTGTTCTCCCTCTCTCTTTTTAATTTTTTTTTTGAGACAGGGTCTCGCTCTGTTGCCAGGCTGGAGTGCAGTGGTGTGATCTTGGCCCACTGCAGCCTCTGCCTGCTGGATTCAAGCAATTGTCCTGCCTCAGCCCCCCGAGTAGCTGGGACTACAGGCACGCTCCACCACGCCTGGCTAATTTTTGTATTTTTAGTAGAGACGGGGTTTCACCATGTTGGCCCGGATGGTCTCAATCTCTTGACTTCCTGATCCACCGGCCTCAGCCTCCCAAAGTGCTGGGATTACAGGCATGAGCCACTGCACCCAGCCTGTTCTCTCTCTTTTACATATGTTAGACATGTTTACCCATTTAAATTTTAGAACTTCATTTTTAGCTGAGATCTGGGGTATTGAAATCAAACCTCCCCCCACTTCTTTTTCTTTTTCTTTTTTTTTTTTTTTTTGAGACAAAGTCTTGCTCTGTCCCAGGCTGGAGTGCAGTGGCACGATCTCGGCTCACTGCAACCTCTGCCTCCTGGGTTCAAGCGATTCTGTTGCCTCAGCCTCCCAAGTAGCTGGGATTACAGATGCATGCCATGACGCCTGGCTAATGTTTGTATTTTTTTTTGAGACAGAGTCTCGCTCTGTCGCCCAGGCTGGAGTGCAGTGGCGCGATCTTGGCTCACTGCAACCTCCGCCTCCCGGGTTCAAGTGATTCTCCTGCCTCAGCCTCCCAAGTAGCTGGGATTACAGATGCATGCCATGATGCCTGGCTAATCTTTGTTTTTTTTGTTTGTTTGTTTGTTTTTTTGAGACAGAGTCTCACACTGTTGCCCAGGCTGGAGTACAGTGGCACGATCTTGGCTCACTGCAAGCTCTGCCTCCCGGGTTCACGCCATTCTCCTGCCGCAGCCTCCCAAGTAGCTGAGACTCCAGGCACCCGACACCACACCTGGCTAATTTTTTGTATTTTTTTTTTTTAGTAGAGATGGGGTTTCACCATGTTGGCCAGGATGGTCTCGATCTCCTGACCTCGTGATACACCCGCCTTGGCCTCCCAAAGTGCTGGGATTACAGGCGTGAGACACCGTGCCTGGCCTAATCTTTGTATTTTTATTAGAGACGGGGTTTCACCATGTTGGCCAGGCTGGTCTTGAACTCCTGACTTCAAGTGATCTGCCCGCCACAACCTCCCCAAGTGCTGGGATTACAGGCCTGAGCCACCACACCTGGCCAATACAGTATGTTTTTAATACCTGGGAAGAAATACATCTAATGTTAATAGTGTCAAGGATGAGATTACAAGAAGAGGCATTTTCACTTTTCTACTATACATTTCTGCATTGTTTTAATTTTTAGAAGAAGTGCATACTGCTTTCATAATTGAAAAATATGTATCTTTCTGGCATGGAGAAGGGTGCACAGTTTGAAAATTAATACATTTAAGACATTTCTAGATAAGAAATATCTAAAACAATGTAAGAAGCCTTCAGATCTTCAAATAAACTTCAATTTTTTTAAAGTTATGGATATAAAAATGTCTTTGATTTATTTTAACACTTAAATTTTAATTATATTACATTTTAAAGAAACCCAAAACAGTGCTCCAATTAAATTCACAGTCCAGTGAGATCTTATATCTAGGTCAGATTCTTCTTGTATGTTTTGGAAAGACTTCCATCCGTGAACTAATTCTTAATGTATTTCTTTCCAGTCAGGCCCAGTGGGGCTGCATGAAGCTGTTTATTTTCAATAACTAGTTATTCCAATGTGTTGCTTCTTGGGGGAAAATATGAGGACCTGGAACAAACCCAGGCAGAACATGTGACTCTTCCTAACTGACGTTAGTGAAGGCAGTAACTGTATACATATTTAATTACCTTAAAGTTGTTTAGAAATAAATAGAGCCTGCTTTGAGAACGAACCAAGTATCAATCACAGAAAATATTGGTTTTTGTTTTGTTTACAATTTGCGCATGGATTCTTACCCATGTTTTCAATTCTTAGATGAACAGCAGAGTACCTTTCAGGTGACACTTTATCAAGTTCTGCAATATAAATCTGGGAGTGCAATCATGTCATCATTTATCTTCTCAATAATACAGTTATGTGTTAAAAATTGTTTTATTAAGCATATGTAAAATAAGAGATTCAAAAAATTTAAGTCTATGTATATTTACTACAAAAGCCCATGAGGTTGGCCTCATTTTCTGACTGTTAGCTTCATCATTCAATTCTTAACTTGTCTGCTTGCTAGAAACTGTCAGATTTCCTCACAGATGGTTTCATTTAGTGACTGCTGTAGTATTCAATTATCATAGCCTGAAACAGTTATATTTTCATTCTGTCCACTATTCCATGTTTAATTATGATCTAAGATGAATTAGATTCTGAAATACAAAGTGATATAAAACCTAGTACATTTGACCAAGAGGTGTTTGCCCAGGTTGACTCGAGACTAAATGCTGATTTGAATGGGAGTGGCCATTCTTTATGATAGCATCAGTTTATTCTCAAAATGATTCCATTGACTACTAGAAATAAACTGTTATACCTTGAAAGATAATCTCAGTATTAAGTTTGGGGGGAAACATGACTTTTCTAGGATTGAAATTAGGTTTGGAATATCATTGGGTAGTAGGTTCAGTATTATTACATTTTAGAACATTTTCATGATATATATTTTATAAATATGAAATATTTTTTAAAAGAAAGTAGATCAGGTGTTTAGGGCCTAATTTGTTTAGTCTGTGTTCACTATTTCATTAATTACTTTTTATAATGATGTGTGGTATTTTATGTTCTTAGAATCTGAATGAAAATTGCAAAATACAAAAACTTTTTTCCCTTCTGCCAATCTTGTAAATAGTGGTTTTTTGTTTCGTTTTTGCCCTCTTGATCTAAAATTGCTTTTGTTTTCAGATGGTGGCCAGCAGAGATCTGCAACCCCAGGTCTGTGCCACTGAACATCCAGGGCCTTAAACATGACTTGGGGGACTTCCCTGTATTCTTCTTTGGTTCTCATGACTACTACTGGGTACACCAGGGCAGAGTGTTCCCTTATGTTGAAGGAGACAAAAGCTTTGCTGAAGGGCAGACTAGTATTAACAAGACCTTCAAAAAGGGTAAGCTGGATGATGTTTACAGTGACTCAAAACTACAACTCCGGTGTCAGTTTCTCAACATCTCCTCACCTCCCTAATATTTCTGGTATTAGAGAATTTTCACTAGACATTATGATCCTGTGTCCATAAGCTTCCAGTCACATTAGAACCAGGTTTAAAATACATTTCAATATTGTAGACTGTGCTGTGTATTTGAAAGGAATTTCTTCAGTGTCTTTCTATAAACACAGATTATTCTAGGAATAGTCTTTTTTTTTTTTTTAGACAGGGTCTCACTCTTGCCCAGGCTAGAATGCAGTGGCATGATCACAGCTCACTGCAGCCTTGAACTCCAGGGCTCAAGTGATCCTCTTGCCTCAGCCTCCCGAGTAGCTGGGGCTACAGGTGCCCACTATCATGCCCAGCTAATTTTTGTACTTTTTATAGAGATAGGGTTTCACCATGTTGCCCAGGCTGGTCTTGAACTCCTGGGTTCAAGCGATCTGCCCACCTCAGCCTTCCAAAGTGTTGGGATTATAGCTCTGAGCCACCAAGCCCAGCCTGAGAATAGTCTTTTTAATCAAGTGAAGTTCCTTTGCAACAGAAGAGTAGTAAAGACTTGCCATGAAAAGCCTTACAACTGCTTTTGCAATGAGTTGCCAGCAAGTTTGGCTTTCTGGTAAGGGTAAAATGAATTTAAATCTATTACAAGGCAAAAAGCTGCTCTTAGGGTCACTTGGAGACTTCTGATCATTGAAGTAGAGCCTCTTCCCTGTGGCTACAGCATGCACAGAGCATAGTGTTCAGTGAGTTATATCCTATTTCTTTGTTACCCCATCCTGGTGGTAAACAGTAACTTCCAGAAAATAATTCTAAAAAGAAAAATCTCAGGCCAGATGCAAAGCATTGGGAAGGCAGCGTAAAACTACTATCCCATCAATTTTCCTTTGGTTTTTGGTATTTACATACTTTGTATCATCTTATTGGCAGCACTGGAAGAAGCTGCAAAACGTTTCCAGGAATTGAAAGCACAAAGAGAAAGTAAAGAAGCCCTAGAGATTGAAAAAAACTCAAGAAAACCCCCTCCCTACAAACACATCAAAGTAAGTCTTTATCTCTGGCCTGGGATTGCCAAATAAAATAAGAAACAAAGTAAGTCTTTACTATGAAAGCATTGTTATTTAATAGATGAGACGAAATGCATTACTCTTTAGTAGTTAAAGACCCTCTTTGACTTGTGCAAACTTTTGCTAATTATCACAGTCTTCTGTAAAACAGAGCTTCTGTTGGAAGCATCAAATGGGAGCCATAGTTATTGTGCTGTGAAAATTAGGTCTTTGATAAGTCCTCTCATACCTAGTAGCAACATGTCTTATGTGAAATCCTGTTCTTGTTCTACCAGGTTATCCCGCCACCAAATGAGAATATAGGTGTTTACTCCCTTTATTTCAGAGAACCCACAAACAAGCGTATTTTCTCTTGTTTTCAGTTATGAAATTTCCATCTAGTGAAAGTAGAAATACCCAGGATAAATAAGTGAAAATTCACATGAGGCTTTGATATTTTTGTCAACTAAATGACAAAAGAGATGGTTATTAATCTCAGCTTATTCATCAGGAAAGACAACCTTTCTCGGAGTAGCACCACGAGGCAGTAGCGTGGATGTTTTAGATGTTCCTGTTCACATTGCCAGATGACTTACCTGCTGCCTCTCTCTCGCTTGCGATTTTGTTTTCTAGGCTAACAAAGTAATAGGAAAGGTGCAGATCCAGGTTGCTGACCTGTCAGAGATTCCCCGCTGTAACTGCAAGCCAGCTGATGAAAACCCTTGTGGCTTGGAATCGGAGTGCCTGAACAGAATGTTGCAGTATGAATGCCACCCGCAGGTGTGCCCAGCTGGAGATCGTTGTCAGAACCAGTGCTTTACAAAGAGACTATACCCTGATGCAGAGATCATCAAAACGGAGCGGAGAGGCTGGGGCCTCAGGACCAAAAGGAGCATTAAGAAGGTAGCATGGGATGGTGGTGGGGGGTGGAAGAGACCAGAACCTGGCTTTTCAGGAATGCTTCAGTAGGGTATAGTTCTAGGGATAAAATCAGCAGGAATTTGTGGTAAAATGTTAAAACTTTCCATGTTGAGAGTTTGGTACTTCTTGAGCAAAGAAGAGTAGTAGGAAGAAGATAGTGATAAAATGTGCTTAAACTTTGAGTGTCCAGTGGCTAGTCATAAAAAGGAGAGAGGGGACACTGGTAATTTCTATGTGAAATGGTTTTTACTTGTTTTTTTTATTGTTTTATTTTTATTTTCTTTTAAAGACAGGGTCCCCATTCTGTTACCCATGCTGGAATACAGTGGCGTGTTCATAGCTCACTCAAGCCTTGAACTCCTGGGCTCAAGAGATCCTCCCACTTCAGCCTCCCGAGTAGCTGGATAGGGTCTCACTACATTGCCCAGGCTGGTCTCAAACTCCTGGACTCAAGCAATTCTCCTGCCTTGGCCTCCCACAGTGCTGGGATTATAAGCATGAGCCACTGTGTCCAACCTAAAATTACTCTTGACATTTTTCTACCTTTTAAAAAAAATCAGCCGGGCACAGTGGTCACAGCCGAGGTCAGGAGATTGAGACCATCCTGGCTAACATGGTGAAACCCCGTCTCTACTAAAAATACAAAAAATTAGCCGGGCGTGGTAGCGGGCACCTGTAGTCCCAGCTACTCGGGAGGCTGAGGCAGGAGAATCACTTGAACCCTGGAGGTGGAGGTTGCAGTGAGTTGAGATCGTGCCACCGCACTCTAGCCTGGGTGACAGAGCGAGACTCCATCTCAAAAAAAAAAAAAAATCAGGTTTGTAATTTTAAAATGCCATCTAATGTAGTAAAGAAAAGTCATAGAATACAATCAATACAATACAATACAAAAAAGATAGCAGAGTGAAATTCTTCCTACATCCCTTCAATTCTTCATCTCCTCATCAGAGATAACCATTGTTCATAGTTTGATAGGTAGCCTTTTATAACGTTTTCTATATAGTTATAAACATATATAATAATACATTTTTTAAGGGTTTTCTAAACATAAGTATCAGACGTTTTCTTCCCATTCACACACGATAGCATAAATACATTTGTGGCAGTACATATAGATTTTACTTCATTCTTTTTAACAGTCTTATTTTAGTCATAGTAAAATGTACCATATTTAACCTATTTCCCAATAAGTAAATAAATAACCTATTTCCCCAATAAATAAATAATTTAACCTATTCCCAATAAATAAATAGATACATAAATATTTTTAAATTCCATAATGAATGTTCTTGGTCATCCACCTTTGTGCATCTATTTCTGTAGGTCAGATTGCTCGAAGTGAAATTCAGTTATTCGGTACATGTGTATTAAGCTGCTTCCTATGTGGCAGGTATTATTCTTGGCACTTGGAAAACAATAGTGAACAAGACACATGAAACCCTTACCTTAGTGGATCTGCTTGAGGAGACAGATAGTAAACATGTCGAGTGCCATTAACTGCTGTGAATAAAAATAAAGCTGGAAAAGGGGCTAGCTGGTGACAGGGATTGCCCTTTTCAAGTGATTGGCTCAGGGAGACCTGAGGAGGCGCTGTTTGCCGTGTGTGTGGTAGAAAGCCATGAAGGTGTGTGCAGGAGAAGAGCACGTCAGACTGGAGGCAGGCAGCTGTAAAGGCTGCAGTGTGCTCCAGGAACAGCAGGGAAGTTCTGTGCCTGGGGAGGAGCCACAGGAGAGGAAAGAGAGGAGCTGCGGTGAGAAGGTCAGCCACTGGCTAGATAGGATGGTGCCTTACTGGCCATATCTGCCATGGGATGGGGAACATCTGGAGGATTTTACTAGGGAGTGACTTGATCTGATTTGGTGTATTAGTTTTCTATTGCCACACACAAATGTTACCACAAAGTTAGCAAATTAAGACATAACACACATTTTATTATCTCACAGTTAATATGGGTCAGGAGTCTAGGCAATCCTTAACTGGGTCCTCTACTGAGGACCTCACCAGGTAGCAATCAAGGTGCCGACTGGGGCTGGGTTCTCCTCTGTGGCTTGACTAGGGAAGGATCTGCTTCCCTGCTTGCACAGTTGTTGGCAGAACTCCGTTCTCTAGCTATAGGGCTGAGAGACTCCAGTTGTTTTTGTTTTGGGGTGTGTGTGTGTGTGTTTGTTTGTTATGTGGTTGGCCAGGAGCTGCTTTCAGCTTCTAGAGGCTGCCCACAGTTCCTTGCCACATGGGATTCCCAGCATGCCACTTGCTTCCTTACAGCCAGCAGGGGTGAGAGACACTACAGGAAGATGGACACTGAAGTCTTATGTCATAAACTCACATAATCACCCCGTCACCCATGCCATATTCTGTTGGTTAGAAGCTAATCACAGGTCCTGCTCACATGCAACAAGGGGAGGAGGCGACAAAATGGCATGAACACCAGCAGGCAGGCATCACCGGGGCCACCTTGAGAGTCTGTCTGCCACACTTGGGTTTCGAAAGGATAACTGTGGCTGTGGTATGGAGAACATATGATAAGGAGGAAAGAGCGATAAAGGGAGACCATTAGAGTCGCCCAGGAGAAAGACAATGGTGACGTGGAATCACTGGGGTTGTAGTTGAGCCAGGAGGGAAGTGGTTAGATTTCTGACATTTTGAAGGTAGAGCCAACAGGATTTGCTGATGTATTGGATATGTGGACTGGGCTGCTTGGTCAAAGGCCAACCACATCTAAAATGTCATTGTATAATGCAAAATGTTTTATATTACTTTAGTGCCATGCATATCATATATACAAATTTTTGCCTATGATTTCACTGGAGTTTATGGGGCCATCCTGAAATCCATCCACTTTAATATTGTGTTAACACCTTTTAATAGTAGTTGCACTTATTCTGAAATGTGTTGTAAGATAACTTATTAAACAGTCTTGATTTTCCTGCTCTTTAGCTAGCACTTGAGGGTTTGCTGATGTAAGACAATTGGTCTTTTACAAAATAGCTAGAAATATACAATCACTGAAAAGTGTAATAATCACAGAGACATTATAGCAACATGAAAAAGATATTCGGGGTATTTACAGGAAAGAAGTCCAATATGAAATGGAATGTACACAGTCAGTCCCCTTCTTTCTCCACAGAACAGATTCCTGAAAATGTGTGCCAAACTGGGAACTTCTTGTTATGAAGTTGTTTCTTTCTCAGAAAAAATTTTAAGGTATTAAATATTGAATGACAGCCTCTTTGCTGTGGTCTATTTTAAGATATTAAATATTGAGTGACAGCCTTTTTGCTGTGGTCTATTTTAAGGTATTAAATATTGAGTGACAGCCTTTTTGCTGTGGTCTATTTTAAGGTATTAAATATTGACTGACAGCCTCTTTGCTGCGGTCTTTCAGGACAGATCTGTAGCATTTTTTAAGTTAATGAATTTGTTACAATTTTTTTTCACAGTTGAATTCATAGTTAATGGTTTTTAAGTCTAGTCAGCATCTCTTTGAGGCTAAAGATCTGTCTCAGGACATCTGAAATATTTCCATCTTTATTTACAGTGGTATCAAGTTTATGAGACTTGCTCTCATATTTGATATCAGCACTTAATTTTTCTGTATTTACTCATTTTCATAGACTAACAAGTATAAACCATAATAAATCATGATCAAGCTTTTAAAGTCACAAAACTATTTCTTCAAATGAAATCTTACCTTGAATCCCAATGTGTGAAAAAAGAAGTAGTAGAGCTGATTTGGTTGAAATTCTCCTCTATGAGTTTCCACTAAAGAAAATTTGCCCTAGGCCGGGCACAGTGGCTCACACCTGTAATCCTAGCACTTTCGGAGGTTGAGGCAGGTGGATCATTTGAGATTACGAGTTCGAGACCAGCCTGACCAACATAGTGAAACCCCATCTCTACTAAAAATATAAAATTAGCTGGGTGTGGTGATGCACACCTGTAATCCCACTACTTGGGAGGCTGAGGCAGGAGAATCGCTTGAATCCAGGAGGCGGAGGTTGCAGTGGGCCAAGATCACGCCATTGCACTCCAGCCTGGGCAACAAGAGTGAAACTCCGTCTCAAAACAGAAAATTTGCCCTAACATCATTAAGTATAGTAACAGTATGTGGCAATGCAGCCAAGATGGCAATACAATCTGCTACCCTTTGATATCATATCACAGTGCAAAATGTTGTTCATCAGCTGATAACAAAGTCCAAACTGGATACAGGAAAAGCTATTTGAGGCTGACAGTGTATATAATAGAAAAATGTGCAGAACAGTCCCATGTCCTTTGTGAGAAAGGACTGGAAGGAAAAAGTGAAGGAAATTAACTGTTTATGGTGCTGCAGTTACAGATGAATTTTGGTTTGTTTTTTTTTCCTTGAAACAGTCTTGCCCTGTCACCCAGGTTGGAGTGCAGTGGTACAGTCACAGCTCGCTGCAGCCTTGAACTCTCGGGCTCAAGTGATCCTCCTGCCTCAGCATCCTGAGTAGTGGGGACCACAGCCATGCACCACCACACCTGGCTGATGCTTTTTATTTTTTGTAGAGATGAGGTTTCACTGTGTTGCCCAGGCTGATCTCAAACTCCTGGCTCAAGCAGTCCTCCTGCCTCAGCCTCCCAAAGTGCTAGGATTACAGCATGAGCCACCACACCTGGCCTGTTTTTCTAACTGAATTCCATATCATAGCTTATACAGTAGATAAAAACAAGAGAGAGAAAAAGCCAGTGGTCACCTTTGGTAGTGACTGCTCCGCAGCTGAAGCATATGTAGCTCCGTGAAGCAGACCGGTGCTTCTCGCTGAGCTCACTCGCCACATGCCACCAAAGGAAGAGGCAGGGAGGTTAGGGCCCTTCTAGTTTAACCATTCATTTCTTTTCCCTTATTATAATCTATTTTTATCAATAGAAAAGATTAAATGTTTTAAAGACCATTGGCTTATGTTCCTAATGATTTTCCACAATCAGAAAACGTGATGCAGTACTTCTTTCTCTTCAGCTAGGGACTACCAACAGTTCTGTGATACTAAGAGCTATGAGAAGGGCTAGTGGAAATTTGTGGGGTGGGGGGTGGGAGGGAGAATGGGGAGAATGGGACAGAAATCTGATAAAATAAGCCAATACCTTTTTGTTTTTCAAGACATTTATTTTCCTCTAAAATATATTAGTAAGATTGGTAAGTCCTTATAGAGAATATTGACCTAGATTGAATGAGCAGTGCTTTTGAGGTGAAAAGGTTAATGATTATGTAATTATAAACACAAAATGTTGAATGTACAATATTTGCTCTTATTTTAAAAGGAGCTTATCACTGTATGCCTTTTAGAACAGCTTAAATAATAAATAGTGGCAATACCAGATGCAGACAGGACGTGGAGAAAGTGGATCTCATGAACTGCTGGTGGGAACATAACGATGGTATAGCAACTCTGGACAATAGTTTGGCAGTTTCCTTAATAAGGAAACATACACTCACCATATGGTGCAGCAGACACACTCCTGGCCATTTATCCAGGAAAATGAAAATCTATGTCCACACGAAAACTTTCACCAGAATGTTCATAGCAGCTTTATTTGTAAAGCCAAAATCTGGAAACAATCCAAATGTTCTTCCATGGGTGAATGGCTAAACAAATGGCAGAAACACTACTCAGAGATTTAAAAAGAACAACCTGTTGATATACTCAGCACCTTGGGTAGATCTCAAGAGAATCTGCCTGATTTTTTTCTTTAAAGCCAATCTCAAAAGGTTCTGTACTATATCATTCCATTATAAAACATTCCTTTTTTTGTTTTTTTGGTTTTTTGAGACAGAGTCTTGCCTTGCTCTGTCACCCAGGCTGGAGGGCAGTGGCGCGATCTCGGCCCTCTGCAGCCTCTACCTCCTGGGTTTCGGCGATTCTCCAGCCTCAGCCTCCTGAGTAGCTGGGATTACAGGCATGTGCCACCACGCCTGACCAATTTTTGTATTCTTAGTAGAGACAGTGTTTCACCATGTTGGCCAGGCTGGTCTCGGACGCCTGACCTCTGGTGATCCACCCGCCTTGGCCTCCCAAAGTGCTGGGATTACAGGCGTGAGCCACGGCGACCAGCCAAAACATTCTTGAAATGACAAAATTCTAGAGATGGAGAGCAGGTGAGTGACTGCCAGGGGTTAGGATGAGATGAGTGGAGGAGGGGTGTGATTGTAAAGGAGTGAGTATCACAAGGAATCTCTGTGGTGAGGCACCAGCTCTGTGTCTTGATTGCAGTGGTGATTACATGATCCTACGCCTGCTAAAACTGCATAGAATTATATACACACACAAATGTATGCATGTAAAATTGGTAAAATCTGAGTAAAGTCTGGATTATACCAATGTCGGTTTTCTGGTTTTGATATTGTACTGTAGTTATGTCAGATGTTACCACTGGGGAAACTGAGTGAATGTTCCCAAGATTTCCCATGTACTATTTTTGCCACTTCCTCTGAATGTCAGTAATTACTTGAAAAGAAGCTTAAAAACAAAAACAGAGCTCACTTGTTTCAGATTCAGATCTCTTCCAGGTCTCACCCCGAAACCTGCATAGCCACCAACTAGTAAAATTCTGTTATAATATAGCTTCAAAGGCTAGAGTTAGCTTTATCCCCAGATCCCAGCAATGCCCCACATGTTGTCACTTGGACTATAAAAATAGTATTGTCAGCAAGAAAAGGCAAGCAGATTGTCACCTTCTGAGGCACTTATACCAGAAAAATAATGCCACCTGAATGCCTATGAATAAATAACCATTTCTTTCTAGGGTTGAAGTTATATTTTCAGGGTTCTCTTTAATTATTTTGGGTTATACATGTGTCATTAAGCAATGCTTTATATAATACACTGATTTTAAGTTACATATTGCACATTTATCTCCAGGGTGAATTTGTAAATGAATACGTCGGTGAATTAATTGATGAAGAAGAATGCAGATTGCGAATCAAGCGAGCCCACGAGAACAGTGTAACTAATTTTTATATGTTAACTGTTACCAAGGTAAAATTGCTTTTTTTTTTTGTAAGAAAAAGGGATTTGTTTTTGTTTTTGTTTCATAGTCTTAATTTGAACTCAGTTTCTTTTAATTTGATTTTTCTTCAGGCAGAGCATAATGATTTGCAGTAGCTAGTGTGCTGCCTACTATAATGTGCCAATTATACCAGAGTAAAAAAATGAATGATACTGAAGCTTTGCACGTCATGTAAGACAGCACTGTGAGTGAAAATAAAACCAGGAGCAGGGTTAGCATATCTGGATTTTAGTCTGAGCTCTTTGTCAAAAAAGTCCTGGGCCTCAGTTTCTTTATTACTGAAGGAGAGAATCAACTCTGTGATTCTAAGTTATAAACCACCGTTATTAAAGTTCTACTGGAGCCAAAACTCCAAATTGTTCTGTATATTAAAACTTTTCGGCAGGGCATGGTGGCTTACACCTGTAATCCCAATACTTTGGGAGGCTGAGGAGGGCAGATCACATGAGCCCAGGAGTTTGAGACCAGCCTGTGCAACATAGGAAGACCCTGTCTCTACAAAAAATAAAAATAAAGTTAGCCAGGTGTGGTGGCACGTTTCTGTGGTCCCAGCTCCTCAGGAGGCCGAGGCAGGAGGATCACTTGAGCCCAGGAGGTCAAGGCTGTAGTGAACTGTGATCACACCACTGCATTCCTGCTTGGGCAATGGAACAAGACCCTGTCTCAAAAAAAAAAAAAAAGAAAATAATGAGCGCTGTCATAAGAAAAATGACAGTAAAGCTGCTAGTTTAATCTCTGCAGTTGTAAGACCTATTTGATACACAGTACATCCATTATCTCAGTTAATTTTTTTGTCAGTTCTCTGATTTACAGAGGACAAGAAGCTGATGTCCAGCCATGATAAGTGATTTGTTGACTATTTTGTTACACTTTTAAGAACCAAGACTAGTACCCATATTTCCTGTGTTCTAGGCTATCATATCTCTATAACTGAGATTCAGAATATCATTAAAGTAAGAAATGGAGCTTAAAAGTATTTTAACTGATACGTCATTGTTTGAAAGTTGTACAACTTTCATAAACATATTTCATAAACATCAGTTAAAATGTCGTTCTTTATGATTGCTGGGATCTGGCTCCTGCAACCCTATCCTCCCTGCCAGTGGCCCCTTCAGCCACCGTGACAGCACTTGAGAGGCTCAGTTCTGTGGAGCTTATCCAGATTATTAGAGTTCAAATTCAGGAAACCTGAATATTCAGCTTTTCAATGTATTGTGAACTTTAAGTAAAAACAGAGCAAACAGATAAGCACTGGAGAATATATCCTACACAGTAGTCCTTCCATCAGACAGCTCTCCAAGTTTTGTTTCTCATTTTTCTTTCTTCTTTCTGGCCTAAGCTCTCATGTATCCCCTCCTATACTAGTTTTGCTTCCTGCTTGGAGCAGAAAAGGAAGGCTGACAGCAAAACAACAGAGCAGTTATCAGAACTTTGAGATCTCTAATCAGAAAATACCATTCCTAAACCTCTGGCCCACTAATCTTCTAAATAGCATTATTCCATGGTCTATTTGTTTCTAGAAGCAAACTTAAAAAGCAACTAAATCCCACTTTATCCTAATTACTTTGACTTGAAGGTCATCAAATAAAGGAGAGAACTTAGTAAATTACCCAGGCAGCCTCACATTTCCTGATCTGTCAGTTGTCAAACACCAGTTGGTAGCAAAATGCTGCTGCCTGTGATCCTTGACTGAGTTGGATGTTTCTGGGAGAGACTTAATTTATGTAAAAGGTACTTTTCTTTTCTTTCTGAAGGACCGTATAATTGATGCCGGCCCAAAAGGAAATTATTCTCGCTTCATGAACCACAGTTGTAATCCCAACTGTGAAACACAAAAGTGGACAGTGAATGGAGATGTTCGAGTGGGACTATTTGCTCTCTGTGATATTCCTGCAGGTAAAAAAGTGACTCGTTCCCCATGCTTTCCTCCCTAGGAAGAAAGAATATCCTATAGAGCTAGGACATGGTTCTTCAAGGCTTGATGCCCAAGAACTTATTTAAATAAGAGGAAGGTTATATTTAGAAAACGTATTCAAATAAAAGGAGAGTTATATTTAGAACTGAGTGTTAGCTGCCAGTGAGAGGTAAAAATCTATAACCTCAAAAGGGAATTTAGTGAGAACTTTTATGTAAGAGCGGGTCTGACAGGATTCTGTGTCCGCAGTCCTGCTGAACGAATTCTCCAAGTTAGCTGCTGTCCATAGAGTGTAACCAGATGTTTTAGCTGTTGTTTTCTTTTTAAAACATATTAACAGTAATGAGCTTGTGTTAACAGCAGCTGGTTCCTTAGTTGCTGGGATCTTTTGTTGTTGTTTTCACTTTGAAAGATCATTCTGTTTCAAATTAGACATAAAAGCCTCTGAAGCCAAAGCTGTTTTCATTTTTCCTTACCTATCCAGCATCTGAACAATAAAACTTGGTTTCTCCTTTGTTTAGTTTGTAGAAAAATTGGTGAGAAGAGAAATGTTATAGCTAAAACAGATTTAAACTGTGTTTCTAGAACTCATTGTGGATTGTTTAAGCCCAGCTAGAAGAAAGCTTAGGAGGCCCTAGTTTGAGTCCCTGGATCTTTGGTGTATGCAGTAAACCTTCATTTTGGATCTTTATTTGATCATAATATAAGGCAGTAATTACTGGAAATAGTATTGTTACAATTCCATGGTCATATTGTTCATTTAGAAACTAGTGTGAGTTAGCTATAGAAAAGAAGGCTGAACTGGAACCTAGTCTCCTGAGCATAGATTGCAGATTCTTAGACCCTATCACTTTGGTTTCAACCACTGCTGTGAAAAGGACATGACTTCTTTTGAGGATGTGTAGTTTTGCTGTCATTGTTCCTGGGTGGGGATGTTTTTCTCCTTTTCTTTTTTTACCATCACTGTTATCAATGAGGTAGAACACTGGCAAGGGAAACGCCTTCATGCCAAAATGATGTCTCTTTTTTTCATTAGGGGAGTGTGCCTGTGAGAGCTTTTCTCTTCCCCATGACTCGAGTTTGAATAATTATTTCTCCTGTGTTTCAGGGATGGAGTTAACATTTAATTATAACCTAGATTGTCTGGGCAACGGCAGAACGGAGTGCCACTGTGGAGCAGATAACTGCAGTGGTTTTCTAGGAGTGCGGCCAAAGGTCAGTCTTGCAGGGGAGCGCCCCCAGTCAACAGGCGATAAGGAGTAGGGCTGTTAAGAAGTCTGTTTGGCCGGGCGCGGTGGCTCATGCCTGTAATCCCAGCACTTTGGGAGGCCAAGGCGGGCAGATCACGAGGTCAGGAGATCGAGACCATCCTGGCTAACACGGTGAAACCCCATCTCTACTAAAAATACAAAAAATTAGCTGGGCATGGTGATGGGTGCCTGTAGTCCCAGCTACTCGGGAGGCTGAGGCAGGAGAATGGCGTGAACCCGGGATGCGGAGCTTGCAGTGAGCCAAGATCGCACCACTGCACTCCAGCCTGGGTGACAGTGCAAGACTCTATCTCAAAAAAAAAAAAAAAAAGAAGTCTGTTTGTGTGTTTGTGACCATCTCAGGAACCTGCTGGCAATTGGGCACCTGGATTAGTTTGTGGGTCATCAGCTGGGCTTATCGAACATTTAGACTGTGACTTTCCAAGGAAGCTTGTTTCAGTAAGGTCTGTTAGGTTCTGAGAATGTATTTCATTTCAGATTGAATATGAAATTAGCAAAAAGCTAATTTAAAACTTTTTAAAAACCCACAAAATACTAAAGGCCACTGAATTATACACTTTAAAATGGCGAATTATGTGGTATGTGAATTATATCTCAATGAAAAAAATTAACAGGTTGTCTAAAAGTTGCTTGGATTTACCACTACCCTTGCAATTAAAAATAAAAAGCACCTGGCTGGGCGTGGTGGCTCACGCCTGTAATCCCAGCACTTTGGGAGGCTGAGGCCGGTGGATCACAAGGTCAGGAGTTTTAAGACCAGCCTGACCAACATGGTGAAACCCCATCTCTACTAAAAATACAAAAATTAGCTGGGCGTGGTGGCACGCACCTGTAATCTCAGCTACTCAGGAAGCTGAGGCAGAAGAATCGCTTGAAACTGGGAGGCAGAGGTTGCAGTGAGCCAAGGTCGCGCCATTGCACTTCAACATGGGCGACAGAGCGAGACTCCATCTCAAAAAACTAAATAAATAAAAATAATAAAAAGCACCCTATTCAAAAGTCAGTGAAGGCCAGGCGCAGTGGCTCATGCCTGTAATCCTAGCTCTTTGGGAGGCCAAGGCAGGCGGATTGCCTGAGCTCAGGAGTTCAAGACCAGCCTGGGCAACACAGTGAAACCCCGTCTCTACTAAAATACAAAACATTAGCCATGTGTGGCAGCACGTGCCTGTAGTCCCAGCTACTCGGGAGGCTAAGGCAGGAGAATTGCTTGAACCCAAGAGGTGGAGGTTGCAGTGAGATGAGATCGCCCCACTGCACTCCAGCCTAGTGACAGAGTGAGACTCAGTCTCCAAAAAAAGTCAATGAAAGGCTGAGGCGGAGGATCACTTGAGCCCAGAAGTTTGAGACCAGCCTGGGCAATGTAGCAAGACCCTGTCTCTACAAAAAAAATTACAAAAATTAGCCAGGCATGATGACATGCACATGTAGTCCCAGCTACTTGGGAGGCTGAGACAAGAGGATTGCTTGAGCCCAGGAGGTCGAGGCTGCAGTGAGCCAAGATTGCACCACTGCACTTCAGCCTGGACAACAGAGCGAGAACTCCATCTCAAAAATAAAATAATTTTTAAGTCAGTGAAAACAAAACTTTATTTTTGTTATAGTATTTGTTGCAGCATAAGGCCTCCTGATGTTTTTAGGTAATTGTACAACAGATGAATTTAAATGAATGCAAGGTTGCAGGGTTTTCCTGTGTCCAGCTTCATGCACTGTCTGTGATGTTTGAAACTATGATCCTTTCTTTCCTGCCAGTCGGCATGTGCGTCAACAAATGAAGAGAAGGCAAAAAATGCTAAGTTAAAACAGAAGAGACGAAAGATCAAAACAGAACCAAAGCAGATGCATGAAGATTACTGTTTTCAATGTGGAGATGGTGGAGAGCTGGTCATGTGTGACAAAAAAGACTGTCCCAAAGCATACCACCTCCTATGCCTTAACCTGACTCAGCCACCATATGGTAAGCTGGACCTTCAGGACCCTTTCCCTAATTTGTGTCTTTGCCAACTATGTGTAACTCACAATATATTCCATGCCATGGGATAGGAAATGTTGAATAGAACAAACAATAGCGAAAAATTACGCTGGCAAAAATCTTTCCCCTTACACATTTGGGATACCTTGTGGTTCCTCAAGGATTGGTTTCTTGTATACTGTTCCCGTAGGTGGGTACCTGTGGCGTTGGGTTTTGGCCAGTAGCTCACATCCATCCTAAACTGTACACCCAGATCTATGTTTGGTTGAAATTTGGAGTTGTATTCAATTGAATTCCATCTCCAATGAGAGAAGAAGGAACCTGGGTTTTTCATGGGTAATCAAGACAGGCACTAACTTGGGCACTTCTCCTTCTTCCTCCCCATCTCCCCGAATTAGGAAAGTGGGAGTGTCCGTGGCATCAGTGCGATGAGTGCAGCAGTGCAGCTGTTTCCTTCTGTGAATTCTGTCCACATTCATTTTGTAAAGATCATGAAAAGGGGGCCCTGGTTCCCTCTGCACTGGAAGGCCGCCTCTGCTGCTCGGAACATGACCCCATGGCTCCTGTGTCACCAGAATACTGGAGCAAGATAAAATGTAAATGGGAATCACAAGATCATGGAGAAGAAGTAAAAGAATAAATGTGTGGTGTCCCCTCCTTTCTATTTAAGTGAAAAAAGCAAATAGATCATGCATTTAAAAAGAAGAGACTGCTACAGTGCATACAGCCTTTGCCATCGGAACTGCCTTATTAAAGCAAAAATGGGAAACCAGTTCATGCAGGCAGAAGCAGTTGGTGGTGTCTGGTTTTTGTTTGATTTGGTTGGTTTGGGATTCTTTTGTGGAGGGTTAAATTCCCTTGGTCTTTTCTTGCCTTTTATTGTGCTTCAGTGCCATTGCAGCTTGAAAAAGAAATGTTTTTGCTGTTAAAATAAGAACAAAGAGAAAAGTAAGTTTTGTTAATGAGATAAATTTAAAGTCTAAGATGTGTTCCTTGGTTGTATAAAGCAAAAGTAGCCATCATTCCTTTATTTATTTTCATTTTTAGGAATTTCAAGAAGTGTAGTTCAATAGTCTAATCAAGTGTGTGTGTGTTTTAAGTAGGAATCTGAGAAAGCCCTCTAGGAAAGGGTATGATAAGCTTTATATACCTCTTTACTGAGCAGTAGGTAGGCTCACTTCTCTTTCCCTTCAAAATGCTTTTCATAGGCTTAGAGAAGGGCTCTATGGAAGTATTAAATCTGGCCTCTTGAAAACAATGCCTCGGTGGATTTTACCTCTGTGGTCTTAAACAAGGTGGGCTTTGTACTATGGTAACTTTACCTAGAAGGGTATATGGTGTGTTTCCTTGGTGGAAGGAAAAAAAGGAATGGATGTGCTCACTGATTTTTAAAACGTTTTCCATTGACATGGATGGTTTGGGTTTTGGATGAAGTGCGTTTCTGTGGATATGAAGCATAGTTGGAATGGTCACTCCTATTTTCCTGACACTGATTAAGGCAGCTAAAGGGGGATGAAGGCATAAACCAAAATTTGGATCATATAAGCACCATTTTCTGTCCAATTTTATTGTAGACCCTGGTCTTAATTGGAGAGAATTACAGGCATTTTATTTTTTGTCTCTGTTTTCCTCTCCTACTCAAACATTTCTTTTGTCATCTGACCATTCAGTCATGTTTCCTGGTAAAACCACACAAGTGAGTTTGAATTGTATTTGAATAGATCTTTTTGGTTGAGTTCCTAATTTGGGGGGTGAAAGTAGTAGGGGCATCCCCAGGTTACATGTAAAGAATTTCTATTATTATCCAGTACTTAAGATTGCTCCCATTGAGTAAGGGGAAGAACTTCTACTTTTACAGGGTGCATAAGAGCCACACAAACACACTTCATCTTAGGAAGCACTTGGAGAAAACTCCCAAGAAAGTCAGTGTTAGCAAAAATGGTTGATGGTGATGCTTGACTCTTATAGATGCGAGTATACCAAGATGTCTGCTCACCAAACTCACTTGCTTTTAATGCTTAGGAATATGTATATTCCAGTATTCCTTGTATGAAAATAATTAGTAATGTCAGACATTGTTGTAACACTGTACTAAGTAGAAGTCTAGGGTTAGCTTGAATGAATGTTAACTTTCTCTGTGAATTTTGACTGCTTACAATTGCTGGTACCTGGTAGCATTTATTTTCCCTCAAGTACCTAGTAACCTTATGAAGGTAGGGAGGGTAGATGCTCTACCACATTCCTTCAGCTGTATTGAGTGTTCCATTTGCTTATCAATTTAGAGCTCTTCTATGGAAAGAGGGTGAAAATCTGTTTTGTGCCTCTTTTTTTTGTATGTAAATGTGCAATTATACTGGATTTTCTCTTGTAAAAAACACTACAATTCTTTTACTGAAGCTCCTAAACTGCCATTTGCCTGACTCCAGCAATTAATTCTGCGGTGACTCATTGGGCTTCCAGTACTTCTGTTGATTAGATATGGTCCCAAAAGAAAGAGCAAAATGGAAAATGCGATCCATGTCACCAAATATAATTGCTACAAGTAACATGAAATACAGCTCACCAAAACACTAAACTTTGCTCTTGAGCAATTATATAGTTTGATGTCCTTTTAAAAAATAAGAAAAGCTAGGTTTTATCATACTAAAATTTTATTTTGTATATGATGTTTGGTTTTTTAAACTTACTAACATAAGGATTTCCTTTAATATTCCAAATACAGTTCTTGAAACAGTATCCAACATGAAATCTTATCTCCTTGCTTTTAGACTTAGTGCTATTTACTATCTAAAGACTTTTCTATGGTAAGCCAGGGTACATCCTATATACTACAGATACCTTAGGTTTCAGTATTTTTATGCAGCTTCTTCATTGTGTCACATTTTGTTTTCATATCTGTAACAGAGCTCTGCTGAAATTAAAAAAAAATTATGATTAATAGGATTGTTTCACCATTTCAGAAATCAGAGTAGAAAACAAAATAGCTGCCAGGTGCAGTGGCTCACACCTGTAATCCCAGCACTTTGGGAGGCCGAGGTGGGCAGATCATGAGGTCAGGAGTTTGAGACCAGCCTGACCAACATGGTGAAACCCTGTCTCTGCTAAAAATACAAAAAGGAGCCGGGCATGGTGGCACATACCTGTAGTCCCAGTTTCTCAGGAGGCAGAGGTTGCAGTGAGCCAAGATCACATCACTGCACTCCAGCCTGGGTGACAGAGCGAGACTCCATCTCAAAAAAAAAAGGTAACCATAGTTCTGAAGTCTTTGGCCATGAATGTTCTTTAATGGTCTAAAAAGCGGTTTTAGTCATGCTGGTGCCAAGGAGTTCTCCTCACACCTCCATAGCGTCAATGTTGACCTATTTGATATATTTTTAAGTTGCAGATTATAGATGCAGAAAGAGAAAATTGTCCTTTATGTGTGCATGAGTATACATGCACTGTGCCTGTGATACACCAATGAAATATTCCAAAAGACATTGCTCACTCATAGTCTGAAGTTGGTATTTGTTAACTTTTAAATCTATATGTGGTCAGAGTGTAAGTGGCTGGTTTTTATTCTTGTCCAACAATGAAATAACTTAAAGCAGCATGGGCTAATGGTGGTATTTTTTTTAACCACATGTTAATTTGTTGAAGGAAGAAGTGAACATAAGATTTTTGATAATCAGCCTAAAGCTTCAGAAACTGGATCAGTAAGAGCTAAAGATGAAATCCTGGGAAACTTTCTCAGGCACTGTGCAGGGGAGGGAGGGGCTGGACCGCCACTGCTGCGAGGGAAGAATCAGAAGAGCTGCCTGTGGCTGGCTGAGAAGGGCAAGGTGGATGGCTCTTCATTCCTGGAAGGCTGAAGCAGCCAGAGGCAGTGATTCACCTCTTTAATGTCTAATCAGGGAGAGATACAGGAGTGAGGTGGGTTTTATTTTCATTTTTGTTTTAACAAGTTCCCACTCTTATCTTAATTCTCAAAAATGATCTGGCCTCATCTATAGAACTGGCTGAGTTGGGGAATCATTTAAAATTTGGGATTTTCTGTACAAGTCAAGAACATATGTGAAAGCTAAAAAAGTAATGGAGGCAGGGGGACTGCTCCCAGCTCCCTTCTGCCATTTACACAAAATATTTGAAAACATGTCTGTAAATAACGTTGTGGAACTGAGATATTGAGTATCTAATCATGTAAAGGACCCTCAGATGGGACAGGCTATTGGACAACTTTCCTGGTTCATGAAGTGGAATTTCCTTTTTGAGTAGTTTCTTGCATGGTGTATTCCAATAGGTCAAACCCAGACCTACTGTTTGCAAACAGGCCATCTGTAGAGAATACAATCTCTGGACTGCCCAGGACTTGTTGCTTGTCTTTCATTTCATTTTAAATACAAAGCTCTTCCTTTAGCATTCACCTTGAAGTCAAGGTGTTGGCTGCCACATGCCATGTCCTCTTAACAAGATAAGAAAACAGTGGCTATGGAGCCCTCACAGCTGGGAAGCTGACATTCTATACTTCCATATGAGAAAAAGGACATTGGAAAGTTGCTTTATTTCTGGGCAGCGTAGACTAAAGTTACTTTTCACAAGGCTGATGCATCCAGCCTCCCCCAGTTGTCCAAGTTGGTGCAGACATGAATTGATGAATGGAAACACTTTCCTTTGGCCTAGGGCCACCTAGAATTGGTCTCTGGTTATTTGTAAAACAAAAAGTAGAACTTGCTTCCATTTTCAGATGGACTAGGGAATACTATAATTAGACAGCTTTGCAATGAATTAACAAATACTGAAAAGTTGGAAATGTGTATATACTGAAATCTCACCAACTTTTACCTGGGGTGGGGTACCAGGAGAAAGGGAACCCCCTTTCTCCTGGTAAAGGGTAAGGGGGGGGATAATGTTTACCACAGGTACGAAATAGTCACTTTAACATTGAGACCTCTGCCTCATTGAATTCAGGTTTTTTAAGTACTTGAAACTCTTCAGATTCTCCTTATTTTAGTTTCTTTTTACATTTATGAAGTAGAAAGCATTGTTTTGTAAACTGTTTTGAAAATAAATAGCCTAGTCTCTTATCCTCTTTAGCGTGGATTAAAGGTGAAGTTCTGCAAATGGGAGAGTGTTCACAGTAGATAGCTCAGATTGATTGAACACATTTGAGGAAGAGACTCCTGCATGAGATACCAGCATTTTTACAAATACTTTTTATGTACATTCTTTATTTTGTCATTTTGTCAACCCTCTCCCCAAGCACATCTTCTTTCCTTTTACTATGTCTATGTAGGGAAAAAAACAAAACAAAAAATTGCACTTACGTTACACTCCCAAAATGTGGGTAATCCGTGTCTTTCAAAAAACATTTCTGTTTTTTGTTTTGTTTTGGTCAGTCCATTGCATAAGTGACAAGTTTGGGTGCTTGTGGCACGTATGTATGAAGCGGGAGGGGGATGAGAATTGCCTGTCCTTCAGTAGGCTGTAAAAGTAATTTACATGTAAGTAAAAAGGGAAAATAGAATAGATGCCAAAGTCATTTATTCAGTCCTTAGTTTTCTTATGTGGCATTACTGCATCTGCTAGTTAGTGAGAAAGCACCCTCAGCTTTTACTGCTCCCCTCCCTGCCTGCCAACACACTTGATGTGTGCAAACAGCCCTCAAGTATCTGTCAGATGACCTATATAAGGTATTGAATAAGGTATTCTTGTCAGTTTAGAAATGGACTGGATAAAACTTACTTGGTTGTCATTATTTTATCTCATTTGTCCTGTTACATGCCCTATGTTAAGATAATTATATTGCCACTAATAATCAAGATGCTAAATGAGTATTACAACTGGCTAATATCATTTTTTATATACAAGGGTATGTGTATATTTGGAATTGATATGAGAAACTCATTTGTACCCATTTGAGTGATATTGCACAACAAACACAGATACCTACAGACTCCGTTTTCATTTTCTCGTGTTCTTTATGATAATGATCTTTGTAGATTGGTTATTTCTGTACTTTATCTGTAATAAACTTTGTAGATCCTGTGAACCATTACTTTGCCTAAATCACTTGAGACTTGAGTCTTTAATAACAAAGCATCAATATTCACTAAAGTCAATCTCTTTTGAGTTTCTGTGACTTGGCTAGAAGCTCTTGACACTAAGGGATTAGTGTTAATTTTCCCTGGGGGTGTTCCACTAGGGCATTACTGTATAATGACTTGATGTTGCCACATAGACTTCAAGATATATAATATTTTGAGGATTTTGTTGATTGGCCTATGTTTTATTGCATAGTGTGAAACGTGTAAAGCTTGGTTAACCTGTATATAGATAGCTTATTGTTGACTAGTTATAGTGTATTTAGGGTTGCCTGTAATATTTAAGCTTCTTTACTGATGTGTGTGCTGGTAGGAACATATAATTTTTGTACATTATATTTACTGAGATGTTGCCTTTTTTATTTTACAAATACTTTGGAATTCCAATGTGTTTTTTGCTTCCGTGAGGATTAATTTGGAAAGGTTTTTAATGACATTCCACTGATTTCAGATTTTGCTTGAGATTGACTTCAATAAATTGTCCTGTATGTTCCAAATTAAATATGTGGGCTTGTTCTTTGCCAATAATTTTTTGCTACAACACTCTGGGCAGGAGGCCATCCTGGGTGGGAGGACTAAATGACACAATCCAGCCAACCTCAGGTAGTGTAGCTTCCTGCAGAATGCGGCTGTGTTGCTAAGGAACGAGGATCTGAGAGCGGGCTGTTTGGTTTTCCATTTAGAGGCGAGGTCCCGGGAGAAGGCTGCTCCCCGCGGTGGTGTGGTTGGGCCGTGGAGACGAGCTGCTGATGATGGACCGTACGCCGACCTACTCGGCTGGAACTGGGGCGCTGGCTCCCTGCTGAACGCACCAGAGGGCAGCTCCGCTGGCTTTGCGTACCCTTTGCCAGACGATGCCCTCGGCACAGCCGCCAGGCCGTCTTCCTGGGGAGCCGCCGGAGCGCGGGCAACTGGGAGAGGGGGCGGTGCCCAGTTCCCGGCCCGGCCCTCCCCGCGGAGGTGGCCACGTCAGCGCAGCGTCGCTCGGAGCTCGCGGCCGGATGGGGAAGGCGGCGGCGGCGGTGGCCTTTGGGGCCGAAGTGGGCGTGCGGCTCGCGCTGTTCGCGGCCTTCCTGTAAGAAAGATCCACGGCCGGGCCCGGGCGGCCCCGCTTCCCAGGCAGGCGGGCGGCACGGGGCGGCGGGTCGGGCAGTGGGGAAGCGGGGAGGAAGCCAGGCGACCTGCTCTGCGCTTCTTTGTTCCCCTCTAGGGTGACGGAGCTGCTCCCCCCGTTCCAGAGACTCATCCAGCCGGAGGAGATGTGGCTCTACCGGAACCCCTACGTGGAGGCGGAGTATTTCCCCACCAAGCCGATGTTTGTGCGTGGAGAAAGATCGTCTTTCCTCCCTCCCCATGACCCGGCTTCCCGCGGGCACCTGTGCGTTTTCCACCCCGAGACGGCCTTTGTAGGGACCCACTGCCCACTCCGCTGCTGTGCGCTGGGTTCCGCCTCCTAGGGCTCGAGTGTTTAAGATCCTGATTGAGAGAGGAGGGTGTCCGAGCCTCTTTGGGCTGAGACAACGTTTTCCCGGGCGCTCTGTGCCTCAGCCTGAGGTACCGGGGCCCGAGCCGCACGGGCGCTGCTGTTCACTGGTGGCGCTGCCTGGCGCCCGGTTACGCGCACTCAGAGACCTTATGTTAGCTCCAGTGAGTCCTGCTGTGTCACATCCCTCTTTCCTGTAGGAGCACGAGTGTGGCTTTTTTTTGGATTGTTTTTAACCTCTGACATTCTGATTCAGGTTATTGCATTTCTCTCTCCACTGTCTCTGATCTTCCTGGCCAAATTTCTCAAGAAGGCAGACACAAGAGACAGCAGACAAGCCTGCCTGGGTGAGCGCTAGCCCTTTCGGGCCGGTTTCTTCGTGCTGGGAACCTAGGAGGTCGTTGTGGGATTCAGCCACGGTGAGCCTGTGTGGAGGCCACTGAGTTCTGCATTCCTAAAGGAACTCTATCCCCGCGGGAGAGGAAAATAGCACTGCAGGGACTTGGTTACGCAGGCTACACGGCAGGCAGCCCTGTGCCTAAATGCACTGGGTTATTTGTACCTCAGAAATGTCTTTGGCCTAGTACAAAAGTTCTCGGCTACAAAAGAGTGATCACTGAGGACCCTAATTATTTTTGTGCCCAGGCCTGGTTGGATTCTATCCATCTCAGAAACAGCACGGCTGCTCTCATAACGAGGCCATGACCATACCTTTCCTCCTAGACAGATCCTTTCAACTAATGGCTTTGCTTTGCAGCTGCCAGCCTTGCCCTGGCTCTGAATGGCGTCTTTACCAACACAATAAAACTGATCGTAGGGAGGTAAGTGACAACAGCTAACCACCCCAGCATCTGCCTCAGCCCTTACCCACCAGAACAGAGAGGTTAATGGTGTCCACCACACGTCTTTCTCATTCTTTTCTCCTTTATCTTCACTCTGATTTTTCTTTTGTCATTCAACGCTTACTCCCTTCCCCATACCTCAGTCCTCCAGGTGACACCTGGGCTCTTTTCTGCCTGAACAGCATTTCCCACCAACGGCCACAGCAGTCGGTCAGTGTCCTCTTGAGCACCTCCTGAAGCTGCAGTGTCATTTGCTGTTTGCCCTAAAAAGTAATCATGTGCTGGAATGGGCGTTTTTCCCCTAATTTAAATGCTCACCTTGAAAGGCTTTTCTCTTAGTGTGGTGACTATACTAAGCCAGTTACCTTATTTTGCCTGGGGCACTATTTGACCAATAGTTAACAGGATTATTAATGTCTGCTACAACTGAAAAATAATTTCTGGAGTTAATGATTTACGTTCCAACCATGCTGCTTTCTTCCAGGCCACGCCCAGATTTCTTCTACCGCTGCTTCCCTGATGGGCTAGCCCATTCTGACTTGATGTGTACAGGGGATAAGGACGTGGTGAATGAGGGCCGAAAGAGCTTCCCCAGTGGACATTCTTCCTGTATGAATATCATATGGACTCTACCCTATGCTTGTTTTCACATCATTGAATTTAACCTAGAAAGCTAGTAGGGATGGGAAAATCTGACTACTCTTGTTTCTACAATTTGGAAAATCCCCCCTTCTTTAGTAACTCCACAGTTTAACAAGTCTGAGCCTTGACTATTTGGGTAAATATTACAGAACAGAAAGGTAGTTTACCTTCATGAGATTTGCACATTTAATTGTTATATTATTTGCCTAGATCCTGCAATCTTGTACTAGCAATAAAAATACCTTTAACGAAGAGTTTCTATGTGTCAGGTACTTTGAAGCATTTTCATTTCTTACCTAATTATAGCTCACAATAATCCAATGAGGTGGGGACTATTGTATTTATGAGTCCCATTTATAGATGAGGAAACTAAAGCATCAACAAGTTGATACATATAGCTAGTATACCGAAAACTATACTCAGATAAAACATTAACTTTGGGGCACTAAGTCCTTCATTTTTCTTTTTGTTTCCCTTTCCTTCACAATGACTTACACTATAAGTATACACAAAAAAGGATTAAAACACCCTCATGGCCGGGTGTGGTGGCTCATACCTGTAATCCCAGCAATTGGGAGGCCAAGGCATGCAGGTCACTTGAGGCCAGGAGTTCAAGACCAGGCTAGCCAACATGGTGAAATCCCAACTCTACTAAAAATAAAAAAATTAGCTGGGCATGGTGGCACACACATGGAGTCCCAGCTACTCGGGAGGCTAAGGCAGGAGAATCGCTTGAACCCGGGTGGTGGAGGTTGCAGTGAGCCGAGATGGTGCCACTGCACTCCAGCCTGGGCGACAGAGCAAGACTGTCTCAAAAAATAAATAAATAAAAACATACTCATGCTTCCTAGCCTCCTATGTGGGGATGAATGAGGTAGCTTCCTTTAAAAGACAAACCACTTAAAAGTTTTTCTTGTTCCAGTTGCATTTGCTGGTCTGGCCTTTGCGTCCTTCTACCTGGCAGGGAAGTTACACTGCTTCACACCACAAGGCCGTGGGAAATCTTGGAGGTTCTGTGCCTTTCTGTCACCTCTACTTTTTGCAGCTGTGATTGCACTGTCCCGCACATGTGACTACAAGCATCACTGGCAAGGTAAGCAAAGTACTCAGGCTATGGAAGCTTGCATATTTCACTCATTTTATTCCTAGCACCTAGCACAGAGGAGATGCTTACTAAATATCTGCTGAATGAACAAATTAATGAGTATGGATGGTCTGGGTTCTGTACTAAGTACATTTAAAATTATAGGAAAGATAAGACAAAAAGAGTTTACCAAAGATAAACATCCTAATTTTTCCATTATTTGAAGCATTGTAAGTTCAAGTTAAACTGCATCTACAGGAAATTTAAAACCTCAAAGTTCAATTTACTCTCTTAAAAATCAGGTTCATTGTCATAGGACTTTTGTTCAAAAACATAAGTAAAATTCAAGAAAACATAAAATTATAATTAAACCAAACAAATTTAAGCTGAATGCTATAGTAAGTAAAATATCCAAATTACAGAACACCTGGCTTGGCGCGGTGGCTCACACCTCAGCACTTTGGGAGGCTGAGGCAGGCGGATCACCTGTAGTCAGGAATTCGAGACCAGCCTGGCCAACATATTGAAACCCCGTCTCTACTAAAAATACAAAAATTGAGGCCAGGTGCAGTGGCTCATGCCTGTAATCACAGCACTTTGGGAAGGTGAGGTAGGTGGATCACCTGAGGTCAGGAGTTGAAGACCAGCCTGACCAACAGTGAAACGCTATCTCTACTAAAAATACAAAATCAGCTGGGCATGGTGGCACACGCCTTTAATCCCAGCTACTTGGGAGGCTGAGGCAGGAGAATGGCTTGAACCTGACACAATTCCAAAAAAAACGCTGGAGGTATTGCCCACAGGTCCTCAGGAACCCTATTTTAAATTTTTAAATAAACTAGTTTTTTGCAAAGAGAAGCAACTCTTTTTTTTTTTTTTTTTTTTGAGACAGAGTCTAGCTCTGCGCCCAGGCTGGAGTGCAGTGGCACCATCTCGGCTCACTGCAACCTCCACCTCCTGGGTTCAAGCAAGTCTCCTGCCTCAGCCTCCTGAGTATCTGGGATTACAGGCACATGCCACCACGCCCGGCTAATTTTTGTATTTTTAGTAGAGACAGGGTTTCACTTGTTGGTCAGGCTGGTCTCAATCTCCTGACCTCGGGATCCATCTGCCTGGTCCTCCCAAAGTGCTGGGATTACAGGCGTGAGTCACCGTGCCCGGCGAGAAGCAACTCTTAAAATACTTTATTCCTTCCTCTAGGACCCTTTAAATGGTGAAAATGGGCAGATGAATAGCAATAAGTGGACCTTTGTTACTCTTCTGAGTTAGAAAAATTCTAATTTAGTACACTCTGAACAAAGCTTATTATACTTACTTAAGATGTGTTTTGATTTGGTGTTCAGAAAGCAACCTGACAATGATAATACTGTAACTATGATAAAATTGAGAATAAAAAGATTTTATTTAGAAATCATAAGTCTGGAATTGAGGTTATTTTAGCCCCACAGTAGAGTATCCTGGAGGGCCAGGTCCTCTATGCTATGTGTATGTAATAGGATTTAGGAGCCTAATATTAAGAGAAGACCTTGTTTCCACTCTCTTCAGATGTACTAGTTGGATCCATGATTGGAATGACATTTGCCTATGTCTGCTATCGGCAGTATTATCCTCCTCTGACTGATGCAGAATGCCATAAACCATTTCAAGACAAACTTGTACTTTCCACTGCACAGAAGCCTGGGGATTCTTATTGTTTTGATATTTAAAAATTGAATCTGGCCGGGCGTGGTGGCTCATGCCTGTAATCCCAACACTTTGGGAGGCTGAGGAGGGTGGATCACCTGAGGTCAGGACCAGCCTGGCCAACATGGTGAACCCTGTCTCTACTAAAAATACAAAAATTAGCCAGGAGTTGTGTGCCGTAATCCCAGCTACCTGGGAGGCTGAGGTAGGAGAATTGCTTGAACCTGGGAGCTGGAGGTTCCAGTGAGCCGAGATCGCACCACTGCACTCCAGCCTAGGCAACAGAGTGAGACCCCATCTCAAAAAAAAAAAAAATTGAATCTATCTCAATAGAGAACAGGTGAACTAGCCCTCCTAACCGGACCATGCACAAGACAAGAAATTCTAGCCTTTTTTTCCCCTTCCAAGGTGCAAGTGAGGACATAAGCCACACTGTATTCTGCCTCCAAATGATTACACACTTTTGCCCCTGCTCATCTATCTTGAGGAGTTACGGTTCTTTTCCACTACTGTATGCCACATGTTCTAGTAAAAGGATCTTTCAAAGGTGTCCAACACCTTATGAATCTGGTCTATCAGATTAATATCTGAAGATCTACAGTGTTTTTACATTTAATTTAAATGCCATTCTTAGAAGGATCTTGTCACAAAGAAGCCTTTACATAGCCCCACCTTGTCTCAGAAGCTAGAGTTCATTATCAAAACTTAATTTCCATTTCATATAGCTCAAAATCTTAAAATCTAGGGCATGGCCAACTAAATTACTTTGATTCTGTTTACCTTCTCTGATGACAATTCCATCAAGCCTTAAATAGGAAAATGTCGAATCTAGGGTAATTTATCACTTTTGTGTGCATCTTATCTGAGTCCAGCCATCTGGTACTGCTGTGCATTTTGAACACCGTGGGCATAAACAATTTGTTGAATTACTAAGTGAAAACAATAATAAAGAAGAAAATGGTCAGGAGTGTGGTTTCAGCACTACTAACAGATGACTGTTTCTACCTCATTTGACCATAACTGTACTTGTGAGCTTCTTTCCTTCCATTCATGACTGAAGATCTGCTCAAATGCACCAACACTGCCAAGTGACTAAGGTAGAAAAGAAAAATGACAGGTATCGTCATCTGAAGGACAGATGAATCTTTTTCTGCCCCTTCTTCACAATGGAATATAAGGAACAATTATGGGATGTCATCAGAATGGATGCCATAGGACCTACAGCTCCCTTTCTCTTTATTGTGATTATACTTTAAATATGACATTGTCTTTTATGTGTATGTTCCTATATTTTCAATGTATCTTTTTCCTTCAGTAAACCTGATATTCAAATAAAATGGTAAATGTGTGCTTTTTTAAATATTTAAAGTACATTAAGGGGCTGGAACTTTAGTAAAGCAAAACATTGAATTCCCCATCCGCCCTAAGTGATTCAACTGCTGTTATCTATAGTACTGGCTAATATTTATAAATACCAAAGGAAAGTCTCTTATAATTGCCATGCTTTAAATTCTGAACTTAAATTCTGCCTATGACAATTAAAATACCAGTCAACAGGAAAGAACTTACATATTAGTTCTTTGCCCAAAACCTATTTTTTTGTTTTAGTAATACATAAAGACAGAGAAAATCGTGACTGTACTGATTTTCTTGACTTTGAGACGGGTGAGTCCAGGTAAAAGTAGGCCACTAGTCAATATGGTTTCATGTTAGTATTTACTAAAGTTTTAAATATAATCACGTAGAAAACAAACATTTCAAAAATGCAAAATATTAGAAATCTAATCAGTGCTATTAATCTTTCCATGCAAACAATCTCTTTTGCTGAGATAAGTGATACTAGTTCTGCAGCTGGGAATATGTACAAAATGATGCTGTACCAGAGTTTAAAAATAGGGTTGGTCTAGAGATTGCACATGATACAAATGAAGCAGCGCAAATAATATATGACTAAATACAGGATTTCAATCAAGCTTATCATCCTGGGAATATACAGCTATAATACCATGAATAGACAAGATATAAAGCTCTTTCACAGTTACCCACCCCTCACCACTAGGAAAGAAACATTTCTTAATACAAAGAGTGGTTTATCTGGCTATCCAGGGCTATGCTGTCCATCTTTGGTTATAGGGACTCCCTCTGCTTATCCTTTGGTTTACTCTTAAATAGCACCTATTCTGCCAATAGGAAGAGTAAACATAAATTTGAAGACCACAACTTGGCAAAAGCTTCCCCTTAATATACAGTGAATACTTAATTCTCAATAACTCAGAGTTTATATACCTTTAAAAAAATAAAGTATTCCATATATCTGAAACTTAGTGGCATACTTAGCACTAGACTATAAGCAGATGACAAAGAAAGGCCAGGCCTGACCTATACCCCAACCTTACCTCTACAATCTCCATGGTGACAGTAATTACCCTTCATTTTCCTTTTCTTTCCAGAAAGGGATAAAGACCACTGCTGTCTAAGGAATGGCTTCAGTAAATATTAAATGTCAGTGGCTTTGAATACCATAACATTTATAAAAAAATTTATAAACAATAAACCACAGCTCGCCTGCCTTTGCCACTCTATAAACAGAGGCCTGTGGAATCTGAGAGCAAGTATAAAGGATTATCATAAAGAGAACTACAAAGACAATGACAAACTGACCAATGAAGAAGAAAAATCTACAGCAAAGTAGTGAAAAGATGCCTTGACAAAATTAGTGTGCAGTCACTTGTGTTCTTAGAAGTAAACCTCACTTCATATGTTCCAGACTCAGCTGACACTGACTCTGGAATAGCTGTTTCTTGGACCCTACAGACATAAGTTTTTCTTTCAGAACAAGTTAAACATTTCCCCCTAGCCAAACCTACCTGCTCAACCAATGCTGCCCGTGCCAAGAGCCTTTTAAATATGCTTTGTGGATTATGGATACCTAAGAAGGAAAGAGGATACACAATACTACCTTAGCTCAAGTAGAAATGGCAGGTGACAAATTCTGTTTCACCATAAAGGCACCACTAAAAGGTTTTATTTAGAACCTCAGCAGCCTGTAGAGGCTACACAATTTCAGGTTCATCAGCTTTTACAACTATTTTCAACGTAAGAATAGAAGCTATTAGCAAATAACTTCTATCAAATATAAAAGGGAGGCCTAGGATATACAACATCTTTGCTTTATAAAGATGCACCTAACATGAACTAACTTGTCAACTTTAGACTCTTACAGCAGCTCAAACAGTTGCAAAAACAATGAACATCAGTGATTTCTGGCAATAAGTCTGTCAGTTCTAAGAGAGTAAACAACACTTTTTTAAAGCTACATTCTAGTCTTTCTTCATACACTACACATAAGAAAGAAATGCAGGTTCAAAAATAAATCACCCAAAAGTCTTTTCCATGTCCACTGAGACTTAGCCTTCAGTTCAACACAAACAAGAGATAAGTGTACTCCAAAATGCCTTCTGAATCTCAAGAATCTGTTTCCAAACTAGAACATTTTCTAAAGATAAGCAATAAGTTCCTTAAAAACATGTCTACCCCACCCAAAACAAATCAAACCCAAAATAGGCTTTACACCCTGTCAAGTACTAATCAATAAAGTGTGGCAACTATAAACTATCATCAAAGAATTAAAGACACAAACCACCCCCAGCTATGCAGAAAAAAATGGCAAGTGTTTATATGAAGCCAGTGGTTAAAAGTAATAGGGCCTTTTGCTTTTCCATTCATTTCCAAAGAGGAAGATTATCTTCCAAAGACCCCAGTGGTGAGTAAGTGGCAGGCAACATGCAGGAAATGACGCAGCTGAGGAGAGGAAAATTGCAGCAACAAACAGGTGGATTTTCTGGGGAAGGATCCCTCAATGTCCGTCTAGGGAAGAAAGTGGGAGAAGAGCTGCAGTCACAACTGGAAGGCAACCACAGAGAATGCCAGAGTCGAATACACAGACTTTGTAATTTCACATCTAAAAGGCTGAGTAATTTAAATCTCAGGATGGGTGGTTGGTAATTAAAATCATAACTGTTGCCACAGTAACTCTTAGATAACAGAACCATTAAAACTCTGAGTTTAGATCCTAAAAAATGACAGGTGTCATTGGACAAAATCTCTAGCAAAACAGACATACACTAATCTTCCTCTAAATGGGCTACTGTGTTTTTTTCCCCATGAATTTCTACCAGTCCCTCTAAAAATGAATAGCAGCCTAGATCTTGGTGACAGGCAACAGCTAGTATATTTAAAAAGAGCTTGAGGCTCCATAGTTCATTATAACATGTTAATATGTAAGAATTACACTATATATATGACATTTTAAAACTTACATTAAGCAGCCATAGATGGGTCATTTTTACTGTAAAGGCTGATCAAGGAAGATACCCTGGGTTTGGTAGATCTCTTTGAGGACGAGCAATACTGTATCTTCAGACTCCCTATAAAGAGAAAAAATTATGTTGAGAAAAGGAACTAACACTTGTGCCAAATGTTTTACATATATTATCTCATTTAATCCATACAACCATCTTGCAAGTTTATTTTTTACTTCTGCAAAGAAATGAGATTCAGAAGTAATGTAATTGGCAGTGGTTTGGAAGGTGACCTGGCAAAGAACTCTGGCATTAAGTCTAGTAATATAAAAAAGCTAGGAAGAGAGGCCAGGTGCGGTGGCTCATGCCTGTAATCCTAACACTCTGGGAGGCTGAGGTGGACAAGTCACTACAGGTCTGGAATTTGAGCCAGCCTGGCCAACATGGTGAAACCCCATCTCCACTAAAAATACAAAAACTAGGGCTGGGCACGGTGGCTCACGCCTGTAGTCCCAGCACTTTGGGAGGCCAAGGTGGGTGGATCACAAGGTCAGGAGTTTGAGACCAGCCTGGCCAATATGGTGAAACCCCATCTCTACTAAAAATACAAAAATTAGCAGGGTGTGGTGGTATGCGCCTGTAGTCCCAGTTACTGGGGAGACTGAGGCAGAAGAATTGCTTGAACCCAGGAAGCGGAGGTTGCAGTGAGCCGAGATTGCACCACTGCACTCCAGCCTGGCAGATAGGCGAGACTCCGTCTAAAAAAAAAAAAAAAAAACTAGCCAGGCGTGGCAGCATGCGACTGTAGTCCCAGCTACTCAGGAGGCTGAGGCAGGAGAATCGCTTGAACCGAGGAGGCAAAGGTTGCAGTGAGCCGAAGGTTGCAGAGTGTCACTGCACTTCAGCCTGGGCGACAGAGTGAGACTCCATTTCAAAAAAAAAAAAAGCCAGTAAGAAATAACCAAGAATTGTTCCTTTTCCACAGAGATCATTCTAGAGACACTATTGAAGAGTTATCCAGTTGGTCACCTTAATTTTTAAAATATTATGCACTTTTTGGAAAAGGTAATACAATCATAAGGTTCCAAATTCCAACAATATAAGAAAGTAACGAAGTCTCCCTCCCACCTTTGTTCCTCAACCACCACCAGTTCCCATCTTCTGACAACCAATGTTATCAATTTCTCATGCGTTTTCCAGATATTATTCTACGTATGCACAAGCAATTACTTATATCCACACTTCATAACAAAATTTGATTTAAAAAGATTAACACTCATGAGGGACTGCCTTAAGGATATAAGCCTCTATTATTCTTCTAGATCTGTGGTTCAACATTTATTGAGTCATGCATCCTTTTGAGAATCTAATGAAATTACGGATTCTTCCCCAGAAAGGATCACATTGCAACCACAATTATAAATGTGTATTTCATTGGATTCACAGACTTCCCTCATCTCCCACAAACTCATATACACAGACCCCAGCTTAAGAAATTCCTGTATCAACAAGTGGGAATTAGCTCTATCAGATATTAAAATGGTACATAAATAAGCAAATCAACAAGTAAGAAGTTGAGAAATAGTCCCATTTATGTATAGGAATTTAATTAAGTGGCCAGGCACGGTGGCTCACACCTATAATCCTAACACTGGGAGGTCGAGGCAGGCAGATCACCTGAGGTCAGGCGTTCGAGACCAGCCTGGCCAACATAGTGAAACCCCATCTCTACTAAAAATACAAAAATTAGCTGGGCATGGTGGCACATGCCTATAGTCCCGGCTACTCAAGAAGCTGAGGCAGGAAAATCATTTGAACCCAGATGGCGTAGGTTGCAGTGAGCCAACTACTGCACTACTGCACTTCAGCCTGGGCAACACAGCAAGACTCTGTCTCAAAAAAAAAAAAAAGAATTTAATTAATTTAATTTAGAATCTCAAATCTATTAATAGTGTTGAGACGTGGGGAAAAAAGGACCTGAATCTGAATCAAAGATTTATATGTAAAAATTAGATATAAAATATTAGAATAGCCAGGCATGGTGTTGCACACCTGCAGTCCCAACTACTCAGGAGGCCAAGGCAAGAGGATTGCTTGAGCCCAGGAATTCAAGGGTCTAGTGCACTAAGATCATGCCTGTGAGAAGCCACTGCATGCAAGATCCTGTTTCTAAAAAAAATTATATATATAACAATATACTGTGTTGGCTGGGTGCAGTGGCTCACGCCTGTAATCCCAGCACTTTGGGAGGCTGAGGTGGGATCACTTGAGGTCAGGAGTTTGAGACCAGCCTGACCAACATGGTGAAACCCTGTCTCTACTAAAAAGACAAAATTAGCCAGGTATGGTGGTGCACACCTGTAATGCTGGCTACTTGGGAGGCTGAGGCAGGAGAATCACTTGAACCTGGCAGGCAGAGGTTGCAGTGAGCCGAGATCACACCATTGCACTCTGGCCTGGGCAACAGGGTGAGATTCCATCTCAAAAAAAAAAAAAAAAAAAATACTGTGGTAAGAATTTTTTTGGAAAGTAAGGAAGATCTTTCTGAGTATGACACAAATTCCAGAAACCAAAAAGCAAATGACAACACATTTGATTACATAAAAATAAAAATTTTGAGCAGGCGCAGTGGCTCATGCCTGTAATCCCAGCACTTTGGGAGGCAGGGGCAGGTGGATCACCTGAGGTCAGAAGTTTGAGACCAGCCTGGCCAACATGGTGAAACCCCATCTCTACTAACAATACAAAAATTAGCTAGGCATGGTAGCGCACACCTGTAATCCCAGCTACTCAGGAAGCTGAGGTACAAGAATTGCTTGAACCTGGGAGGCAGAGGTTGCAGTGAGCCAAGATCGTGCCACAGCACTCCAGCCTGGGTGACAGAGTGAGACTCCTTCTCAAAAAAAAAAAAAAAAAAAAAAAAAAAACTTGTTGGCCAGATATGGTGGCTTACACCTGTAATCCCAGCACTTTGGGAAGCCAAGTGGGAGGATCACTGGAGCCCAGGAGTTCAAGACCAGCCTGGGCAACATGGCAAAACCCCATTTCCACAAAAAAATTTGAAAAATTAGCTGGGCATAGTGTTACACACCTGTGGTCCTAGCTACTCCCAGCTGCTCAGGAGGCTGAGATGGGAGGATGGCTTGAGTCCAAGGTCAAGGCTGCAGTGAGCTATAATCGCACCACTGCACTCCAGCCTGGGTGATAGAGTGAGACTGCCTCACAAAAATAAAAATAAAAAATAAAAAAAAGTTGATGTGGAGCAACTGAAACTCTCAAACACTGCTGATGGAGATGTAAACTGCTGGTGGCAAAACAGTTTGGCAGTTTCTTTTAAAAATACACTTCCATATAGTATCCACCCATTCCATTCCTATTTACCCAAGAATATGTCCATGTAAAGTCTTATACATGAATGTTCCTAGCAGCTTTGTTAATAGCCAAAAACTGGAAACTATCAAAATATCCATCAACAGGTAAATGGACAAACTGATATATCCATATAATGGAATACTACTCAGCAATAAAAAGGATATGCTATTGATATACACAACATTGATCATGTCTATAATACCAACAGCTTGGGGGGCCAAAGCAAGAGGACTGCTTGAGGCCGGGAGTTTGACACCAGCAGGGGCAACATAGTGAGACCCCATCTCTACGAAAATAAATTTAAAAAAAATTAGGCCCAGTGGCACATGCCTGCAGTCCCAGCTTCTTGGGAGGCTGAGATGGGAGGATCCCTTGAGCCTAAGAGGATCCCTTGAGCCCAGAGATCTAGGCAACAGTGAGCCATGATTGTGTCACTGCACTCCAGCCTGGATGACAGAACAAGACTATCTCAAAAAAATAAATAAATAAATAAATAAGCTAAACGCCAAACAACAAAAGTATATACTGTAGGATTCCAAATACAAGTCATAAGCAAACTAATCTACAGTGGCAGAACAGAGCAGTGGCTCCCTGGAAATTAGGAGGAGTGGGGAAGAGAAAAGAAGGGAGGGATTACAAAAGGCACAAGGAAACTTTTGAGAGTGATGAATATGTTAAGTTGATTGTAGTGATGGCTTCACAGGTGTATACATGTCAAAACTCATCAAATGTGTATTCTTTTAATATGTACAGTATATTGTACATTTTCACCCAACAAATTGGCAAAGATTTAAAAATATTAAAACTGTTGGAAAAGCTGTGGAGAAACACACACTTTCGTACATTATTGCTGGGAGTATAAAAAGGTACAACCTCTTATTTGTCAATATTTATCAAATTTTACAAATGTATATACCCTTTATGCCATTGATTTCAATTCGAAGTATTTTACATTACAGATATACTCATGAGTAGGTGAAATGACATGAACAAGGTGTGTGCAAAAGAAAAGGAAACCTGAAAGTCCATGAGTAGAGGACGGCTTAAATAAATTATGGTGTATTTACATAACGGAAGACTATGCAGCTAAAAAAAAAAATGAGGAAACAACATATAATAGGTTAAAAAATGCCAAGATATACTAGTAGAAAAAACAAGGCACAGAACATTGCCTTTAATTTACTATTTATGTTTTTAAAATAAGGGAAAGAATATATTCACATACATATATTTATTATGGAGGCATAAAATAGATGGCTGGAAGACATTTTACATTAGTTGTATATGGGGAAGAAACTGATTGCAAGAAACAAAATAAAAAAGAGGCTTTTCATTATTTTTCTTTCTTTGAATTTCAAACCATATGAATGTACTGCCCACACAGAAATATTAAAAGAACTCTGCTTTCTTTTCTATCAAGCCAGATCACCAGAGATCATTCTTAGCATTATTTTAGCCCCTTACAAGATTGCTTTTGGCCTCTACTGTATATATTATATACAAACGATAGTGATTGCATCAGATGATAATTCCTCATCAGAATTCAAGGGAAAAATTATTCTTAGGACCTTTGAGCTTGCTTTTTTTTTTTTTTTTTTTGAGATGGAGTCTCGCTCTGTCACCCAGGCTGGACTGCGGTGGCCGTGATCTCGCTCACTGCAACCTCTGCCTCCCAGGTTCAGGCAATTCTCCTGTCTCAGCCTCCCTAGTAGCTGGGACTACAGGCATGCACCACCACACCTGGCTAATTGTATTTTTGGTAGAGACAGGATTTCGCCATGTTGGCCATGCTGGTCTGAGCTTTCATTTTTAAAACACTTATCTCTGACCCATCTTATTTCCCTTACTTTATTTTTATGTCAACTTCTTCAGGGATTAATTAGTATTATTTTATACTATTTTTTTTCAGACATGGTCTCGCTCTGTCACTCAGGCTAGGGTGCGGTGGCACCATCATGGCTCACTGCAGCCTTCAACTCCTGGCCTCAAGCAATCCTCCTTCCTCGGCCTCCCAAAGTGCTGGGATTATAAGCATGAGCCACCATACCCGGCCTGAATTTCAATAAGCATCATTAATCCATTCTACAATCCATCAGGTAACCAATTATATTTAATAATAATTCTGCCCAGGCGTGGTGGCTCATGCCTGTAATTCCAGCACTTTGGGAGGCAGAGGTGGAGGCGGATTGATTGCTTGAAGTTTAGACCAGCCTGGGCAACATGGCGAAACCCTGTCTGTACAAAAATTAGCTGGGCATGGTGGTGCACAACGGTCATCCTACTTATTAGGGAGACTGAGGGGGGAGGATCACTTGAGTCCAGGAGGTCAAGGCTGCAGTGAACCATGAGCATGCCACTGCACTCCAGCCTGGGTGACACAGCAAGACCCTGTCTCAAATAATGATAAAATAATAATAATTAATTCTGTCACAGCTACCATAAATGCTTTCAAATGGGTTTGCTATAAGACTTCCAGCAACAGTAATATTTGTTCCAGTTCATTCATGTGCACCTAAATGGCCAAAAGACACATTTTTAACACCAAGATAATTGAACTTATGGTTGTTGGCATCATTAGCCTCAACCATGTTCTACCCAGCTGCAAAATAAAACAACAGTGTGTTTAAACCAGATTCTTGAAATGACATGATTGTGCTTGTGCTGTCTAAATGAGAAGTCATTTTAATTCCAAAGGTACACAGGTCTTTTTTTTTTTTTGAGACAGGGTCTTGCTCTGTCACCCAGGCTAGAGTGCAGTGGTGTGATCATGGCTCACTGTGGTCTCAAACTCCTGGGCTCAAGTGACTCTCCTGCCTCAGCCTCCCAAGTAGCTGGGACTATAAGCGCATACCACCACGCCCAGCTAATTTAGTTTTTGTAGAGATGAGGTCTTGCTATGTTTCCCAGGCCGGTCTCAAACTCCTGAACTCAAGCAATCCTCCCACCTTGGCCTCCCAAAGTGCTGAGATTATAAGCCTGAGCCAATGCACCTGGCCTATCCTCCTTTTTCTACATCTATCAAATATCTATGAAACAGGTAAACAAACAAAACAGACAAAAATAAACAACATTTACCAGTAGCATAGATGGCTTTGTAAAGCAAATAAATACTCATTAAAACTTTCAATAGGCTTCTCCTGTAGCACATAGTCAATGCGTTGGCCTCCATTCAGCATCCCCACATTGATAGGCAGGACTTCTTCTTTAACTGCCACAGAGGTCTCTTCTGTGTTAACATCTGGATATGGAAGAACCATAATAAGAATCTAAAACCTTTTGGCCTTCAGGGTTATCCTGTTAACTTCTCCTCACACTCCAAGTTTACCAGAGAATGAGCTACTCTCTGTTCAGAGAGCTCTCTCCCATCTTCCTCCTCTCAATCTCCTTCAAGCTCCTTCTCAGGTCACAGTAATTTTGTCCAATCCCCTTTTTTGCTTTTGCGCAACACATCTCATTACCTATACCATTGATAGCTAGGTCATTTGCCTTGGGTTTATACTAAATGCAAGCAGGAATAGAGCTCTTTAGAAGTTGAAAACTAAAGCAAAAGAATGCAATATTAACTATGAAATTAAATGTGAAATTAAATTAAATTAACTATGAAAAACGCCACACCATGGCATCCCTCTTATCTGGCAGCTGGTCAATGTGTACAGTGTCACTGACCACTAGGCTTCTCTGAAGTTGATTCAGGTTCTGCTTCAGTTTCTTCTGGTGTTTCTGAAGCTTGTAAGGCAGGGTATGGAGCTCTGGTAAAAGACTTCCAGGCCATCCGCAGCGAACCTAGCAAGTTGTTCTTAAGGTCCATACTCATCCTGGTCAAGCCCTCTCTCAGTTCTGAAACATATAAATAAAGAACATTAAATGATTTACAAAGAGCTTAGGGTCCAACATAGCTGAACAGAGTGAATGATGCCCTTTGCACTGGCCAAAAGGTCTAGAATTATCAAGTTCTATGCTCGGACTTACCTAAGTGCATCCGCTTCCTGCCTTTATGATGTGGGATCAGCATTGGCTCAAATTCCACTCCTGGGACCACCATTGGTTCAATCCTATAGGCCACAGGATCAAACTACATAGGAAAAACAAGAGCTACATTTACCTCTGCTAAGCACAGTCTGGAAACTATATAACTTTTTTTTTTTTTTTTTTGAGATGAGGTCTCGCTCTGTCACCCAGGCTGGAGTGCAGTGGTGCAATCATGGCTCACTGTAGCCTTCAACTCCTAGGCTCAAGCAATCCTCCTGCCTTGACCTCCCAAAGTGCTGGGATGACAGGCATTAGTCACCATGTACAACCAGAACTATGTATCTTAAACAATAATCATAAGTTCATTTAAAAAAATGTACAGTTCTGCTCCATCACTTCCAAATCAATACTATTATAAGTTGTCTCATTGCTAGACAATGGAATAGGAAAAAAAAATCAACACAACAGAAAATCCTATGTTCTTTAACAATAAGCCCTGATATTTAGGTAAAACCACAATAGCTGTACAATGCTTACAGGGTGATAAATATTGAAGAAACCTTTGCACGTTGGAAATCTGTAGTTGGGATCAATTCTTTTTAGTCCTCGGACAGTAAGGAACATTCCAATGGGAGATCCAAAGGCAAAGAATATCTCTGGTTTATAGATGAGCCGGGGGTATTTCACAGACACCTCAAAGGAGGAAAATAAAAGCATCTCTCATTAATAACAAAAGTTACATCTGTTTCTACCATACAAATAGCAGGCTGTAAAATGATCAAAGAGAATTAGTTACCTGCCCAATGCCAACATCCAGATAGTCACCATTTCTAGTATTACTGCTACTGCAGAACTCAGATTCTTTGGGGATGTTTGCCCCTGAAGCAGGCTGCGGGGCTGGTCTCTTAATACCCTAAAGAATAAAAAATAGTTATGTGGAGAAGCTGGGCATGACGGCATGCACCTGTAGTCCCAGCTACTCAGGACCCTGAGGTAGGTAGGTAGGTAGGATTGTTTAAGCCCAAGAGTTCAAGTCCAACGTGGGCAACATAGTCTCTATTTAAAAAAAAAGTATGGGGAGCTACTATATAGTAAAAGTATAGCCAAAGGATTATATAGTTTTCTACTGGTTTGAAAGGACCCTTGGGAAAGTTCTGAAATGGCAGCCAAAAATTCTAGGAAGATTTCCTCAGAAAACAAGATTAAATTATTGCCTTAAATTGTTAATTGACATTCTTAGATGCTCTAAAATGATGAAAGTTGTACATAGCCATTTCAGTAGCGTTGAAACTTTAGGCAACAATCATAAGAGAAAACAATAGCAGGGCACTGTGGGAAGATAATGCTGAGGATTGCTAGAGTTCTATGAAGTGCTGTGCCTCTGTAATCAAGGGAAGTAGGATGTCGATGGGCTGGGCCAAGAACTGAGTCTTTAAAAAGAAATGAGCCACCTGCTAAAAAGTTGGAAAAGAACTAACTACTGGCCAGGCATGGTGGCTCACGCCTGTAATCCCAGCACTTTGGGAGGCTGAGGTGGGCGGATCACTTGAGGTCAGGAGCTCAAGACCAGCCTGGCCAACATGGTGAAACCCCATACTAAAAATACAAAAATTAGCTGGGTGTGGTGTCGCGTGTCTGTAATCCCAGCTACTCAGGAAGCTGAAGCAGGAGAATCACTTGAATCCAGGAGGCGGAGGTTGCAATTGAGCCAAGATCGTGCAACTGCACTCCATCCTGGGCGACAGAGCAACACTCCGACTCAAAAAGAAAAAAACTAACTAATAAGATATGGAGTTAGAAATTCAGTGACCAGAAAAACTGAATGTGGAAGTACTGTTAACACAGGTAAACCTTCAGAATATTATGCTAAGTGAAAGAAGTCAGACACATGGCTCAAAAGGACATTCCATTTATATGGAATGTCCAAAATAAGCAAATCTGTAGAAACAGAAAGTAGATTAGTGGTTGACAGAGGCTGGGGGCAGGGAGCAATGGGGAGTGACAGCAAATGGGTATGGGGTTTCCCTAAGGGACAATGGAAATGTGCTGAAATTGGATAGTGGTAATGGTTACATAACTCTATGAATATACTAAAAACCATTAAATTGTAAACTTTAAAAGGGTGAATTTTATGGTATGTGATGTGAAGTAGATATTGGTAAAACTCTCATGAAAAGAAAAAAGCAAAAAATAAATAAATAAATAAATGGTAGGAGAATTCCAGAGGAGAGAAGACTTCTGAAGCTAATAATACTTTTAAGGATGTAAAAAAAGAAGGGCCAGGAGCGGTGCAGCACTTTGGGAGGCTGAGGCACATGGGTCATCTGAGGTCAGGAGTTCAAGACCAGCCTGGCCAACATAGTGAAACCCCGTCTCTACTAAAAATACAAAAAGTTAGCTGGGCATGGTGGTGCACACCTGGAATCCCAGCTACTCAAGAGGATGAAGCAGGAGAATTGCTTGAACCTGGAAGGTGGAGGTTGCAGTGAGCCGAGACCACCCACTATACTCCACCCCGGGCAACACAGCGAGATTTCATTTCCAGGAAAAGAAAAAAAAAAGAATGTAAAAAAGAAAATGTGTTTAATTTCTAGAAAGAGAGCCAAAGATCGGCCAGGCGGGTGGCTCACACCTGTAATCCCAGCACTTTGGGAGGCCAAGGCGGGCAGATCACAAGGTCAGGAGTTTGAGACCAGCCTGGCCAATATGGTGAAACACCGTCTCTATTAAAAATACAAAAATTAGCCAGGCATGGTGGTGGGCGCCTGTAGTCCCAGCTACTCGAGAGGCTGAGGCAGGAGAATCGCTTGAACCCGGGAGGCAGAGGTTGCAATGAGCTGGGATCACACCACTGCACTCCAGCCTGAGTGACAGAGCGAGACCCTGTCTCAAAAAAAAAGAGCCAAAGATCAATTACCAAAAAACTGCTTGGCTCCCCAGAGTAAACATCCCACAAAGCACAAGGACACACTATGGACATCAAAGAATTGTTTAGTCCAACAAGCTGTATTAGGCACATACCATTGAGTTTTTTCTGGTGCTGAAATAGTTTAATATCTTCTTTCTTGGTCCTAAAGGAATTCCTATTTCCTGAAGATCTCGGTCTGTACATAAAGCCTAGGCATAGAAAATCAAGTCTTTCTTATTTCTAGACAAAATAAAATCAATCCTGTCCCCTAAGAGGAACAAGGCCTAGGCACTCTGTTGCTGCCTGTCTCTCTAGTAGTAAAACATCATAGAATAACTTCCAGAAAAAAGGACCTGTTTTATTCATGAAACAGCCTAAAAAAGAATAGAAAATATCAATACTTATAATATCAATGTTACAATAATATAGACATTGTTATTGTTAAAAAAAAAAAAAAAAAACAGAGAAGTTGGGTATCTAAGGACTTCAGGACATAAAAATCTTCCTTGATTTCTGGCCAGGCGCGGTGGCTCACGCCTGTAATCCCAGCACTTTGGGAGGCCGAGGCGGGTGGATCATGAGGTCAGGAGATGGAGACCATGGTGAAACCCCGTCTCTACTAAAAATACAAAAAAAATTAGCCAGGCGCAGTGGCAGTCACCTGTATTCCCAGCTACACAGGAGGCTGAGGCAGGAGAATGGCGTGAACCCGGAAGGCAGAGCTTGCAGTGAGCCGAGATCGCGCCACTGCACTCCAGCCTGGGCAACAGAGCAAGACTCCGTCTCAAAAAAACAAAACAAAACAAAAAAACTTCCTTGATTTCTATACTGACTTAGATGTCACATGCCTGAGAAGGATTATACTCCTGCTGATGAACGCAAGCACTGAGAACATACAGCAAACACACAAGTATGGAACAGACTAACAATCAAGATCTCAAGTGTCACTCATCGTTTTTTTTTTTTTTTTTTGAGATGGAGTCTTGCTCTGTCGCCCAGGCTGGAGTGCAGTGGTGTGATCTCAGCTCACTGCAACCTCCACCTCCTGGGTTCAAGCGATTCTCCTGCCTCAGCCTCCCAAGTAGCTGGGACTACATGTGTGTGCCACCACACCCAGCTAATTTTTGTATTTTTAGTACAGACAGGGTTTCACCATGTTGACTAGATTGGTCTCGAACTCCTGACCTCGTGATCTGCCCACCTCGGCCTCCCAAAGTGCTGGGATTACAGGCATGAGCCACCACACCCAGCCAGCTATCACTCATTTGATTAGGGAAGCCTTCCTGCACCTTATGAGACCAGGTTAATTCTTACAACACGGTGTACTTTTCCTACTTACTTATTGTAATTGCCATGATGTGTGTGATTATTTAACATGTGTCTTCCCCAGTAAACTATAAACACTATGAGGTCAGGGATCATATGTCTTATTCACCAGTCTATCCAGTACTTGGTATAGTAAGCATTTTCTAAATATCTGTTAAATGAGTGAATGTATCACAAACCAGAAAAAGGCACGACAAAAATGGAAAAAAAAAAAAAAAAACAAATCAGCTGGCTGGGCACGGTGGCTCACACATGTAATCCCAGCACTTTGGGAGGCCAAGGTGGGTGGATCACGGGGTCAGGAATTCCAGACCAGCCTGGCCAAGAGACCAGCTTGGCCAATACAGTGAAACCCCATCTCTACTAAAAATATCAAAATTAGCCAGGCGTGGTGGCGGGCACCTGTAATCCCAGCTACTCGCAAATAACAGTAGAGCTCTTGAAAGTACAACAGAAAATTAGAGTTGGAATAGCTAATGGTTATTTATTTGTTTGTTCTTGCACTCATGTTTTCTATGAGCCGTACTGGTTAGTCTGCTCCATTGCTCTATGAATATCAATATGGCCATCTGACCTTTGAACTTCCACAAAGCAAAGGTCACTTGATATGATAAAAAGCAAATAAATAATGCTAAGGAACATTAATCATAAAGTATTTATGACTAAAAAGTGTCTAAAGGGTAGGCTCTTAGTAAACACGATAAACAAAAATACTGAAAATGGCTTGGCATAAAGTTTTAAAAGATTATTTTTACCAGAGCTTCCTTATCTACTTTCTCCTTCTCAAAGATATCAAAGAATTCAGAGAGCTGAAGTTTCTTCAAATCTTCCTCTAGTGTAGGTGTATCTCCTTGATCCATTACAATATTTAGCGAATCCTAAAAATTAAATTATAAAGCTCATATTCTTGAAATTCATTTAGTTTCCTTTAATACTATTTTGCAGTAAAGAAATACATAGATTTCCACAGCAATGTATCTTAACTTTAACAAATTGTCATTTATGCAAGATATAAATTAAGAGGTTCCAAGGTTTTGCAACTTCAATTGAAAATATGTTTTTAAAGAAATTAGTAAAATATTCATCATCATTAACAAACATTTGCTGAATTTTAAGGGAGCTCAGTGCTTAAGAAATTAGGAAAACAGTGCTTAAGAAATAAAACAGTCTAGGCTGGGCATGGTGGCTCACATCTGTAATCCCAGCACTTTGGGAGGCCGAGGTGGGCGGATCACAAGGTCAGGAGTTCAAGACCAGTCTGACCAACACCCTGTCTCTACTAAAGATACAAAAATTAGCCGGGTACGGTGGCATGCGCCTGTCCCAGCTACTGGGGAGGCTGAAGCAGGAGAATCATTTGAACCCTGCAGGCAGAGGTTGCAGTGAGCCGAGATCATGCCACTGCATTCCAGCCTGGGTGACAGAGCAAGAGACTGTCTCAAAAAAAAAAAAAAAAAGAAAGAAAAAAAAGAAATAGAAATAGAAATAAAATAGTCTAAGACAAAAGCTCTGCTCTGGAGGAACTCATGGTCCAACAGGAGAAATAGGTACCAAATCAATCCTACAGATGATACATGGTTATAGGAATTTTTACTAAAATAATGTTTAAACATCAAGTCCCCAATACTTTCGAACAGAGTTTCTATAAATCATATCAATTTGTAGCCAATTCATTCATTTGTTCATATGCAAACTTCATTTAGCTCAATGATTCCATAACTCTATTAACAGATCAGCAGTGCATATTTTTGAGACGGAGTCTCACTCTGTCACCCAGGCTAGAGTGCAGTGGCACGATCTCAGCTCACTGAACCTCCACCTCCCAGGTTCAAGCGATTCTCTTGCCTCAGCCTCCCAAGTAGCTGGGATTACAGGCACACACCACCATGCCCAGCTAATTTTTGTATTTTTAGTACAGATGGGGTTTCACCATGTTGGCCAAGCTGGTCTTGAACTCCTGACCTAAGGTGATCCACCAGTCTCAGCCTCTCAAAGTGCTGAGATTACAGGCATGAGCCACCGCGCCCAGCCAGTGGTGCATATTCACAAAAGAAAATAAGATAACTATGGTTTAGAATATAACAATTATTATTTGTAGAAGCATGTTACTATCTTCCTTCTATCATCCAAGAATGACAGAGATAATTAAAAGTCTGTTAAAATGAAAATAAGTGTAAATGTAATGTCATGACATGAAACTAAACTCAGCTAAAAACAAAAAATAAGTCTAAAATCTATAAATCCTTACTAAGGAAAACTACAAGAAAACCTAGCTGAACATCTAAATTACCTTTTCACTGTCAATATCCCCCAAAGAATCTTTCTGATTTGTTAGGATATCAAACAATATAAGCGAACCTATAAGTAAAATAGAAGAAGGGACAATTTCTAAGCATTAGCACTAAATGGCTCTCTGTTATACAAAAAAGGCATAAGCCAATTACATATGTAAGCAAATCTATACAGCAAGGAGTCTTTCTTTCCAATTTACCGCCACCCTTCCAACCCCTTCCAAATTTCCTGACCACAGACCACTTCTAGACCTCTGAATTTCATACTGATAAAAGACATTGTGCTTCAAAAACAGGTGTCTTTAAAATGTGATAGTCTTCTCTGGTCACACAGAACTCATTTTGTTACCTAAACTATGACCAGCAATGGATACACCCCCTTTGAAATCAGGGTTCCTCTGTAGAAAAAGTGTGTATATTCGGTTCATTTCAGAAGCAACTGTGTCCACAATAGTCTGACAGTAGGTGGGACTATTGTAGAAGAAGACATCCAGAATTGTGTCATTGGTGAAGTGCCTGAGGCGGTTAATGCTGGGCAGGGTTATTCGCTGCAGATCTCTGAAAAAAGGAAAAATAATATAAGCAGGAAACCTAAATACACTTAATAGCTGCTTCCAATTTTAAGCCTTCAAGCTTAAACATTTTATAACAAACAATTGTCGATTTATAGGAAAAAACAAAAAGAGGACAAAGGAACATGTGTAATGAAGCCAGAGGAATGTGATAAGCAAAATTCAGAGTATAAAAAACCCTCAAGTCAAACCCATTTCTTCCATAAATAAACTGCAAGAAAACAACAGATGTAGACAGAGAGGTAAGTGGTAATCAAGAAAATAAATTAAAGAGACTTTTCTTTTTTTTTTTTTTTGAGACAGACTCTCGCTCTATTGCCCAGGCTGGAGGGCAGTGGCACGATCTCAGCTCACTGTAACCTCTGCCTCCCAGGTTCAAGCGATTCTCCTGCCCCAGCCTCCCAAATAGCTGGAATTGCAGGCATGTGCCACCATGCCCAGCTAATTTTTGTATTTTTAGTAGTGACAGGGTTTTGTCATGTTAGCCAGGCTGGTCTCAAACTCCTGACCTCAGATGATCTACCTGCCTCGGCCTCCCAAAGTGCTGGGATTACAAGCATGAGCCACCATGCCCAGCCCAAGAGAGACTTATAATAAAAGACATATCAACTAATTGCAAGGTATGGGCTTTATTTGGATCCCAGTTTAAAACATGTTTGTAATTATATAAATATGTATACAAAAATTAATGTATATAATTATATAATTAATGTATATAAAAATATGTATAAAATATGTATAAAAATATAATAGACAACTGGAAATTTGAACAGACTAGGTATTTGATGATATTAAGAAATTTTTAAGTGTGATAATAGTGTTATGGTTATACATTTTTTAAGTCCTTTAAAATATACTGTTCAGGGCCAGGAGCGGTGGCTCACGCCTGTAATGCCAGCACTTTGGGAGGCTGAGGCGGGCAGATCACGAGGTCCAAAGTTCGAGACCAGTCTGTCCAACAGAGTGAAACCCCGTCTCTACTAAAAATACAAAAAATTAGCCGGGTGTGGTGATGTGCACCTTTACCCCAGCTACTTGGGAGGCTGAGGCAGGAGAATCACATGAACCCAGGAGGCGGAAGTTGCAGTGAGCCGAAATTGTGCCATTGCACTCCAGCCCAGGCAACAGTGCAAGACTCTGTCTCAAAAAAAACAACAAAAAAAATACTGTTCAGGCCGGCGCAGTGGCTCACACCTGTAATCCCAGCACTTTGGGAGGCTGAGGCGGGCAGATCATGAGGTCAGGAGTCCAGCCTGGCCAATATGGTGAAACCCTGTCTCTACTAAGAAATACGAAAATTAGCTGGGCATTGTGGCGCATGACTGTAGTCCCAGCCACCTGGGAGGCTGAGGCAGGAGAATTGCTGGAACCCAGGAGGCAGAGGTTGCAGTGAGCCGAGACCGTGCCACTGCACTCCAGCCTGGGTGACAGAGCGACACTCCATCTCAAAAATAAAATAAAAAATAAAATATACTGTTCAGGCCAGGCACTGTGGCTCACACCTGTAATCCCAGCACTTTAAGAGGCCAAAGCAGACAGATTGCTTGAGCCCAGGAGTTCAAAACCAGCTTGGCCAACATGGTAAAAGCCCATCTCTACAAAAAATAGAAAAATCAGCTGGATTGGGCCAGGCATGGTGGCTCACGCCTGTAATCCCAGCACTTGGGGAGGCCAAGACGGGCGGATCACCTGAGGTCAAGAGTTCGAGACCAGCCTGACCAACGTGGAGAAACCCTGTCTCTACCAAAAATACAAAATTAGCCAGGCATGGTGGCGCATGCCTGTAATCCCAGCTACTCGGGAGGCCAAGACTGGGAACTGCTTGAACCCGGGAGTCGGAGGTTGCGGTGAGCTGAGATCACGCCACTGCACTCCAGCCTGGACAAGAGCAAAACTCCATCTCAAAAAAAAAAAAAAAAGATAAAAAAAATCAGCTGCAAGTGGTGCCACATGCCTGTAGTCCCAGCAGTACTTGGGAGGCTGGGGCAGGAGGATCATCTGAGCCCAGGGAGGTCCAGGCTGCAGTGAGCTGTGATCACACCACTGCACTCCAACCAAAAAAAAAAGATACAAACTGAAACATTTACAGATGAAATTACAGGATGTCTAAGATAAAAATCATATGGTGATGAAGGGGCATTAGATAAGGTATGAAGATACGGTTGAGGCAGAACCAGCCATGTGTTGAGGCTTGTTAGGGCTGGGTAATCAGTATACAAGGATTCATCATATATACTACTTCTGTGAACAAAATTATCTCTAATAAAAAAAAGTTTTCTAAAAAGACAAAACAAAAAATGTAAAAGGCTTTTCCTGGAATTCTCAGCAGTAAGGTTTTTTAATTACAGGTCAAACGATAAAGAGATCAGCTCCCTCTCTCAATGCACAATTTCTAAAAGCAGAAAAAGGTGTGAGTGCCAGGTGCCAAAAGCAAACAGAATTCATATCTGGGAGAGGAAGACCACGCTGACAAAATCTAACATCCAGTTAAAGGTTTCTTAAAATTCCCAGAAAGATTCCTCAAATATTCAACCACTTCTGCAATTTATAAGGGCTACGTGCCCTTAGTAACCTCTTAGCATCTGCTCAAATATTGAAGAATCCGGACCCCACCACAGTGTTTGGCAAACAGAATATACCCAAATCACAGGGTACTGAGAACTGAGACACAGAATCAGAAAAGCCATTTCTGAGACCAGCATGGAAACAATGCTGACTACTTCCTGCATCTCCTGGTTCTATTCTAGAACTACATTAGAAACACACTACTTGCTGGAGAGCCCCATAGCTAGATATCCTCAATTTAAGCAACATTCTCTGTCATTACCATAAAATTTACAAACAAAACTAATGGTCTTGTACCTTAAGAAAGCCATCACTTAAAAGTCACTGTACCAATTATACCTCAAGTTTTAAATGCTAGTAGTTTAATGTTTGAGAAATCCCCCCTTTTTTCTAAATTTGGACAAATATTATTTAAATATAATAACAAAAGGAACAACAAAATACTTTGTACATCTTGGGGTATGGCTAGCTTTTGACATCTGAAGATGGAAATGGTTATACACTATGGGAAGATAGCAATATTTGGCTTTAATGCTAAAGATACAATGAAGCTGTAACAGTAAATACTAGTGAGCCAGTAAAACATACTGAAGATACACACAGCTCTCCACTCCTAACCAGGGCTAATTAAACCAAGGGACTGATCAGCATTTAATAGCATATCTCTAAGAAATTTTAAATATTCAGTCAGCTATAGCATAAAAACGTCCCCAAGCATAGCAATGATCAGAAAATATAATCACAGCTAACAACTCGAAGGTATTAAGTATTACTCACACATCCACACCAGTAGAATGCAAAGGACTGTGCCAGTTGACTGGAAGAAATTCTACCCTCCCAATCTGCTGATTTTCTTGGGCTTTCTTAAAATGTGTCTGTAGCAAGTTCAAGGAAACACTGCGAAAATCATTAACTGGAAAAGAAAATTAACTTATGCATCAACAATGAAGTAACAAATCTGTAGAATCTGGATGCAACAAATCATGTAATTATACTCTAACTACATTTGCACAGAACACATACTGACTTCCGTCAAAAATAAAGTGGTATTCAGGAAAAATTATGAATGCATATAGGAAAAGATGTTTCTTTAATAACTTTTTTTTTTTGAGATGGAGTACTGCTCTGTAACCCAAGCTGGGGTGCAGTGGCGAGATCTCACCTCACTGCAGCCTCCACCTCACTGGTTTAAGCAATTCTCCTGCCTCAGCCTCTTGAGGATCTGGGATTACAGGCACATACCACCATGCCCAGCTAATTTTTGTATTTTTAGTACAGATGGGGTTTTGTCCTGTTGGCCAGGCTGGTCCTGAACTCCTGACTTTAGGTGATCTGCCTGCCTTGGCCCCCCAAAGTGCTGGGATTACAGGTGTGAGCCACCGTGCCTGGCCTAACAACTTGCTTTTACCATACAAAATATTTCATCAAAAGAAGGCTAACTTCAGGCCAGGAGCAGTGGCTCATGCCTGTAATCCCAGCACTTTGGGGGGCCAAGGCAGGTGGATTTTATGAGGCCAGGAGTTCAAGACCAGCCTGGCCAACATGGCGAAACCCCATCTACTAAAAATACAAAAATTAGCCAGGCATGGTGGTGTGCGCCTGTAATCCCAGCTACTCAGGAGGCTGAGGCAGGATAATCACTTGAACCCGGGAGGCAGAAGTTGCAGTGAGCTGAGTTTACACCACTACACTCCAGCCTGGGCAACAGAGCAAAGCTCTTGTCTCAGGAAAGAAAATAATATATTTAAAAACAAAAAAAAAGGAAAAGGAAAAAAAAAGAAAGCTAAACTTCAAAACGTCGGCATCATGAGAACTGTTTCATTTTTTTTTTAATCACATGACAATATAACAACAGTCTTGCAGTTGAATTCCTACCCTAACTTTCTGGTTCTTATAAACAAGCACCACCCAATACTTTAAAGAAAAAAAAATACACTGTTGTTTGAAATTCATATCACATCAGTCTCAACCTTCCACAATACAATTCTAGTTTATGTTTAGAACCATTAGCCAGTTAGAATAAGACACCCTAATTGGAACAATTAAACTTTGAATACTATCAGGTTTTAGAGGACACCTTTTTTTTTTTTTTTTTTTGAGGTCTCACTCTGTTGCCTAGGCTGGAGTGCAGTGGCCCGATCTCGGCTCACTGCAACCTCTGCCCTCCGAGTTTAAGTGATTCTCTTGCCTCAGCCTCCCGAGTAGCTGGGATTACAGGCGCCTGCCACTGCGCCCGGCTAATTTTTGTATTTTTAGTAGAGACAGCGTTTCACAATCTTGGCCAGGCTGGTCTTGAACTCGTGACCTCATGATCCACCTGCCTTGGCCTCCCAAAGTGCTGGGATTACAGGCGTGAGCCACCGCACCCAGCCTAGAGGACACCTTTCAAAATCTAGTTATACTAATGACTTAAATCCTCCAATTACAATATCAAAGGTTTATCACAGTATGAATTACAAAAATGATTGATGCTTCTGTTATTCATTAAACTCTATCATCTTTATGGTTCCCTGTAAATTTGAAATAGTTAGAAATAGGACCACCACATCATAAAACACAATTTTATAGGGATTAACTGCTTGTTCATTTGAGACTATTACAATAGTTAAGAGTATAAACTATTAGACTCAGGAATTTCCTAGCACTTCAGGTCTAAGCTGAGAAGCTTTACTACCTTGCCACCTGTCTTTAACTCTCCAAATCTTCTTATGCAGCTAAGACAATAGACCAAAGACAAGGCTTTATCTCAGCTCACAAGAGCACTGATTAATATTCTCTCACATGCTTTGCAAACCTACCACACTGTACAATGCTTCGAAAGCGGAGATCACAAGCTGGTCCAATCCCATGGACTACAAAAACCAAGTGATCTATTTGTAAAGGTTCTCCTATAAATGAAATTAAAAAGAAAATTATTCTGTATAATTAGTCATGTATTCTAATATCATTCATCATGAAAAGGTTATAAATATGAGCAAGTTAAAAGATGAACAGATAATTTAAAAGATACAAAATAGTCCTTTAAGTACCTAGCAAAAATACACTGATTTTACTTGGTTTCTAATTTATCTTGAAATAAGTCTGTAAAATTTTTTTCAGGACTTTTTTCTTTTTTTTCTGATCTCTGAAAAAGAAAACTCGGCTGGGCGCGGTGGCTCACGGCTGTAATCCCAGCACTTTGGGAGGCCAAGGCAGGTAGATCATGAGGTCAGGAGTTCGAGACCAGCCTGACCAACACGGTGAAACTTCATCTCTACTAAAAATACAAAATTAGCCGGGTGTGGTGGCACATGCCTGTAATCCCAGCTACTCGCGAGGCTGAGGCAGAAGAATCACTTGAACCCTGGAGGTGGCAGAGGTTGCAGTGAGCCGAGATCACACCACTGCACTCCAGCCTGGGTGACAGAGCAAGACTCTGTCTCCAAAAAAAAAAACTCTTTTTTTTTTTTTTTTAAATTATGGTTTTTTTTTTGTTTGTGACAGAGTCTTGCTCTGTCACCCAGGCTGGAGTGCAGTGGCACGATCTTGGCTCACTGCAACCTCTGCCTCCCGGGTTTAAGCGATTCTCCTGCCTCAGCCTCCCGAGTAGTTGGGACTACACGCACACGCCACCACACCTGGCTAATTTTTTGTAGTTTTAGTAGAGACAGGGTGTTTCACCGTGTTAGCCAGAATGGTCTCGACCTCCTGACCCGCCCGCCTCAGCCTCCCAAAGTGCTGGGATTACAGCCGTGAGCCAACACACTTGGCCTTTTTTCAGGTTTTAAAAACTTTTTTTTTTTTTTTTTTGAGACAGAGTCTCACTCTGTCGCCTAGGCTGGAGTGCAGTGGCATGATAAACACTCATTCCAGCCTCAACCTTCTGGGCTCGAGTGATCCTCCTGCCTCAGCCTCCAAAATAGCTGAGACTACAGATGTGTGCTACCATGCCCAGTTAATTTTTGTATTTTTTGTACAGACAGGGTTTCGCCATATTGCCCAGGCTGGTCTCGAACTCCTGGGCTCAAGTGATCCTTCCACCTTGGCCTCCCCAAGTGCTGGGATTACAGGCATGAGCTACCACGTGCAGCCAGGTTTTTAAAACTTTTTATTTCTAAATAACTAGAAATGTACAGAAAACTAGAAAGCATAGTACAGACACTCCCACATACTTTTTACAGAGATTCAACTTTTTAACAATTACATTTGCTTTATGATTCTCTGTGTGTGTACACACACACACACACACATTTATTTTTCTGAATCATTAGAAAGCAGACTACATACATCATCAGGTTGCATGCACCATACCTCTTTAACCCTTTAATACCATAATGTGTATTTCCTAAGTATATTATCTTACATAACCATAATACAGTTATTGAATCCAGGCAACTGAACATTGATAAAATACTTTTATCTAGTATTTCATTTTTATCAATGTTTGGTATGTTTTTAAAGCCTGAAATTTTAAACTCATCTTTTTAAATTACAGTAAAGCTAGGATTTTGTCCAAGAGACAAGAAAAAAGGAATATTATAATCCAATTAAATATATTATAAAACCATAAGTGACCCTACCTAGATAGCAGTGCATAATCAGGTCCTGCTGAAAAACAGTTTTCCTTAGTTGAAAATCTTCAAGGACAAGGAGTTATTACCAGGTATAAATTTCTAGTCAAGTAGGTGGAATCACACTTCTTGGAATTAGGACTAAATCAGTTCATCTGTACTTAGTGACTTCCTGGATAGTATTGCCAAATTTTACCCATCCTACCATATGTTTTAAAAGATATTTTTACATCTATTAAGATTCTTAGTAGACGAAGTGATGCTAATCTCAACTTGGAATAAACCCATATGATTAAAGATGATTTTTAAGCCTTGAGGTAATCTAAATCCACAGAAAAAGGTCACAATTTAAGGAGTAAACAAATACATCCAAAGGTAAGAAAAAATAAACGATTAACATTACCACAATGAATGTCAACAGAGATGTTCTCAACTCCTCTCTTCACAGTTCTTGGTCGACCCTGCTCCGTGGGTGTTGAACCCCAATCATCAGACCCTGCAACTGGCTGGTAATGCACCATAAGCTTAAACAGAACAGATCAGAGCAATAAAAATATTCTGCAATACAATCATCTCTATACAATGCAGTTTTAAGTGTAGAATCATGTCTTTCAAACCACACAGTAAAATCTGAACTGGAGTTTTGATATACAACTCGTATGGCTTGAAATGAGAACCGTGAAAATATATTAGGCTAACAGATCTGTCAATAGTCCCTTTCTACATGGAAGACATGCTCACATAATATGTCAGTGATTTTCTTATTCTACAGTGGCATAATTTTCCATAAGAAAATTATTTTGTATAAGCTGAGTTGGGTAAATAACAGTAGTGGCTACAAGTTTTTAAGTTTCATAACTGTGAATTCAATATAAAATTTGACAAAGGTTATCCTACACAGAGTGCTTAGCAAAAGAAACCAATTGAGTTCTCCCTAATAGCGCAATTAACTTTTTATCCCGACAAGAGAAATGCTTTGTTTTACCTTTGGATTGTGTAAAATAATAATTTCTCTGTTGGGAGATTCCAGTTTCTTTTTCCATTCATCCAAAGTTACAGCAAGCATGTAAGTTTCCTTAAAAGAAAACACATTTCATTAGAGTTCTCTAGTAGCTTTCCTATTAAACTGAACCTATTAACAAGAATACTATGTATTAATGAGTTTCAATAAGAATATCCTACTCCAATTTATCAAATTTATTTTTAAATCTTTTTGTTGTTGTTGTTGTTTGTTTTGTTTTGTTTGTCTTACTCTGTCGCCCAGGCTGGGTTGCAGTGGCACAATCTCGGCTCACTGCAACCTCCGCCCCCCAGGTTCAAGCAGTTCTCTTGCCTCAGTCTCCCAAGTAGCTGGGATTACAGGCACCCGCCACCACATTCGGCTAACTTTTGTAGTTTTAGTAGATACGGGGTTTGGCCATAATGGCTAGGCTGGTCTCAAACTCCTGACCTCAGGTGATCTGCCTGCCTCGGCCTCCCAAAGTGCTGGGATTACAAGCATGAGCCACAGCACCCAGCCTATTTTTAAATTATTTTGAAATTACAACTGATAGTAGCACCAGGACAAAGGGGGAAAAATACTCCTAATTCCATCATCTACGCTAGATAATTAGTGTTCACATTTTAATATATTAATATTAATGTTCTAGACCAGGCGTGGTGGCTCATGCCTGTAATCACAATACTTTGGGAGGCCAAGGCAGGAAGATCACCTGAGGTCTGGCATTCGAGACCAGCCTGGCCAACACGGCAAAACCCCATTTTTACTAAAAATACAAAAATTAGCCAGTGTGAGCCGGGCGCGGTGGCTCACGCCTATAATCCCAGCACTTTGGAAGGCCAAGGCGGGTGGATCACCTGAGGTTGGGAGTTCGAGACCAGCCTGACCAACATGAAGAAATCCCATCCCATCTCTACTACAAATACAAAATTAGCCAGGCATTGTGGCACATGCCTGTAATCCCAGCTACTCGGGAGGCTGAGGCAGGAGAATCGCTTGAACCCAGGAGGCAGAGGTTGCGGTGAGCTGAGATCGCGCCACTACACTACAGCCTGGGAAACAAGAGTGGAACTCCGTCTCAAAAAAAAAAAATTAGCCAGTGTGGTGAGGCACGCTTGTAATCCCAGCTACTTAGGAGGGTGAGGCAGGAAAAGTGCTTGAACCCAGGATGCAGAGGTTGCAGTGAGCCGAGATCGCACCACTGGACTCCAGCCTGGGCAACAGAGTGAGACTCTGTCTCAAAAACAAAAACAAAAACAAAAACAAAAAAAGCAAAAAAAAAAAACCAAAAACAAGAAAAAGGCTGGGCGTGGTGGCTCACGCCTGTAATCCCAGCACTTTGGGAGGCCGAGGCGGGCGGATCACGAGGTCAGGAGCTTGAGACCATCCTGGCTAACACGGTGAAACCCCGTCTCTACTAAAAATACAAAAAATTAGCTGGGCGTGGTGGCGGGCGCCTGTAGTCCCAGCTACTTGGGAGGCTGAGACAGGAGAATGGCAAGAACCCAGGAGGCAGAGCTTGCAATGAGCCAAGATCGTGCCACTGCACTCCAGCCTGGGAAACAGAACGACACTCTTGTTTCAACAACAACAAAAAATACTAACGCTCTACTCCAATTTAAAGAAAAATTTCAGTTTTCAGAGCAAGAAAAATAAAAGCTAAAAAAGATCAATCCTGTGACCATAGCATAATACAGTTTGCATTTGTATTTGTGTGTGTGTGTGTGTGTGTGTGTGTGCGCGTGTACTTTTTTTTGTAGTGGTGGGGTCTTGCTTTGTTGCCCAGGCTGTTCTCAAATTCCTGGGCTCAAGTCATCCTCCTGCCTTGGCCTCACAATGTGCTGGGATTACAGGTGAGAGCCACTGTGCCCACCAGTTTTTTTTTTTTTTTTTGAGATGGAGTTTTGCTCGTTGCCCAGGCTGTAGTTCAATGGTGCGATCTCCACTCACCACAACCTCCACCTCCCGGGTTCAAGCAATTCTCTTGCCTCAGCCTCCCAAGTAGCTGGGATTACAGGCGTGCACCACCGTGCCCAGCTAATTTTGTATTTTTAGTAGAGACGAGGTTTCTCCATGTTGGTCAGGCTGGTCTCAAACTCCCAACCTCAGGTGATCCGCCCACCTCAGCCCCCCAAACTGCTGGGATTACAGGCGTGAGCCACCAGGCCCGGAGTATTTTTTTCTTTTTTTACACCTTAAAACACCACAACCATTTCCATCGTATTTTAAAATCTGAAAAAGGCCAAGCACAGTAGCTCACACCTGTAATCCCAGCACTTTGGGAGGCCGAGGCCAGCAGATCATTTGAGGTCAGGAGTTCGAGACAAGCCTAGCCAACATGGTGAAACCCCATCTCTAATAAAAATCAGTAGGAACAACTCTCCCATTACAATATTTTCCTTTCAAGGATTGAAAAGGGGAAAAGAAGTACATATTTCAAAATAAATCTCCCAACATACAATTCTGAGTTATATTCTAAATAATGTTATGAAACACATGAATGAACAGTTCCTACTTGGCTAAACACCAAACAAAATGGAATCTAATTCATATCTTTTTCACTACCTACTTTACAAACCGTCAAACCATTCCTGATTTTAATGAAACATGAAAAAAAATACTACCCAAACAGTTTTGTTCTTTTTCTGAGGAAAGATAGCAGTGCCCCTTAAAAAAAATTAGCCAGGTGTGGTGGCGGCCACCTGTAATCCCAGCTACTTGGGAGGCTGAGGCATGAGAATCACTTGAACCGGGGAGGTGGAGGTTGCAGTGAGCCAAGATCGCACCACTGCACTCCAGCCTGGGCAACAGAGCGAGACTCCGTCTCAAAAAAAAAAAAAAAATCTGAAAATAAGACTACTTTATCCTGAAACTTGCTTGTAAATAGAAATGCTTTATTATGTTTTATAATGTGATGCAGACAGAACCAAAGTCTTTCTGGAAATTTCACAAAATAAATTACAAAGGAAAGAAAAGATTATTAAATAAGAGAAAGAAAGAATAAGTAAAAAAAGAGTCAAAAGAATACCTCTAAAACTTGGCTGAAGCTCTCCGAGTAGGGAACATACTTATTGTCTTTGTCCCCCTTGTAAAACCACGTACATCGTCTCACTTCCGATGCCAGTTCATCCCAGTATACAGCATACCGCATCCTCTCCCCCAAATGAACATCATATCTGCCCCCATCAGTAGGAACAACTCTCCCATTACAACCTTTTCCTTTCAAGGATTGAAAAGGGGAAAAGAAGTACATATTTCAAAATAAATCTCCCAACATACAATTCTCAGTTATACTCTAAATAATGTTATGAAACACATGAATGAAAAGTTCCTACTTGACTAAACACCAAACAAAATGGAATTTAATTCATATCTTTTTCACTACCTACTTTACAAACCGTCAAAACCATTCCTGATTTTAATGAAATATGAAAAAAATACTACCCAGTTTTGTTCTTTTTCTGGGGAAAGATAGCAGTGCCCCTTAAAAAAATTATATAATGTGATTTTTCTGAATTTGCTTGAGGAACCATAAGGTAAATTAATAACCATCATGATGATTCAGTATAAATAGAATCATTCTTGTTTTATAAAAGAAGAAAAGACAAGTGACAAGTTAGAGAGTTCATTCTTCTGCACCCCACTCTATACATACTTTTTTCTTTTCTTTTCTTTTTTTTTTTTTGAGACAAGTCTCACTCTATCACCCAGGCTGGAGTCCAGTGGCACAATCTTGGCTCACTGTAACCTCCGCCTCCCGGGTTTGAGCAATTCTCCTGCCTCAGCCTCCCAGGTAGCTGAGACTACAGGCACAAACCCCGCCGCCCAGCTAATTTTTGTATTTTTAGTAGAGAAGGGGTTTCACCATTGCTGGCCAGGCTAATCTCAAACTCTGACCTCAAGTGATCTGCTCGCCTTGGCCTCCCAAAGTGCTGGGATTACAGGTGTGAGCCACTGTGCCCAGCCTTACACATTCTTTATAAAACAAAGTAAAACATAAGCTAGAACATTAAAGATATTACTGGGGGGCTGGGCACAGGGTGTAACACGCCTGTAATCCCAGCACTTTGGGAGGCCCAGTCAGAAAGATTGCTTGAACCTAGGAGTTCAAGACCAGCCTAGACAATATAATTAGGCCCCCAACTCTAAGGAAAAAAAAATTATTGGGTAACTATGCAGAAATAATAATAGATACTGTTTTCAAAATACAGACCAAATTCTTGAATATTATTGATTGGCTAGGTATTAGTGCAGAAGTTCTATATAAAATGCTGTAAGAAATTATGTAACTGGAAAAATCTAAAATTTGGTTTTCATAGCACTCACTATAAGGACCATTATATTATAGTTTGAAGAGGGGAGAGTCTTTGTCTATTCCAAGTCATAATTTTCACCTACCAGAGCTATATGCCTCTTCCAGCTGCTGTGAATCCTCAGAGTTGAAAGGAATCCATGTCTCCTTAGAATCTATTATCTTACAATAAAACCAATGGGGAGAAACTGGTTCATACAAGCTGCCAGCATCCATGTCTATTAGCTCAAAGGAACTACATGAGTTTGGTGACGGAGATGGATCTGACTGGGACAACTGCTCCTGTTGTGACTGCACTGATGACATTTCGCTCTCTAAAGACAAAAGAAAACTATCAGGAAAACGAACTTAACTGTGTAACTGTTCGCACACACACACGCACAAAACTAATCATTTTACGGAGCCATTTCTGCAACAACAACAACAACAAAATCTACATAATTTAAAAGAGAAATAACATAAATTAGCAACTGGATGGGTGGAAGCTTTAAATAAAATGCTTCTATTAGATCAACCATTGCACAGAGTTCTCAATTCTCTCAGTAAACTGGGTAATTTTACTCAGTCCATAAGTTATAAAACAAACCCAGAATCACAGGACCACATGCTCGAAACTAGATTGCAACAAAAACATTTTACCCTAATTTCCAATCTAAATGTAGTTAAAGGCAGAAAATTTACTCCAAGTCAGCTGGGTCATGCCCTGTCCTAGTAACGCCAAGGTTTTGGGCTCCAGGCCCCTACCATTACACAACTAATGGAATCTTAAAATACAAAAAATAAAACTGTTCGCTTAGGAACCAATCATTTTTGATGGATCCTTGAAGTCGCTTAATGGGTGGTGGTACAAATTGGGAAAAGACGAAACCTCGCCTGGGGCCACGGTGCGCACACGCACGCCCACTCCCATAGCCAGAATCTCAGATGAAAGCTAACAAGCGACCTCAAAAGCCTCCTCCCGCAGAGGCGGCTCTGACCAGCTGTTTCTACCTCTCCAACACTCCTTCCACTCGGCAACGATCAGCGCCGCAGGCACCAGAAGGACACTTCTAAGCTGCCTCGTAGGGCGGGGGGCAGGAGGGCATCTCGCGCGGGCCCGGCGGGACGGCAGACGCCGGCTTTCGGCTCCATTGTCCTTTTCCCCACACAGACTTACCTCAGCCACCCTGGCGCGCCCCTGGCCCCCGCGACCCTAGGCCCTGGCGCCCCGCTCCGGGCCCTCGGAGCTCGGGCTCAGGTCGTCCGCCCGCAGCCCCGCGACAGCAGCAGGGCAGCCAGTGCAGACCACAGGGTTCACAGGGTGCCCAGGGTTCCCCCAGGCTCGGGGCTTCCCGGGAGCCGAGGTTCCCCCGCCCCGCATCCCGGCCCCGCAGCGCTGCGCCGCCCACCTGCACCCAGCCTGGCCTCCCTCGGTCCAGCCGCCCGCCCGACGCGGTCTCACCTGGCGGCCCCGCCACTCCTCAGGCTCTCCTGCCCTCCCTGAGGAGGACACTGCATGGCCCGGCCGCGGCCTTTACCCCAGCCCGGGCGGGGCGCGGCGGAGCAGGGCGGAACCTGCAGCCCCGCCGGGCTCGCGCCGAACACCAGGCGCCACGGCGCTCCCAGTGGGCGAGTAGCGGGCCCGGATGCCAGGCGAAAAGGTGAGGCGGCGGGGAGCGCGGCGCGCGACCGCGGGTGGGGCGTGCAGGGCCGCAGGGCACGGGCGGCAAGTGTCGCGAGAGGTGGGGGGAGTCGCGCGAGACGTGGCTCCTGCGGGCAGGGAGCTGCAGCGCCGGGCGGCGGGCTGCTGGCTGCTGAGGTCTAACAGTGGGGGAGAGTTTCGAGTGTCCGTGGCGGAAGGGGCTTCGAGATCAGTTTCTAGTATCCGTGACGGCAGGGGCTTCAAGATCAGTTTCGAGTGTCCGTGGCGGAAGAGGCTTCAAGGCGGCCCCTCACGTACGGGGCGGGAAAGTCGGAATGATCCTCGGGATACGCTACAGACCCTACTAGTGCGCCAGGAGCAGCGCGGTGATCACCGGACGCAGGGACTGCGCGGCCCCGGGATTAGCGGAGTAGGGCGGAGGGCGCAGCCACAGCCGCCCCGCTCCTGGCCTCTGCTTCTGGGTGCTGAGAACGGGTGTCACTAGCATTTGCCAGGCAAAAAGGCTTTGGCCCGTCCTCCGTGCATTTATTATGATTTAGAGGTTACCAAAAAGGTATCCCTAAAAAATGTAGAGGTGTCGGGCGTGGTGTCAGCGCCTGGGTCTGAGCTACTCAGGAGGCTGAGGCTGAAGGAGCGCCCCAGCCCATTGGTGCCAGCTGCATGAGCCCAGATGGCGCCAGTGCACTCCAGCCTGGGTAACACTGCGACACTAGTCTCTAAACAAACAATAAAATTAATAATTTTTTTTTGTTTTGTTTTGTAGAGGCAACCTTAACAGGATTTAAAAGATGCCAGGGAGGTTGGAGATGAGATACTGCTGTCCAAACAGGAAGACATAACTGAGGTGAAAAGTTGAAAGGGGCTGGACGCAGTGGCTCACGCTTGTAATCCCAACACTTTGGGAGGCCAGGAGTTCAAGACCAGCCTGGCCAACATGGTGAAACGGCATCTCTACTAAAAATATAAAAATTAGCCGGGGGTGGTGGCTCGCGCCTGTAATTCCAGCTGCTTGGGAGGCTGAGGTGGGAGGATCACTTGAACCCGGGAGGCGGAGGTTGCAGTGAGCCAAGATCGCAGCCACTGCACTCCAGCCTGGGCAACAGAGGGAGACTCCATCTCAAAAAAAGAAAAAAAGAGAAATTTCCCGCAGTCATGAGGTCGAGTACAGGCCCTGCCCGACTCTCCTTAGTATTTCATTTTAATACCTTTTGGTATTTAAAAAGATATTTTCCTATATTCTAACTAGATTATAGGGCATTTTTTTTCAGTTTTTGTGTTTTTGTTTTTTGTTTTTTGTTTTTGAGACGGAGTCTCACTATGTCACCCGGCTGGAGTGCAGTAGCACGATCTCGGCTCACTGCAACCTCCGCCTCCCAGATTCAAGCGATTCTCCTGCCTCAGCCTCCGGAATAGCTGGGATTATAGGCATGCGCCACCGCGCCCAGCTAATTTTTGTATTTTTACTAGAGACGGGGTTTCACCATGTTGGCCAGGATGGTCTCGATCTCTTGACCTCGTGATCCACCCGCCTCGGCCTCCCAAAGTGCTGGGATTACAGGCGTGAGCCACCTTGCCCGGCCTATTTCAGTTTTGTTATTTCTTCACAAACAGAAAAAGAAAACAATTTTTTATAACACATTTATTCTCTTTGCAAATTAACAGCCACACACAAATATCCCCAAGTTAACACCTTCCCTTCAAATTTATTACACTTAGAATAGCTTCTGCAAGGCCGGGCACAGCGGCTCACGCCTGTTAATCTCAGCACTTTGGGAGGCCCAGGCAGGCCGATTTAGCAAGGGGTGGAGCTAAAATCACGAACCCACACAGTGTGACTTCAGAGCCTGCACCTAAGTAACTTGTCTAAAATCAGTCAGGTAAGTGACAGAACTGGAACTTGAATTTAGGTTTTCTATCTTCAAATCCTGTTGTAGCCTCCATACCAGCTGTTCTCAAATTTGGAGGGCTGTCTCAAAAAAAAAGTGGATTGCAATGTGCAGTTTGAAAATATATCAGTAAACTTCACATATTCTGATACTATTAAAATCCATTTTTCTGTCTTGCACTTTGTTTTATTTTTGTTGTTTTGAGTAAAGTGAAAGCAAGTTTATTAAGAAAGTAAAGGAATAAAAGAATGGCTACTCCATAGGCAAAGCAGCCTATCTTGCACTTTGAATGGATCTCTTACCCATGTGTGACTTAAGACATGTATTGTTCATTTGGGAAAGTATCAGTTCACTGAGCTATGTAGATCTTCCAAATGTTAATATATTTTATTATACAATTTTTTAAAAATTACCGATCTCATCAGAAAAGTCTTTAATATTGGGAAGCTGTCAAGCTCAGAGTAGCAGGTACAAGTTTTCCAATATTCTGCTTTTTTCTTAAAAGGTCAAATTTTATCATTGGCAACAAATGATAAATTGTCTTCCTTGAAGTGACAAGTCTCCTTTGTTTTCAAATAAATTTCTGCTAAATACTTACATACAAATAGCCATAGTTTGTCCCTTATACTTTCAAATAAAAATGATGTTGCATGAAAAAAGAGCATCTAGTTCAGCTTCCAATTCAAATAGTCACTCAAGTTCTTTTTCTTCAAGACACCACCATCTTACTTTTGGTATGCAACAAAATGGTTTTATGGGCCACAGTGACTCATGCTGTAATCAAGCACTTTGGGAGGCTGAGGCTGGCGGATTGCATGAGTCCAGAAGTTTGAGACCATCCTGAGCAACATGACGAAACCCACCTCTAAAAAAAAAAAAAAAAATTAGCTGAGCATGGTGGCACAGACCTATAGTCCCAACTACTCAGATGGCTGAGGCGGGAGAATGGCTTGAGCCCAGGAAGGGGAGGTTGCAGTGAGCCGTAATCACTATATCTGGTTAATTTTTAAATTTTTCTTAGAGACAGGGTCTCACTACATTGCCCAGTCTGGTCTTGAACTCTAGGCTCAAGTGATCCTCCCACTTCGGCCTCCTAAAGTGCCCAGCAGGAATCTGCATTTTAAATAGTTACCACACATGATCTGGATGCAAGTATTTGGGATCCACACAGTATAAATTTTAGGTTCCCCAAAAGTCTGCATACATAGGTAGTTTCAGACAAATAGAATATCTTACTGTGCCCCTTAAAAATAAAAACCCATGGCCGGGCGCGGTGGCTCATGCCTGTAAAAACTTTGGGAGGCTGAGGCGGGTGGATCACGAAGTCAGGAGATCGAGACCATCCTGGCTAACACGGTGAAACCCTGTTTCTGCTAAAAATACAAAAAATTAGCCAGGCTTGGTGGTGGGCTCCTGTAGTCCCAGCTACTCAAGAGGCTGAGGCAGGAGAATGGTGTGAACCCGGGAGGCGGAGCTTGCAGTGGCTGAGATCTTGCCACTGCACTGCAGCCTGGGCGACAGAGCGAGACTCTGTCTTAAATAATAAATAATAAAAACACACTTAATGTTACTGGCTGTTGTTTGTGGTTGTATATCAGCCTTTTACCAGACAAGCCTTAACAGGTAAAATGTAAAACAATCTCTACTTTTTCCCTTTCAATGTTCTAGTGCAAGAGGCAGCGAACTTTTTTTCTGTAAAGGGCCAGATAAATTCTTTAGGTTCTGTAGGCCATAAGGCTCTGTCACAACTAATCACTTCTCCTGTTGCAGCACTAAAGCAACCAGAGAGGAGATGTAAACTGATGAGTGTGGCTGTGTCCCAGTAAAGTGCAGGCAGGGGTTTAATTTGATCTCAGGTAGTAGCTTGCTGACCCCATGCTCCTAGTGCAGAAGATAACGCTAATGGCCAGTAAGTTGTTTAAAGAGCAAAACCAAGAATGTAGGGGTCATAAACAACTGGATCTTATATCCAAAGCTGGAATCATTGTTTTTAGAGGCAGAAGTCCTCAATCCCAGATTAACACCTAGGCATCCAGAGTGAAGAAAACTTCACAGTTGTCTCTGACGCTGACTATACAATAACAAGACCAGGGCTTTGGGCTCTGACAGTGATTTTCAAACTTTCACCACTCACTGCAGCTTCGACCTCCCAGGCTCAGATGATCCTCCTACCTCAGCCTTCCAAGTAGCTGAGATCACAGGTGTGCACCACCACATCCTGCGAATTTTTTTATTTGTAGAGACAGGGTCTTACTATGTTGCCCAGGCTGGTCTCAAACTCCTGGGCTCAAGCGATCCTCCCACTTTGGCCTCCCAAAGTGCTGGGATTACAGGCATGAGCCACCACACCCAGGCCTAAGTAGGTTCTTAAAATGTAGATTTTCAGATCCAACATGATCTGAAATGTAGATTCAGAAACATAGATTAAAACGTAGATTTTCAGAATCCAACAAGATTCTGATTTGACTAGAACACTTAATCAGAGGGGTCCATATTGTGATGGTTAATTTTAGGTGTCAGCTTGACTAGATTAAGGAATACCTAGAGAACTGGTAAAACATTACTTCTGGGTGTGTCTGTGATGTGTCTGTGAGGGTGTTTCCAGAAGAGATTGGCATGTGAGGTGGTGAACAAACCTCTTTGAGGGGGCAGAAGGTGTGAAGATAAATTTGTGTCCCATGTGAATGCTCACCAAAGGGTGACCTCAGCAGAAGAGAACTTTAATAACCAAGTAGATAGGATGACCTATTCTGTGGATACTAGTCAGCCTCTGGCCCCTGCCACCCCTGTCATTGCCCAGTCACCCCTGTCATTGCTCATGAAGAAATTGGCCATGGTAGCAGGCATAAATGTTTTTGCATGGCTCAGCAACATGGACTCCCACTCACCAAGGCTGACCTGGCTGTGGCTACCTCTGAGTGCTCAATCTGACAGCAATAGAGACCAGCACTGAGCCCCTGATTGTGGCACCATTACCTGGGGTGATCAGCCAGCCACCTGGTGGCAGGCTGATTACACTGGATGGCTTCCATCAGGGAAGGGGCAATGTTTTGCTCTTACTAGAATAGACACTGGATAGGATTTGCATTCCCTGCCCATAATGCTTCAGCCAAAACCATCATCCCTAGATTTACAGAAAGCCTTATCCACTGTCATAGTGTTCCATACAGCAGTGCTCTGACCCAGCAGTGCTCTGACTCACTTCACAGCCAAGAAAGTGTGAAAATGGGCTCATGCTCATGGAATTCACTGGTCTTACCATGTTGCCCACCATCCTGAAGCAGCTGGCTTGACAGAGTGGTGAAATGGTCTTTTGAAATCACAGTTACAGCACCAGCTAGGTGGTAATACTTAGCCGGACTGGGACAACCTATAGGTGCTCTGAATCGGCATCCAATATATGGAACTGTTTCTCCCATAGCCAGGATTCATACATCCAGGAATCAAGGGGCAGAAATGGGAGTGGCAGCACTCACCATTATCCCTAGTGACCCACTAGCAAAATTTTTGCTGCCTATTCCCAAGATTTTATGCTCTGCTGGCCTAAAGGTCTTAGTTCCACAGGGAGGAATGCTGCCACCAGGAACCACAACGATTCCACTGAACTGGAAATTCAGACTGACACCCAGCCACTTTGGGCTCCTCATGCATCTGAGTCAAAAGGCCAAGAAGGGAATTACTATGTTGCTGGGGTGACTGATCCAGACTATCAAGGGGAAATTGGCCTACTACTCCCTAGTGAAGGTAAGGAAGAGTAAGTGTGGAATATGGGCGGTGCCTTAGGGCGTCTCTCAGTATTACCATGCTCCGAGATTAAGGTCTGTGGGAAACTACAACAACCCAATCTAGACAGGACTACAAATGGCCCAGACTCTTCAGGAATGAAGGTTTGGGTCACCCTGCCAGGTAAAGAACCACAACAACTAGCTAAGGTGCTTGCTGAAGGCAAAGGGAATACAGAATAAGGGTTTTAGCTGGTATTTATAACTAACTTATTCTACAAATGGGCGGTAGTAGTTATAAATACCAGCTAAAACCATGTTACAGAAACAAAGACTGTTTCATTAAGAAACAGTCACATACAGGCTGGGTGTGGTGGCTCATGCCTGTAATCCCAACACTTTGGGAGGCCGAGCTGAGTAGATCACTTGAGGCCAGGAGTTTGAGACCAGCCCGGCCAACATGGTGAAACCCTGTCTCTACAAAAAAATAATAATAATAAAATAAGAACAAAAATTAGCCAGGGGTGGTGGCACACACCTGTAATCCCAGCTACTTGGGAGGCTGAGGCAAGAGAATCGCTGGAACCTGGGAGGTGGAGGTTGCAGTCAGTCAAGATCATGCCACTGCACTCCAGCCTGGGCAACAGAGTGAGACCCTGTGTATTACCCTGTTTTCACAGTGCTAATAAAGACATACCCAAGACTGGGTAATTTATAAAGGAAAGCAGTTTAATTGACTCACAGTTCAGCATAGTGGCGGAGGCCTCGGAAAACTTCCCATCGTGGCAGAAGGGGAAGCAAATACGTCCTTCTTCACATGGCAGCAGCAAGAAGTGCCAAGCAAAAGGAGTAAAAGCCCCTTACAAAACCATCAGATCTCATGAGAACTCACTATCACGAGAACAGCAGCATGGGGGTAACCGCCCCCATGATTCAATTACCTCCCACCGAGTCCCTCTCATGACACATGAGTATTATGGGAACTACAATTGAAGATGAGATTTGGGTGAGTACACAGCCAAACCATATCACTCTGTCTGAAAAAAAAGTCACGTGTGTATATTTATACACACACACACATATACACACACACACACACGCACACACACATATATACTTTTTTTTGAGACAGGATCTCCCTGTCACCCAGGCTGCAGTGTAGAGCTGCATGATCACACAGCTCACTGCAGCCTCGACCTCCCCGGCTCAAGTGATCCTCCCACCTCAGACTCCCAAAGTGCTGAGAGTACAGGCATGAGCCACAGTACCCAGCCATATGCATATATTGAGCAAATATCTGTTTTTATTCCTTATTTCTTTATAATACAACATAAGACATATTGACTTTACATCAACATTTAAGTACTGTTAATTTTACATCATAGTATTTAAGTTATGGGATATCAGGAAAAGAGTAAATATCACCCAAGAACTTCACCTTCTCTTCTCGGGATGGGATTAATGCATTTCTCATTGTACATAGGATAGTTGCATCATGGTAGGCAGAAATAATACCTTGCTATTATCTTTATTTTGAGATTAAATATGGTTTACAGAGATGCATATGGGTGCCAAGTTGATAAGAGGTGGACTTGTGATGCTTAATTTTAGGTGTCAATTTGACTGGATTAAGGAATACCTATAGAACTGGTGAAGCATCACTTCTGGGTGTGTCCATGAGGGTGTTTCTGGAGGAGATTGGAATGTGAGTCTGTGGATTGAGTGGGGGAGATCAATGCAGGAAGGCACCATCCAATCAGCTGGGGTCTCAGAACAAAGAAGACAGAGAAAAGGGCCGGGTGCGGTGACTCATGCCTGTAATCCCAGCACTTTGGGAGGCGAAGTGGACGGATCACGAGGTCAGGAGTTCGAGACCAGCCTGATCAACATGATGAAACCCCATCTCTACTAAAAATACAAAAATTAGCCGGACGTGATGGCGCGTGCATGTAATCCTCGCTATTCAGGAGGCTGAGGCAGGAGAATCATTTGAACCCAGGAGGCAGAGGTTGCAGTGAGCCGAGATCAGTCACTGCACTCCAGCTCTGAGTCTCCAGAGTGAGACTCCATCAAAAAAAAGAAAGAAAAGAAAAAGAAAAGGCGATTTCTTTTCTCTCTCTCGCTCTCCTGGAGCTTGAGACACTCTTCTGACCTTGGACATTAGAACTCCAGGACTTGCACCAGCAGCCTCACATGTTCTCAGGCCTTTGGCCCCAGACAGAATTACACTATTGGCTTCCCTGGTTCTGAGGCTTTCACACTTGGAGAGAGCCACGCTACGGACATCCCAGGGTCTCCAGCTTGCAGATGGCATGTCCTGGGACTTCTCAGCCTCCATAATCACATGAGCTAATTCCCTAATAAATCCCCTGTCATCTCTCTGTCTATACTATTAGTCCTGTCTCTCTGGAGAACTCTAAGAAAATGAATCTATACTTTAATCAAGAATATGAAAGCTACAGCTGTGAGGCAAGATTCTTTGAATCAGGAAACAAGAAGACTTGAGTTTTCAGCTATACCACTTACTGATAAAGTAAGAATGTTAGAATTAGAAGAAACATTAGAGACACCACAGTGATGTTATCTTCCAGCCCAAACTCAGTGGTTTTTATAAGCTCATAAACCAAACATGAAAATGCATTTTATTACTTTACAGCCACAACTGAAAAGTTCCTGCCCTCAACGTGAATAATTTCTCTTAGATATTTCACTTTGAGGAAGGTGATTTATATTTATGATTTCTCTGTCTTACTTAAATGAGGGCCAAATTTGTTTTGAGAGCAAGTAATAGCTTCAGTTGAAGCTGTGCAGCAAGGTGGCTCTCCTCTAGCCCTGGGAGGTTTCCAACAAGCCAAGGTTTCTTCTCAGCTAGGGTTGCCAGACTGAGCAAATGTAAATGTAGCAAATGGAAATATAAAATGTAAAATGTTTAGAAAAAAAACAGGAGAAAATCTCCAGGAACTAGGGGTAAACAATGAGTTCTTAGAGACTTTACACCAAAATCTCCATCCTTTAAAGGAAAAAATGATAAACTGGACATCATCAGAATTAAAAACTTTACTCTGTGAAAGACTCTCTTAAGAGGATGAAAAGACAAGCTACAGACTGGGATAAAATATTTGCAAACTACATATCTGACAAAGGTCTAGTATCTAGAAAACAGAGAACTCTCAAAACTCACTAATGAAAAGACAAAAAAAAATTAGAGCTAAATCTTGGTTTCTACTACCATTCTTCAATTAGAGGACACAGGACTCCTTGGAGAAATAACTGATTCTTGGACTGGAATAGGAAAAATACAGGATGAGCCTGGAGCATCTCACAGTAGCAGAAAGTTTAGAAGGGCTTAAAAAAAAAAACCCACAAAACGATGGGTGTATGTCAGAAGGATAATGGAATCAATGAAAAGAGCTTCCAGTGGCCAAAGTGGAACAATTTGAGCAACAAAATGAATAAGGTAGCATTAGAGCATAACCCAAAGTATAAAATAAATATCCATGAGTCCATACTCAATAAACAAGAGATTAGGTCAATCTTCCTTGTAGGGAAATTCCAAATAATTTATGTAGATATTCCACTCCCAAGGAGATGAAGAATAAGTTCCACACTCCTTAAGTGTACAGCTGTGTATAGTGACTTTCTTCCAGCGTATAGTGTGAAAAATGGACAAAAAAGACTAACTGTATAGTGAAGAAGTCTGACCAACACTACCTCAGCCAGGTGATTAAGGTTAATGTTAACAGTACAAGTCATGTTGATAGCATATGCCCGTGATATGATTGATGAGAAGGGTAAGTCGCCTCTGTGGTCTTCCTCCCCAAAACCCATAGCCCCCATCTAATTATGAGAAAAACAGACAAATCCCAATAGAGGGATGTCCTAAAAAATTACTTTGCCAGTACTCGGCAAAACTGTCAAGGTCATCAAAAACAAGGAAAGCCTAAGAAAGTGTCAAAGCCAAGAGGCCCCTGAGACATGATGACCAAATGTAAGGTGGTATCCTGGATGGAATCTCAGAAGAGAAAAGGGATATTAGGTAAAAATTGAGAAAACTAAATAAAGTATGGCCTTTTGTTAGTAAGAATCAGTATTGATCCATTATGACCGACGCACAACACTGAGTTAAGGTGTTAATAGAGGAAACTGGGTGAGGGGCGTATAGGAATTCTCTGTAGTATCAAGTATCATCACAGTTTTTCTGTAAGACTAAACTATCCTAACATTAAAAGTTTATTAAAATAAACCTAATTAGAAAATAGGCAAAACACTTGCAATATATTTCACAGAAGAGAATATACAGATGGCAAATTAGCACATGAAAAGATATTCAACATCATTAACCATTAGAGAAATGCAAGTTAAACAACAATGACATATCAAAACACACCTATCATTATGGCCAAAATAAAAAATAGTGATAATACCAAATACTGGCACAGATACAGAGAAACTCATACATTGCCTGTAAGAATGTAAAATGGTATAGCCACTCCAGAAAAATATGGCAGTTTCTTTAAGGATTATATGTGCAACTAAAATATGACCCAGAATTGCACTCACAGGCATTATTTCATTTCATAAGAAATAAAAACTCTTTTTTTTTAGACAGAGTCTCGCTGTGTCGTCAGGCTGGAGTGCAGTGGTGCAATCTCAGCTCACTCCAACCTCTGACTCCCTGGTTCAAGCGATTCTCCCAAGTAGCTGGAATTACAGGCACGCGCCACCACACCCAGCTAATTTTTGTATTTTTAGTAGAGACGGGGTTTCACCATGTTGGCCAGGATGGTCTTGATCTCCTGACCTCGTGATCTGCCCGCCTCAGCCTCCCAAAGTGCTGGGATTACAGGCGTGAGCCACCGCGCCCCGCCAATAAATAAACACTTATATCCACACAAAAACCTGTACAAGAATGTACACAGAAGCTTCATTCAACAGCCAAAACCTGGGAACAACCCAGATGTCCTTCAATAGGTGGATGCTTAAACAAACTATAGCACATCCATACTACAGATAACTACATAGGAATAAAAAAAGAACAATTGGCTGGGCACAGTGGCTCATGTCTGTAATCCCAGTATATTGGGAGGCCAGGATGGGAGGATCCCTTGAGCCCAGGAGTTCGAGACCAGCCTGGGCAACATAGTGAGACCCCAAATCTATAAAAAATTAGCCAGGAGTCGGCTGGGTGTGGTGGCTCACGCCTGTAATCCCAGTACTTTGGGAGGCTGAGGTGGGCAGATCACCTGAGGTCGGGAGTTTGAGATCAGCCTGACCGACATGGAGAAACTCTGTCTCTACTAAAAATACAAAAAATTAGCCGGGCATGGTGGTGCATGCCTGTAATTCCAGCTACTTAGGAGGCTGAGGCAGAAGAGTCGCTTGAACTCGGGAGGCGGACGGAGGTTGTGGTGAGCCGAGATCGTGCCATTGCACTCCAGCCTGGGCAACAAGAGCGAAACTCTGTCTCAAAAAAAAAAAATTAGCCAGGAGTAGTAGTGCACACCTGTAGTCCCAGCTACTCAGGAGGCTGAGGTGGGAGGATCACTTGAGCCCAGGAGTTTAAGACCACCCTGGGCAACATGGTGAGATCTCAAATCCACAAAAAATTGTTAAAAATTAGCCAGGAGTGGTGGTGCACGCCTATAGTCCTACCTACTCAGGAGGCTGGGGTGGGAGGACCGCTTGACCCCAGGCGGTTCAGTCTGTGGTGAGCTGAAATCACACCATGGCACTCCAGCCAGGGTAACAGAGCAAGACTCTGTCTCAAAAAAAATAAATAAATAAAATAAATAATGATTTATACAGAAAACAATTGAGATGAATCTCAAGATAATTATGCTGATCGAAAAAAAAAAAAGTCAAGTCTCTAAAGGCTTACATTCTGTATGATTTTACTTACATAACATTCCTGAAATGACAAAATTTAGAAATGAAGAACAGACTAGTAGTTGCCAGGGTTTTAGTGTAGGGGGAGAGGGGAATCATGTAGTTATAAAAAGGTCAACAGGAGGGATAAACAGCAGTGATGCATCTTTATATCAATTTCAGTATCCCGGTTGTAACTTTGCAGTAAAGTTTTACATTTTACCCACCAAGGGAAACTGGGTAAAGGGTACATGAAATCTCTGCAGTACCTTTTTTTTTTTTTTTTTTTTTTAAAGACAGTTGCCCAGGCTGGAGGGCAGTGGCACCATCATGACTCACTGTAACCTTGCACTCCTGGGCTTAAGTGATCCTCCTGCCTCGGTCTCCTGAGTAGCTGGGACTACAGGCACATGCCACATAACGCCTGGCTAATTTTTAAATTTTTTTGTACAGACGGGGTCTCACTATGCTGCTCACACATGTAAGCCACTGTGCCTGGCCTCTGTATTATTTCTTAAACTGCATGTAAATCTACAAGTACCTCAAAAACTATAATGTAAAATATACAGCGAAGTACAGTGGCTCACACCTGTAATCCCAGCACTTTGGGAGGCTGAGGTGAGCGAATTGCTTGAGCTCAGGAATTCGAGACCAGCCTGGGCAACATGGCAAAACCCCCATCTCTAAAAAAAAATACAAAAATTAGCCAGACGTGGTGGAATGCACTTGTAGTCCCAGCCATTTGAGAGGCTGAGGTGGGAGGATTGCCTGAGCCTGAGAGGCAGAGCTTGCAGTGAGCTGAGATCATGCCACTGCACTACAGCCTGGGTAATAGAGTGAGATTCTGTCTCAAACAATCAACCAACCAACCAAACAAACCAAAAACAGTACTCCTAGTTAAATTTGAATTTCAGATAACAAATCATCTTTTAGTATATGTATTTCCCAAACATTGCATGGATCATATTGATATTAAAAATGATTTATTGTTTGAAATTCAAATTTAACTGGGAATTCTGTATTTCATCTGTCAATTCTACTCTTGGTCTTAGCCAATTTTGGAAATATATATTGCAAAATAAAAGGACATTTAGGGGTTGGCTGAGAGAAAATGTGCCATGATCCCAGAAGCACCTAAATCCTCACTCGCAGCTGGTCCTTACTCTGCCTTCCACTTATCATGACAAATGTGGTCACTACTCCCCATGAGAAAAGCCAGAATGTAAAACCTTCCTGTTTTCATATAAGAGTGAAAATCATGCAGCTAGCCTCCTCTTCCCAATTTCAGACTTAAAATAGCTATCCGCTCCAAGAAAGATTATAAAAAAGTAATTAAGCAGAATAGTCAAGAAACATTTTCTAAAGGTAATTTTGGCACCTGTAATCCCACAACTTTGGGAGGCCGAGATGGGAGAATCATTTGGAGCCAGGAGTTCGAGATCAGCCTGACCAATATGGCAAAACCCCATCTCTACTAAAAATACAAAAATTAGCTGGGCGCAATGTCACACGCATGTAATCCCAGCTACAAGGGAGGCTGAGGCACAAGAATCGCTTGAACCCAGGAGGCAGAGGTTGCAGTGAGCCAAAATTTCACTACTACATTCCAGCCCGGGTGACACAGCAGGACTGCGTCTCAAAAAAATAATAATAAAAATAATTTTGGGTCTCTAGAGTAACAAAACCATACTTCAAAGAATACAAGGCCAGGCATGGTGGCTTATGCCTGGAATCCCAGCATTTTGGGAGGCTGAGATGGGTAGATCACTTAAGCCCAGGAGTTCAAGACCAGCCTGGGCCACATGGCAAAACCTCATCTCTATAAAAAATACAAAAATTAGCTGAGTGTGGTGACGCATGGCTGTAGTCCCAGGTACTGGGCAGGCTAGGGTACAATCAATTGAGCCTGGGAGGTTGAGGCTGCAGCAAGCTAGGATCACACCATTGCACTCTAGCCTAGGCTATGGTATAAAACCCTGTCTCCAAAATAAAATAAATACACACACACACACACACACACGAACACACAAGCAAGAACAGGCGTGGTGGCTCATGCCTGTAATCCCAGCACTTTGGGAGGCCGAGGAGGGGGGATCACCTGAGGTCAGGAGTTTGAGACCAGCTGACCAACATGGAGAAACCCCGTCTCTACTAAAAATACAAAATTAGCCGGGTGTGGTGGCACATGCCTGTAATCCCAGCTACTGAGGAGGCTGAGACAGGAGAATCTCTTGAACCCGGAAGGCGGAGGTTGCAGTGAGCAGAGATCATGCCATTGCACTCCAGCCTGGGCAACAAGAGTGAAACTCCATCTCAAAAAAAAAAAAAAAAAAAAAAACAAAAAAAACGGATATCTGAGAAATACCTCTAACGTGATAATGTGATAATGACAAAGACTAAAAGAAAAAAGCAATTTTGAGGAAATCCATTATTCGAAAGAAGAAAACACCAAGAAATCATCATTAATATCCTCAGAGATACAAGATGCTCCAACTGTAAACAAAAGCAGAATCTCATAAAGGAACCCAGCAAACAAAAATATCCTTGGAAGTTAAAAATATGATAGGGCCAGGCGCAGTGGTTCATGTCTGTAATCCTAACACTTTTGGAGACTGAGGCAGGAGGATCACTTGAGGTCAGGAATTCAGGACCAGGACCAGCCTGGGCAATATAGTCAGATCCTGTCTCTAAAAAAATGGTGTGTGTGTGTGTGTGTGTGTTTTGAGACGGACTCTCACTGTGTCGCCAGGCTGGAGTGCAGTGGCGCGATCTCAGCTCACTGCAACCTCCGCCTCCTGGGTTCAAGTGATTCTCATGCCTCAGCCTGAGTAGCTGGGATTACAGGCATGTGCTACCATACCCAGCTAATTTTTATATTTTTAGTAGAGACGGGGTTTCACCATGTTGGCCAGGCTGGTCTCGAACCCCTGACCTCATAATCCACCCGCCTCGGCCTCCCAAAGTGCTGGGATTACAGGAGTGAGCCACTGCAACTGGCCAAAAGTTTGTTTTTTTGGTTGTTTGTTTTGAGATGGAGTCTCGCTCTGTCGCCCAGGCTGGAGTGCAGTGGTGCGATTTCAGCTCAACTGCAAGCCCGCCTCCCGGGTTCACATCATTCTCCTGCCTCAGCCTCCCCAGTAGCTGGGACTACAGGTGTCTGCCAGCACACCTGGCTAATTTTTTGTATTTTTAGTAGAGATGGGGTTTCACCATGTTAGCCAGGATGGTCTCGATCTCCTGACCTTGTGATCCTCCCGCCTCGGCCTCCCAAAGTGCTGGGATTACAGGCGTGAGCCATCACGCCCAGCCAATTTTTTTTTTTTTTTTTAATGATAGAAGAGGCTGGGCATGGTGGCTTATGCCTATAATCCCAGTACTTTGGGAGGTGGAGGTGGGTGGATCACTTGAGGTCAGGAGTTCAAGATCAGCCTAGCAAACAGGGTGAAACCACATCTCTACTAAAAATACAAAAAATTAGCCAGCGTAGTGGTGGGTCCCCATAGTCCCAGCTACTCGGGAGTCCAAGGCAGGAGAATTGCTTGAACCTGGGAGTTGGAGGTTGCAGTGAGCTGAGATCACACCACTGCACTCCAGCCTGGGTGACCGAGTGACAGTCTTTCTAAAAAAAAAACCAAAAAAAAAGATGGAAGAAATGTAAGACACAATGTTTTAGAAGTCAGAAGAAAAAGTTCGCCAGGCATGGTAGCTCATGCCTGTAATCTTAGCACTTTGGGAAGGCAAAGTGGGTGTATCGCTTGAGCTCAGGATTTCAAAACCAGCCTGGGCAACTTAGCAAAACCCTGTCTCTACAAAAAAATACAAAAAAAATTAGCCAGTTGTGACGGTGTGCACCTGTAACCCAGCTACTCAGGAGGCTGAGGCAGGATGATCAACTGAACCAGGAAGGCAGAGGTTGCAGTGAGCAGAGATTGTGCCCCTGAACTCCAGCCTGGATGACAGAATGAGACCCTGTCACACAGAAAATAAAAATAAAAAGTGATAAAGTTGTATAAATCTCCTACAAAGTACCACAAAAAGGCAAAACATTAAAAAAAAAACAAACAAACAGAAAACATAAGAAAATTAAAGAACCAGTCTATGAGGCCTACAGTCAAAACAGTAGTAATTCTAGAAAGTATTAACAGAGAAGACTGGGATGGAGGAAAGAGGGAAATTAACAAACAAACAAAAAATCAAAAAATTTCACAGGACTTAATGGTATGAGTTGCCAGAATGAAATGGCCCCAGCAAAACGGATAAAAATGGACCTAAACCAAAGCTATTCTTAGGAAATTTCAGAACAAATGGGGCCCCCCCAAAAATTCTATAAGCTTCTAGAGAAAAATATCAGGTTTTATACAAAGGATCTTGAATCAGAATGGCATATGCTTCTCAACAGCAATTCTGGAATCTACAAGACAATATAACAATGCCTTCAAAATCCTTAAGATAATCATTTCCTAGAATTCTATACCCAGCCAAACTATCAATCCATTGGCTAGGTGGAACAGACATTTTCAAATATGCAAGATCAAAATAAATTATTTCCCATGCACCCTTTTCCAGGAAGCACCTGGAGAATATGCTCCACCAAATGACGGAATAAACAAAAAGAGAAAGACATAGGATACAAAAAACAGAAAACCAAAAGAAGAGACAAAAAGAATCCACAGCATGACCCTATGTACTATGCCAGGAACATACTAGTTTTCCAGTCAGAAGGGTTCAGGATAGACTCTTCAGAAGTTTGAAATTGATAAAATATTTATATATATATATTATATATATTTATATTATATATATTTTAAATATATATTATATATTAAATATATATTACATATTTAATGTATATTTAATATTTTAAATATATATTTCTAATATATATTTATATGTTTTATATATATATATTTATTTATTTTTTTTTTTTTGAGACGGAATCTCACTGTTGCCCAGGCTGGAGTGCAGTGGCACGATCTCAGCTCACTGCAACCTCCACCTCCTGAGTTCAAGTGATTCTCCTGCCTCAGTCTCCCAAGTGGCTGGAATTACAGGCATGCGCCACCACACCCAGCTAATTTTTGTATTTTTAGTAGAGATGGGGTTTTGCCATATTGGCCAGGAGGATCTCCTGACCTCAAGTTGTCTACCCACCTCAGCCTCTCAAAGCAGTAGGATGACAGGTGTGAGCCACCGCGCCCAGCCAATATTAATAATTTTTAATCATTTTGTATTTATCTTAATTTTTTAATTTTTTTTTTAAATAGAGACGAGGTCTCACTATGTTGCCCAGGCTGGTCTTGAACTCCTGGGCTCAAGCAATCCTCCCGCCTTGGCCTTCCAAAGTGCTGGGCATACAGGCATTAGCCACCATGCCGGGCCTTGTCTGAGCATCTTGAGAGACTTAGACGACTGAGAGAAGGTCAAATCAGTCTTAGGTAGATAAGCAAACAAAACAAATATGACAGATGATTAATTCCAGGGAAAACAAGTTGTTAGGAAAGGAAAAGTAATCAGGTTACTATATAGCTAAACTCTCCTTAGCATTTACATAGTCAGGATAACGTACAATGAAACTACCAAATAAGTATATTGAGGACAGGTGTGGTAGCTCACATCTGTAATCCCAGCACTTGGGAAGCCAAGGAGGGAGGATCACTTGAGCCCAGCCAGGCATTTGAGACTAGCTTGGGTAACATGGCAAGACTCCATCTCTACAAAAAATTACAAAATTAGCCAGGTGCCATAATGCATGCCTCCCAGCTACTGGGGAGGCTGAGGCGGGAGGATCCCTTGGGCCCAGGAATTTCAGGCAGTAGTGAGCCGAGATCATGCCACTGCACTCCATCCTGGGTGACAGAGCAAGACTCTGTCTCAAAAAAAAAAAAAGTAAAGAAAACATATATATATATATATAGAGAGAGAGAGAGAGAGAGAGAGAGAGAGAGAGAGAGAAAGAGAGAGAGAGAGAAACCTGGAAACCTGGCCAGGCACAGTGGCTCACACCTGTAATTCCAGCACTTTGGGAGGCCAAGGTGGGCAGATCACCTGAGGTCAGGAGTTCGAGACCAGCCTGGCCAACATGGTGAAACCCCGCCTCTACTAAAAATACAAAAATTAGCTGGACGTGGTGGTACATGTCTGCAATCCCAGCTACTCAGGAGGCTGAGGCAGGAGAATGGCTTGAACCTGGGAAGTGGAGGTTGCAGTGAGCCGAGATCGCGCCATTGCACTCCCACCTGGGCGACAGAGCAAGACTCCGTCTCAAAAAAAACATAAAAACTCAGTTGAAGCTGGTTGAGGTGGTCCATGCCTGTAGTCGCAGCTACCCAGGAGGCTGAGGCAGAAGGATCACTTGAGCCCAGGAATTTAAGACCAGCATAGCAAGACTCTTGTCTCTAAAAACAAAATTTTTTGATTAACAAAAGAAAAACTCAGTTGAAAGTGGTTGCCTTTAGAGAAGGAGAAATGGGGGTGGGATCAGGAGAATGCTGCCTTTCATAGAACTGACTTTTTAAACTCGTAACTTCTACGAATTGAGGTAAACTCCTTACTTTTTTAAAAAAATAAGTAAAAAAAAGTAAAGTTGTAAAAGAAAAGCTCCATCAACTATCCATCCCCCAAAAACTTTTTTATGCCTATTTAATCTACATTCTTCAAAATTTTTTTAACCTGCCTAGCTTTAATGGTATTATTTACATTAACCAACTGAAAAACTGTTTTCAGAACCCCATTTTTAAAAGCATTTAAAAGAATTCTGCACCAACATGTGGAGACACATATAATCCAACCCCTGTATACTTCATTAGGGCTTATTTGTTTAAACAGTTTCATTGGCATTCATACTTGGAACAACAGAGGGTTATTATAAAAAAAAAAAAACATAGTTGTGTTTATCATGCCAGGACTGGGTAACTTTATTCAAGACTTTGACAAAATGATCCCCAAAGTAATATAAATGTAGACACTTTAAAAAGTCCAGATGTGAAATTTCAAGAAAACTTTGAATTCAGTCCAAAGTCAGTATTAAGTCAAAAGTTGAACCAATTCTACAAATCATAAATACTATTTTCCTTCTTAAGTTCATATATTTTCTGAGATAGATTACCAACTTAGTTTTCTTTGATATTGGTATTTGGAATAATTTTAACATGATTTAACATCTTTAAGTTCTAAATCTATACTTATCCTGAATATCTTATTATAGTTAAAAATATAAATCCAGAACTGACAACTCTTCCTTACAGAAGAATTCCAATAATAAATGTAGAAGGATTGAGAGAAATAGAAAATCACCATTAGAACACCACAGTAGTAACTGCCACAAGCAAGATCTGCCAATGGATAGTAAAATGAGCAAAAGTTTAAGCAGAAACGGGACATTTGCATAGTCTCCGGGTATCTCCAGCAAATATTCAATAATTACAAGGAAAACACAGTAAGTTTACAGTAGCGAATCCTAGCAGACACCACCTTAGCATAGTGATCAAGGTTAACAACACCAGAAATACATTACAACATCAGGTATCCCCTGTTATGATACACTGTCACAGACTGGAAGACAGGACGTAGGCATGATAGCTAAATGCAAGGCTGGGTCTTGGAACAGTAAAAGGACATTAGTGAAAAGACTAAAATCTCTACTTTTTAAACTTTCTACTTTAGTTAGTATTATATCAAGGTTAATTTCTTAATTTTGACAAATGTTCTATTGTTACGTAAGATGTTAACATAAGGGCAAGGTGGGTGCAGAGTATACAAGAACTCTACTACTTTTACAACTCTTCTGTAAGTCTAAAATTATCTCAAAAGCTTAAAAAATAACTGTTAGAAAACAAACATGTATGTGCATAACATGTGTACATATATATAAATCAAGACTTCATGGAAATTGGCATCTTGGGCACTCAGTCAGTAAAAGAATAGTGTTCTCTTCTGAATTATTCATTGTCTTACTGGTAGCTTAGCTTTAAGGTCCTCCCCCTTCTAGACTTTTAATTTCAAGTATAAATTTCTAATTTTCATAGAAAAGCCTTTTTTAAACATTCCTATATTAGGCCAAAAATAAAATCCTAGAATAAAATTATCACCATATTATCTTATAAAATCACTCATCCCAATCATAAGACCCAGCCAGTATTTTTACTACATTTCCTCTCCTCATCTGTTTGTATTGGTTTGGTTTGGTTTATGAGTGGGGACAGCTAATAGATTTAGTATTTACTCATAGGCCTGACAGTCTAGGGGAAAAAAAATTATCACTTGGGTATCTTATGAAGAAACAGCTATTTTTCCAAGAACCAATATTGTGTACTCACCTCAGACATAAAAAGTTATTTACCTAAGTCTCTTCTATCTAACAGCATAGAGTTACCCAAACAAGGCCAATAAAGACCCTTTCAATATCCTTTTCTTAAATTTGGCTCTAAAATGACTGTTAATAATGGTAATAAATGTCTTTTTATTAAACAGACAATTTTATCTTATGCAATTTAGGGAAATAAACATAAAATCTACCTTTAAATGAAGAAAATAATAATTTCCCACTCTAACTATGGCTGATTCATTCCCTGAGCATGAATCCCATTTTACCCTCATTGTTTTTAACTATAAACTGAGCTGAAATCTGCTCACAGGTGAAACTAGTATTTTAGATGGAGAATGATATTACCAAGTAATCATATTTATTACTTTTTGTAGTAATTATTTCTACTCACTGTGGCATTTAATGTTTCATCTGTAACTCTCTATCACAATGCCCTCTATAGAAGCAGCAATAGTGAAAACATAACTACACTTTGGGGAAAAAAAAAAAAAACAGGAAAAAACAGATAACTTTTAAGTGGATCTTTATCCAAATACAATAAAAAAGCAAAAAAGAAAAGTGTCCGTAAACATTTTCATTTTATGTCAATGCCATTTCCAAATTTACCTTCCACTACTACCATGAACAGCAGAAGTGGTAAAAAAAAAAAAAAAAAAAAAAGAAGAAAAAAACTCTAACCTAATGATCTATAGAAAAAGGGAGACAATTTACTCACTACACATTGCAGTATATTCAAGTGGTGAAAAGATATAAATTTTTTCAGAACTGCCATACTATCTGGCTGTCAATATAGTCTCTTGAATAATTATATTAAACATATTACTACAAAATGTACCAAGAAGTAGAGAATAATACTATATTTGTAAACTGCAAATAACAAAACAAAACAGAAGTCCAAGAAGGCTAAAGTCTAAGCTATAATTACACATGAAGTATATGTTGAAAGCAGTCACAATGTACAAAAATGTGACAAGATATCCAGATGTTTAAAAAAACACATCCTGTTTGTCTCAGATTATATCCAGTTTCATCTGGTAGGTTTCTGATAAGCCTGTTGTGTGAAGTGTGTTTCCCTCCTGCTGGTAAGAAGCAGCTTGTAGATATCCATAAATTTTTTAAGGAGTGAGTCTACTTGGCAATATTGGTAACTCCATAGTTTCCTATTACATTCATTCGTCTGAAAACTGAAAACAACTCATGACTAAAATATTCTTCCATTCCTTTGCCAGTTTTTCAAGTATAAAATCAAAGGAAAGCTGGAATGTATTGCTTCTTGTCATCAACAGGCATTTCAAAAAGAGGGTAATTAACCAAATCAAGTGTTCTTTGGTCAAGTTAGTAACAGGCTTCCACTTTGTTCTAAATCCTTTCATAATCCTTTTTTTTCTAATTTTTCCAGTATGGCCTGAATCTTACAAACAGCCTCTTTTCTGGCCTGCCGTACAGAGTCCTGGCCCCCAGTTTCAACTGAATCCAGTTCCAAAAGTTCCTTGGTTAGCATTTCTTCCAGAAGCCAGTATGCTTTGTCTGTCTTTTTTCCTACAAATTCTTCTACTTCTTGTTCAAGATACTGGACCTTCTCCAGCACATGTATGATTTTTTTAATACTCGGAGGAGTACTTTCATCTGAAGGTACACATTCTTCAGGAAGACTGCTACTTTGATCTTGATTGTTGGGATGGTCACTGGTGGCATTACCATACAGCTGAGGCTCAGCACTATACTGGACTTGGGAATCCAAAAGATCTGAATCATCATTGTTCACTGTCCCCGAGGATTCGTACTGATGGACACTGCAAGGAAAGTTGTGCCGGTTCATGCTTTGATCTGATTGGCTATAGGGGTATGAAGAATCCTTGGAGTGGGAGAGCAAAAAGAGGAAAAGAGCTGTTTTAATGGGAATGCATCAACATCAAATTTGTTAGCCCACATCTTTCACTTGACCAGAAAGGTACATGAAAAGATTCCCTAACAATAAAATTGGACCCCTCTCCTTAATCATTTGCAAAAAAACACAGTCCTAAGAAGATAAAAGGGAGTGCCCTGTCAGACAAAAGGCACAGAATTTTTGAGTTATAATGGCTGGAACCTGCCCTGTGGCAGGTCCATCACCATGAGCACCTCATAGTCCATCCTGTGACCTAATTAATAAGAATTAGTTTTTCCCCTAAAAGGTTAAAAACCTCAAGCAAGGTCTTGAAAAGGAACACAGCCACAAGTGATAATGTTCAAGTCTGTGGTTTAAATACAAGCTCATGCTACAGATATTTCACATTGGTTTTGTCTTCTGTTCATAGATTATTTGAAGTAGTAAAATGCATCTTTGCATTTAACGTTTAGAAGAATTACAACAAACAGAAAATGTGTATCTTTCTGTCTTTTAACAAAAACGATGTGAATCTAAATCTTCTCTAAATATAAAGTCTATTAAAAAAAAGAAAAAGGAAACCGAGCTGAGGTAAAGCTATAGATAAGTAGTCACCAACTTTTTGTAATTAGTCCCCATTTAACACAAACCAGTACAGAAACTATATAAACCATGTTATGTTCTCCTAATTACACACACATTAAAGGAACAACATTTAGGTCTCCTACCTTGGGCTGCTGGACTGGGGGTGAAGGGGGTGACTGGGGAGAGCCACTGCTAGGCCATGGTGAAGTACTTTCAGTCATGTAGAGATTGCCGGGTGGTGCTGAGGGCGCTGATGAAGGCCAGGGATAACGGCCACCCATTCCATAAGCACCAGGAGAAGCCCACGCATCTTCTTGTGGTCGTACAGTCGGTCCTGATTGTGGAACACTACGATTACCATCTCCATAAGGATAATGGGGCAGGGTCATTCCAGGGTTCTAGATTGAGAAGAAGAAATATACCAGTCATTGTGAAAAACTTATAATAAAAATATTCTGCTACAGGCAGATTCTGAGATGCTTCCTCTCTTCTTAACAGAGTATACATTAGCTGCTACCGGACTAAACTGTAGTAAATCTAATTAATCAGCTGCAGTAATTTCTCCAAGCCTCAAAAAGTTGGTTCCAAAGATACCAGGGGTAGATTTAATGACAATAAAACTCAGAAGGAATAAGGCCTAAAAATTCAATGGATGAAACCCAAGTCTGTCCCATAGATACTATAAACAAACGGACCCATATGCTATAAGGAAGCACAAATAAAGACATGTTAGAACTCCTCTTGAAGTGAACAGAGAAATAAACATAGTTATTCACAGAATATTAAAAAAACATGAACCTGGCCAGGCGCGGTGGCTCACGCCTGTAATCCCAGCACTTTGGGAGGCTGAGATGGGCGGATCACGAGGTCAGGAGATCGAGACCATCCTGGCTAACAAGGTGAAACCCCATCTCTACTAAAAATACAAAAAAAATTAGCTGGGCGCGGTGGCGGGCGCTTGTAGTCCCAGCTACTCGGGAGGCTGAGGCCGGAGAATGGCATGAACCCAGGAGGTGGAGCTTGCAGTGAGCCTAGACCGTGCCACTGCACTCCAGCCTGGGCGACAGAGCGAGACTCCGTCTCAAAAAAAAAAAAAAAAAAAAGAACCTAACAGGGTGCTAAAAAAGGCTAAGATTTGCCTGGCACGGTGGCTCATGCCTGTAATCCCAGCACTTTGGGAGGCCGAGGGGGGCAGATCACGAGGTCAGGAGATCAAGACCATCCTGGCCAACATGGTGAAACCCCATCTCTACTAAAAATACAAAAATGAGCTGGGCGTGATGGCGCGTGCTTGTAATCCCAGCTACTTGGGAGGCTGAGGCAGAAGAATTGCTTGAACCCAGGAGGTAGAGGTTGCAGTGAGCCAAGATCACGCCACAAAAAAAAAAAAAAGGCTAAGATAGGGAAACTTTCAAGCAGCAACTCTCTAAAGATTACTTTCAGTATAAAAATTTATGATTATGACCTTCAGCCAAAGTCCATTTACTGCAATAGCTGCCACAAATAAGAAAGGCATCAATATAAAAGCCTTCCCAATCTAGAAGTGTCTTATTAAATCAGCACTAGTATGAACAGATGCTCTTCCACTGTTTACAAGAGGCAGAGACTTTGAATTCATTTTTTTCCCAATAGAAAACAACTCACCTGTGAAGGCGGATATCCTGGAACCTGCCCCCTAAGAGGGGGTGCTTCAGTCTGACAGTCCTGCTGGGGATAGATCCAACGAGAGACTGGAGTTGGGCTGTTGCCAGATGAACGGTAAGTACTTGGAACTTCTGTGGAGTAACTGGTCTGAGTATAACCAGGTGCATAATAAGCCCCTGAGTATGAGGCAGTATTTGCCCCAGGGCCTGGGGGGTATGTTGGACCATACGCTCCATTTGTATAAGAATTCAAACTCTGAAAAAAACCAAGTTGAGTGAAAAAAAGATGAATTAGTAGAAGAGCTGAAATGCCCTGACTTAATGCCTAAACTTGAAAACTTTGAGAAGATGTTAATCACTAATGCAGGCCAGGCACAGTGGCTCATGCCTGTAATCCCAGCACTTTGGGAGCCCAAGGTGGGAGAATCATTTGAGGTCAGGAGTTTGAGACCAGCCTGGACAACATAGTGAGACCCTGTTTCTACAAAAATAAAATAAAATAATTAGCCAGGCATTGCCAGGCACAGTGGCTCAAGCCTGTAATCCTAGCACTTTGGGAGGCCGAGGCGGGTGGGTCACCTGAGGTCAGGAGTTCTAGACCAGCCTGGCCAAAATGGTGAAACCCCATCTCTACTAAAAATACAAAAATTAACCGGGCATGGTGGCAGGCGCCTGTAATCCCAGCTACTCGGGGGGCTGACGCAGGAGAATCGCTTGAACCCAGGAGGCGGAGGTTGCAGTGAGCCAAGATCGTGCCATCGCACTCCAGCCTGGGGGACAAGAGTAAGACTTCATCTCAAAAAAAAAAAAAAAAAAAAAATTATCTAGGCCTCATGGCACACATCTGTAGTCCAAGCTACTCAGGAGGCTGAGGTGAGAGGATTGCTTGAGCCCAGGAGGTCAAGGCTGCAGTGAGTCATGGTTGTACCACTGCACTCCAGCCTGGGCAACAGAGTGAGACTCTGTCTCAGAAAGTATAAGAAAACAAAAAAATTATTTAAAAAGACTATAGAGACAGACCTAGCTCTGCCATAGGCTTTGTATTTAACCTTCCCTAACTTCAGTTTCTCCATCAGGAAAATGAAGATCATAAACGTATCTTTGAGGATTACTGTCAAAATTAAATAAGATGACATATATAAAAGGTTTAGCATAGTGTCTGGCATATAGTATGCTCAATAAATGGTAATTATTTGTATTATGACTGTTGTTAGTATTATCATGGCTGGGTCATGACATGAACCCAGATCTGACTCTGAAGTCCAGTTCTTTGTATTACACCATCACTCTGCATCCCAAATGATACCAACAACAAACTCCTCATATATTGCTCACTGTAGTTTTAAATAACCTATTCAGACTCTTATCCACACCCAGAATCCTCAGTTTAATAATCCAAACAAGATTCAAGCTAGGCAGGCGCACAGGCTCATGCCTGTAATCCCAGCACTTTGGGAGGCTGAGAAGGGAGGATCACTTTTTTTTTTTTTTTTAAGATGGAGTCTTGCTCTGTCACCCAGGCTGGAGTGCAGTAGCAAGATCTTGGCTCACTGCAACCTCCACCCCCCAGATTCAAGCGATTCTCCTGCCTCAGCCTCCCAAGTAGCTGGGATTACAGGCATGCTATAATTTTTGTACTTTTAGTAGAGATGGGATTTCACCATCTTGGCCAGGCTGGTCTCGAACTCCTGACCTCATATCCACCCGCCTCAGCCTCCCAAAGTGCTGGGATTACAGGCATGAGCTACTGCATCCAGCCTAGGAGGGAGGATCACTTGAGCTCAGGAGTTACAGACCAGCCTCAGGAATATAGTCAAACCCCATCTATTTAAAAAAAAAAAAAAAAGTAATTTTTAAAAAAAGATTCAAGCTTAATGCTAAATTTAAATGATCACCTCAACGTGTTCTATTAATTTCTACTTTACCCTTTAAAAACAGTGAAAACACAGAATCCAGTTTTCCTATACTCATCTCTATCTCGAAGACTATATAATCTTTCCCACTTTAGGTATGAGGATACCCATGACCAAAGAATTCCATGCAGGATGAGGTATAATAAACAGTCAGCAATGCATTCCCTGAGCAGAAGACCATGAACCACCACTATGTTAAAACTACTAAGAGGCTGTTAAGGTCTTCGGGCATAAACAAAGAACTCCGTAATACATCACACACACAATTGGAGACTTAATAAAACATTATGTGACTTTTTGTACTGTTATTCAACTTCTAGAAATCCTAAGGAAATGATTCAACTAGAGAAAAAGTTATAGACATGAAGTTCTTCATCGCAGCATTATTTACAATCACACAAAATTGTAAACTACCTAAATGTCCTATAACAATGGAATCTTTAAGTAGATTAAAGACTATTCATTGAAAAAATTGTATTCAGTCTTCAAATTTTATTGTTATGGCTAGGCGCACAGACTCATGCCTGTAAAAATCCCAGCGTTTTGGGAAGCCAAGGTGGGAGGATTGCTTGAGCCCAGGAGTCTGAGAACAGCCTGTGCAAACAGCAAGACCTCATCTCTACAAAAAAAAAAAAAAAAAAAAAAAAAAAAATTAATTAGCTGGGCGTGGTATGGCACAGCTATAGTCCTTAGCTACACAGGAGGCTGAGGCAGGAGGATCGTTTGAGCCTAGGAGTTCAATGTTACAGTGAGCTATAATCAAGCCACTGTTCTCTAGCCTGGGTGACAGTAAGACCCTGTCTTCAACTAGCTAACTAACTAAATAAATATTTTACTGTTAGAACTGACCAGATATTTAATGATATGAAATAATTATTTTTAAGGTTGTTTTTTTCCTTTTAAGTTTTAATTTTTAATTAAAAATGTTTAAAAACATTGTGGTTATGTTTTTAAAACTTCCTTATATTTTAAAGAAACATACTTAGGTATTTATAAGTGATAAAATGATATCTGAAATTGCTTCAAAATACTCCAAGGAAATACTCCAAGAATAAATACACGACGGCCATGTACTGATAACCCATTGAAACCAATAGATGGGTTCATGTTACTTTAGTGTGTGATTCTCATTGCTTTTATGTGGCTTTTGTTGTTTATTTTTTTTCTTTTTCCCTTCTCACAGGCGTTGTTTTTGTTTTTTTTTTCGTTGTTGTTGTTTTTCTTTAAATAGAAATGAGGTCACGCTATGTTGCCAGGCTAGTCTCAAACTTTTAGGCTGAAGTGATCCTGGCACCTCAGCCTCCCAAAGTGCTGGGATTATACCATGCCTGGCCATTACTTTTTTTCTCCCCAAGACACCCAGGGTAGAATGCAGTGGCACAATCACGGCTCACTGCAGCCTCAAACTCCGGGCTCAAGCAATCCTCCCACCTTAGCATCCTAAGTAACTGGGACCACAGGCATGCACCACCATGCCTGGCTAATTTTTGTATTTTTTGTAGAGACAGGGTTTGGCCATGTTGCCCAGGCTGATCTCGAACTCCTGGGCTCAAGCAATCCACTCGCCTCAGCTTCCCAAAGTGCTGGGATTACAGGTGTGAGCCACCACATCTGGCCAGCCATTACTTTTGATGCTTGAAAATTTCCTTGATTCCTGGAATTACTTCCTGGTTTTGAGATGCCTTCATGAGTTCATTGCTTCTTTTCCCAAATAACCACTGTCCTGACAGATCACAAAGCTGTCACATGCATGTTTACAAAAGAACACAGAATCAGATTATATAACAGCCTTGCAGTTGCTAAAGATGTTTGTTAAGGATGAGCTAAAGATCCTATTTCAGAAACGTGGCAAAGTTTTTAAGTCTTTGTCTGAAAAGCAGCTTGTGTGAAAGTTGCCAATGCCAAGATGGAGTCACTTACATCAGACCCAAAATGGAGGGGGAGGTCACGAAGGAGGGGATCTCATGCACACATGTCTGCGATAAGTATTATCACAAGGACTTTTTTTTTTTTTTTTTTTGAGACAGGGTCTCACTCTGTCACCCAGGCTAGAGTACAGTGGCACCATCATAGCTCACTGCAGCCTAGATCTCCCAGGCTCAAGTTATCCTCCTGCCTCAGCCTCCCAAGTAGCTTGGACTACAGGTATGAGCCACTGCACCCAGCCTATATCACAGGGCTTTCTAAAAACTCACAAAAAATCCCTGTAGGCCCTACTCATCTTGCTTGTCCTACATATGTCTGTAACAGGACTTATCACAAAAAATTCCTCAACCAGGCACGGTGGCTCACACCTGTAATCTGAGCACTTTGGGAGGCCAAGGTGGGCGGATCACGAGGTCAGGAGATCGAGACCATCCTGGCTAACACGGTGAAACCCTGTCTCTACTAAAAATACAAAAAAATTAGCTGGGCGTGGTGGCAGGCGACTGTAGTCCCAGCTACTCAGGAGGCTGAGGCAGGAGAATGGCGTGAACTCGGGAGGCGGAGCTTGCAGTGAGCCAAGATCGTGCCATGGCACTCCAGCCTGGGCGACAGAGTGAAACTCTGTCCAAAAAAAGAAAAAAAAAAAATTCCTCAAGACTGCAGTTTCACATAAGCCATCTTCATAAGAACACTCGCTTAGCAATGAGTTTCCAGTAACATCAGCTCCTACAACAGGCCCCTGTGACCAATGATGTTTGTCTCAAAACAGCTTATATGGACTTCTCCTCTTTCCCTTTAAAAGTTTCCCCTTACTACAACTTCTCCAGATATGTAGGGGATGATTATCTATGGTATGCGCATCTGAAATTGTAATTCTCTGTTTATTTCCAAACAGATTCATTTCTTTGAAGAGTCCTTCTCTCTGTTGTTATTTTAGGTTGACACTTGGAGCACAGCAAAGAAAATACAGGAGTTCCTTGCACCATTTAGAGTCATAAGACGGAATCCAAAAAGGAAGAAAATGCTTCTAGGACTTCAGAACAGATTTCTGTTACATATTAAAGTATGTCATAAAAATGAAGGACTTGGCCAGGCGTGGTAGCTCATTCTTGTAATTCTAGCACTTTGGGAGACCAAGGCAGGTGGATCGCTTGAGGTCAGGAGTTCCAGACCAGCCTGGGCAACAAAGTGAGACCCCATCTCTACAAAAAATACAAAAATTAGCCAGGTGTAGTGGCGTATGCCTAAGGTCCCAGCCACTCAAGCAGTTAAGGTGGGAGGATCACCTGAGCCAGAGGAGATTGAGGCTGCAGTGAGCTGTGATCATGCCATTGCACTCCAGCCTGAGAAACAGAAAAAAAAAAAAAAAGGGGGCCGAGCACAGTGGCTCATGCCTGTAATCCTAGCACTTTGGAAGGCCAAGGCAGGTGGACTGCTTAAACTCAAAGAGTTTAAGATAAGCGGGGGCAACCCCCTCTCTACAAAAAATACAAAAATTAGCTGGGAATGGTGGCATGTGCCTGTAGTCCCAGCTACTCAGGAGGCTGCAGTGGGAGGATCGCTTGAGCCCAGGAGGTGGAGGTTGCAGTAAGCCAATATCATACCACTGTACTCCAGCCTGGGTGACAGAGGGAGACCTGGTCTCAAAAAAAGAAAGAAAAGAAAAGGAAAAAGAAGGACTTAAGAACAAAGCAGAAGCAACTCAACCGAGTTTGAATAATACTGAGAAAACCTCACGAACTTTATTAACAGTTGGGTGAGACAATATCTTCTGCTTCCAGAGATACAGCCTGAGATTGTGAACTTCCGTGCTGTTCACACCCTACTCCATGAATCGCCCTCCATGCTCCTCTCAAGAGTCCACACTATTAGTTAAAGAATGAAGTTCTGAAAAATGAGGAAGGCTTTAGTTCAAATGCTGCCCTAATACTTGCATAGCACATAAACTGCACCTGGCACATGGCAGGCTAATCAACTTGGAAGATTGGTCAGACACCTTAGCAACATTAACAGCTTCTTAAAAAAAAAAAAAAAAAAAAAAAAAAAAATATATATATATATATATATATATATATATATATATATATATATATAAATTCCACACTCAGAATAAATGCATGAAATTACATATTCTTGGCTTATTATAGCTACTTTTGAATGAGAATTTTTAAGATTTATAAAACCAACCAAACAGAAGAATGACCATGTGGCAAGGCTAACCCAAGGAGGTAGCCGGAAGGTAAAGACATGATACTGCTTAATTTTTTAAAAAGGAAACCAGTCATATCTATATACCACTATAGGAGTCTATCTTGGATAGAAGCTAGACCAAGTGCAATGGCTCACGCCTGTAATCCCAACACTTTGGGATGCTGAGGTAGAAGGATCACCTGAGCCCAGGAGTTCAAGACCAGCCTAGGCAACATAATGAGACCCCATCTCTGCAAAATATTTAAAAATTAAACCAGGTGTGGTTGCACGCACCTGTACCTAGGACACTGAGACAGGAGGATCACTTAAGTCCAGGAGTTCAAGGTTACAGTGATCTATGATTATGCCACTACAATGAACTGGGTGGTAGAGCAAGACTATCTATCTCAAGAAACAAACAAAAAAAAGATGATGATAAATGTATAATCCCCATGTGATGTTTCGCCAGAAAATACACATGTGCTCACCTCAAAAAGGTGTATGTCTAGACACCTTTGGGTTATTTTAAATCCAACAACTTGTATGTTGTATCTAAAAACATTTGCACATTATTACTGTTGCTTTTAAAAAGTTACTACTAAATTATAAGTTAATCTTTTTTGAACCTACATATGAATGTAATAAATACTTTTACCTAAGGGGGAAAATGTTATGAGAAAAAGCAATCTTTATCAGTAAGATCAGTGAAATCAGAAAAATTAACATTAACTTATAATTCATGACTATGAGTTTTGTCTCCCTCTTACATTAACTATAAAAGTACACATGCTACTCTCCAAACTGATCTATGATGCAATCTCAATAAAAATCTCAGCTGCCTGGCCAGGCATGGTGGCTCATGCCTGTAATCCCAGCACTTTGGGAGGCCAAGGCAAGCGGATCACCTGAGGTCCGGAGTTCGAGACCAGCCTGACCAACATGGAGAAACCCCATCTGTACTAAAAATACAAAATTAGCCGGGCGTGGTGGCGCATGCCTGTAATCCCAGCTACTCCAGAGGCTGAGACAGGAGAATGGCTTGAACTCGGGAGGTGGAGGTTGCTGTGAGCCAAGATCGTGCCATTGCACTCCAGCCTAGGCAACAAGAGCAAAACTCCAGCTCAAAAAAAAAAAGAAAAAAAGAAAATCTCAGCTGCCTTTTTTACATAAGTTGAAAAGCTGATCCTAAAATTCATATGAAAATGTAAGCAACCCAGAATAGCCGAAACCATATGGAAGAAGAAAAAGAAAAAAGAGAGAGAGAGTCCATCTCTTTGGAGAGACTCATACTTCCTGATTTCAAATTTTACTTCAGAGCCACAGTAATCAAAACAGTTTGGTATTGGCTTAAGGAAGACATATAGATTAATGGGACAGAATTGAGAGTCTGGAAATAAACCCTTACATTTATGATTTTTAGGAAGGGTACCCAGGCTGGGCACGGTGGCTCATGCCTGTAATTCCAGCACTTTGGGAGGCCGAGGCAGGTGGATCACTAGAGGTCAGGCGATCCAGATCAGCCTGTGCAACATGGTAAAACCCTGTCTCTACTAACAATACAAAAAAAATTAGCCCGGCATGGTGGCAGCCGCCTGTAATCCTAGCTACTCGGGAGGCTGAGGCAAGAATCACTTGAACCTGGGAAGCAGAGGTTTCAGTGAGCAGAGATTGCACCACTACACTCCATCCTGGGCGACAGAACAAGACTCTGTTTCAAAAAAAAAAAAAAGGGGGTACCAAGATAATTCAGTGGAAAAAACATAGTCTTTCAACAGATGATACTGAGACATAACTATCCACATGTAAAGCAGTGAACTTGGGCCTTACTTTGCACCATATTGCAAAAATTAACTCAAAATGAATCATAGACCTAAATGTGAGAGCTAAAACTATAAAAAAATTCTGAGAAGAAATCGGGCTGGGCGCAGTGGCTCACGTCTGTAATCCCAGCACTTTGGGAAGCTGAGGCAGGTGGACCACGAGGTCAGGAGGTCAAGACCATCCTGACTAACATGGTGAAACCCTGTCTCTACTAAATAAACAAAAAATTAGCCAGGTGTGGTGGCGGGCACCTTTATTCCCAGCTACTTGGGAGGCTGAGGCAGGAGAATCACTTTAACCTGGGATGTGGAGCTTGTAGTGAGCCAAGATTGTGCCACTGCACTCCAGCCTGGGCGACAGAGCGAGACTCTGCCTCAAAAAAAAAAAAAAAGAAATCACAGGAGTGAATCTTTATGATCTTTGGTTAGTCAAAGTCTTCTTGGATAAGACATCAAAAGCAGGAGCAACAAAATAAAAAACAAAAAAATTGCACTTGATCAAAATTAAAAGCTTTTGTGTTTCAAAGGACACCATCAAGAGTGTGAAAAGCCAACCCACAGAATGGAAGAAACTATTTGCAAATCATATACAGTCATGCACTGCATAACTATGTTTCAGTCAGCAGTGGACTGCATACATAACAGTGGTCCCATAGGATTATAATGGAGCCAAATAATTGTATTGCCTTGCAACAGTGTAGCTGTCATATGGATAGCACAATGCATTACTCACCTGTTTATGGTGACGCTGGTGTAAACAAACTTGCTGTGTGCCAGTTGTATATAACACATACAATTATATGTAATACATAATACTTGATGATGATAATTGACTATGTTACTGGTTTATGTATTTACTACATACGACATTTGTTATCATTATCTTAGCATGTACTCCTTCTACTTGTACATTTTTTAAAGGTTAACCGGAAAACAGCCACAAGGAGGTCCTTTGGGAGGTATTCCAGAACCAGGCATTTATCATAGGAGATGACAGTTCCCACCTGTCTTATTGCCCCAAGATGAGGAGGTGAAAGACAGTGATACTGATGATCCTGACCCTAGGTTGGCCTATGCTAATGTATGTTTGCGTCTCCCTTTTTAACACAAACAGTTTTAAAAATACAAAAACAGCCACGCATGGTGGCTCACGCCTTTAATCCCAGCACTTTGGGAGGCCAAGGAGGGCAGATCACCAGGTTGGGAGATCGAGACCATCCTGGCTAACACGGTGAAACCCATCTCCACTAAAAATACAAAAAATTAGCCGGGCGTGGTGGTGGGCGCCTGTAGTCCCAGCTACTCAGGAGGCTGAGGCAGGAGAATTGCTTGAACCTGGGAGGCGGAGGTCGCAGTAAGCCGAGATCGCACCACTGCACTGCAGCCTGGGCGACAGAGTGAAACTCCATCTCAAAAAAAAAAAACAAAAAACAAACAAAAAACAAAAAAACCTTAAAAACAGGAAAAAGCTTAATAGAATAAGGATATAAAGAAATTAAAAAAAAAAAGAAAGAAAACTTTTTTTTTTTTTTTTGAGATGGGAGTCTCGCTCTGTTGCCCAGGCTGGAGTGCAGTGGCGTGATCTCGGTTCATTGCAAGCTCCGCCTCCCGGATTCACACCATTCTCCTGCCTCAGCCTCCCGAGTAGCTGGAATTACAGGCGACTGCCACCTCGCCCGGCTAATTTTTTGTATTTTTAGCAGAGACGGGGTTTCACCATATTAGCCAGGATGGTCTCGATTTCCTGACCTCGTGATCTGCCCGCCTTGGCCTCCCAAATTGCTAGGATTACAGGAGTGAGCCACCGCGCCCGGCCCCAAGGAAACATTTTTGTACAGCTGTACAGTATGTTTGTATTTTAAGCTAAGTATTACTATAAAAGAGTCAAAGCTTTTTAAAATTTAAAAGTTTATAAGGCCAGGTGCAGTGGCTCACTCAGGCCTATAATCCCGGCACTTTGGGAGGCTGAGGTGGACAGATCACCTGAGGTCAGGAGTTCAAGACCAGCCTGGCCAACATGATGAAACCCTGCCTCTACTAAAAACACAAAAATTAGCCAGGTGTGGTGGCACACGCCTGTAGTCCCAGCTACTAGGGAGGCTGAGGTGGCAGGATCGCTTGAACCCAGGAGATGGAGGTTGCAGAGAGCCGAGATCACGCCACTGCACCCCAGTCTGGGGGACAGAGTGAGACCCTGTCTCAAAAAAATAACTTAAAATAAAATAAAGTTTATAAAGTAAAAAAGTTACAGTATTTATTGAAGAAAGAATTGTTATACAAATTTATGGTAAACTAAGTGTACAATGCTTATAAAGCCTACAATAGTGCACAGTAATATCCTAGACCTTCACATTCACTCACCACTCACTCACTGACTCACCCAGAGTAACTTCCAGTCCTGCAAGTTCCATTCATGGCAAATGCCCTGTACAAGTGTGATATAATATTTTGTTATCTTTTATCTGTATTTTTACTGTATCTTTTCTATATTTAGATGTGTTTAGATACACCAGTACTAACCATGGTGTTACAATTGCTTACAGTATTCAGTACAGTAACATGCTGTACAGGTTTGTAGCCTAGAAGCCATAGGCTATACCATATAGCCTAGGTATATAGTAAGCTGTACCATCTAGACTTGTGAAAGTACACTCTATGATGTTTGCACAATGACAAAATTGCCTCTTGATGCATTTCTGAGAAAATATCCCCATTATTAAGCAATGAATGACTACATTTGATAAGAAACTTGTATCTAGAATGTATAAAGAATGCTTAAAACTCAACAATAAAAAGACAACCCAATTTTAAAATGGTCAAGGAATCTTTTCTTTTTTGAGACAGAGTCTTGCTCTGTCACGCAGACTGGAGTGCAATGGCGTGATCTCATCTCGGCTCACTGTAACCTCTGCCTCCTGGGTTCAAGCAATTCTCCTGCCTCAGCCTCCCAAGTAGCTGGGATTACAAGCGCCTGCCACCACGCCCAGCTAATTTTTGTATTTTTAGTAGTGAAGGGGTTTCACCATGTTGGCCAGGCTGGTCTCAAACTCCATACCTCAAGTGATCTGCCCACCTTGGCCTCCCAAAGTGCTGGGATTACAGGTGTGAGCCACCGCACCAGGCCCAAAGAATCTAAATAGACATTTCTCCAAACAAGATATACAAATGGCTAATAAGCACACTAAAAGATGCTCAAATCATTAGTCATCAGAGAACTGCAAATCAAAACCACTTTGCACCCACTAAGATGGCTATAATTTTTTTTTTTGAGACAGAGTCTCGCTCTGTTGCCCAGGCTGCAGTGCAGTGGCACAATCTCAGCTCACTGCAAGCTGCCTCCTGGGTTCATGCCATTCTCCTGCCTCAGCCTCCCAAGTAGCTGGGACTACAGGTGCCCGCCACCACGCCCGGCTAATTTTTTGCATTTTTAGTAGAGATGGGATTTTACCATGTTAGCCAGGATGGTCTCAATCTCCTGACCTCGTGATCTGCCTGCCTCGGCCTCCCAAAGTGCTGGGATTACAGGCGTGAGCCACCGCGCCCGGCCTATAATAATTTTTTTAAAGGAAAATAAGTATTGGTAAGGATGTGGAGAAATCAGAGCCCTCATACATTGCTGATGGGACTATAAAATGGTGCAATCCCTTTGGAAAACCGTTTGCTAGTTCCTCAAATTGATACATATAGGGTTACTCTATGACCAAGCAATTCCATTTCTAGGTATAGACCCAAGATAAATAAAAACATATTTCCACATAAAAATTTGTACATGAAGGTTGTAGCAGCATCATTTATAAAAGACAAAAACGAAAGACAACCCAAATATCTATCAATTGATGAAATTTGGTATATCCTGAGAACATGGAGAAGTTTGAAAACATTACACAGTGACAGAAGCCAGAAACAAAATGCCACATACTGTATGATTCCATACAAAATGTCTGGTTAGAAAAATCCTGAGAGATAAAAAAGTAGATTACAGGTTGCCAAGAGCTGAGGGGAGGGAGTAATGACATTTCAAGTTCAGGGTTTCTATTCGGGGTGATGACAGTGTTCCAGAATTAGACAGTGATAATGGGTAAACTTTGTGAATATACTAAAAACCAAATGAATTGTACACTTTGAAGGGTGGATTTTATAGTATGTGGCCAAACCACAACTATGTAACATTTAGCAATAACAATGTCTACTTCTCAATTTCAGTCACAGGGATGAGGCTGACACAAGTAAAATGAAAGTTTGTGGTAAGTACTAACATGATCTTTATTTTACATTCCATTATCTCTGATCAACCTCATCCTTAAGTTCATATATACATGATTATTATAGGCCAGGCACAAGGGCTCACACCTGTAATCCCAGTGCTTTGAGAGGCCAATTTGGGAGGATAGCTTGAGGCTAGGGGTTTGAAACCAGCCTAGGCAACACAGCAAGACCCTGTCTCTACAAAAAAAGCAAACAAATTAGCAAGGCATGGTGATGTACACTTTTAGTCCTAGCTACTCAGGAGGCTGAAGTGGGAGGATCTCTTGAGCCCAGGATTGGGAGACCAGCTTGGGTAACATGGCGAAACCCTAACTCTACAGAACAAATTTTAAAAATTAGCTGGGCATAGTAATGTGCACCCATGGTCCCAGCTACTCAGGAGGCTGAAGTGGGAAGATCACTTGAAGCCAGGAGGTCGAGGATGCAGTGAGCTGTCATCATGCCACCATACTCCAGCCTGGGCTACAGAGCAAGACCCTGTCTCAAAAAAACAAACAAAAGCCAGGTGCAGTGGCTCACGCCTGTAATCCCAGCACTTTGGGAGGCCGAGACGGGTGGATCACGAGGTCAGGAGATCAAGACCATCCTGGCTAACACAGTGAAACCCTGTCTCTACTAGAAATACAAAAAATTAGCTGGGCGTGGTGGCGGGCGCCTGTAGTCCCAGCTACTCGGGAGGCTGAGGCAGCAGAATGGCGTGAACCCGGGAGGCAGAGCTTGCAGTGAGCCGAGGTCGCGCCACTGCACTCCAGCCTGGGCAACAGAGCGAGACTCGGCCAAAAAAAAAAACAAAAAAAAAAAAAAACAAAAAAAAACACCCCAGTAATATGGCTAGATAAAAAAATATAATGGAAATATGCAAATATGACAATTACTCCTTTGTTAGTACAACCATTTTGAAAAGTAATTTGGCTGTATCTAATAAAAATGTACACACCTGGCCAGGCATGGTGGCTCATGCCTGTAATCCCAGCACTTTGGGAGGCCAAGGTGGGCGGACCACGAGGTCAGGAGTTCGAGACCAGCCTGGCCAACACGGTGAAACCCCATCTCTATTAAAAATACAAAAATTAGCCGGGCATGGTGGCAGACACCTGTAATCCCAGCTACTCGGGAGGCTGAGGCGGAGAATCATTTGAACCTGAGAGGCGGAGGTTGCAATGAGCTGAGATCGCGCTATTGCACTCCAGCCTGGGTGACAGGGTGAGACTCTATCTCAAAAAAAAAAAAAAAAAAAAAAAAAGTACACACCTAAACCCAAAAATTCCAGACCCTAAGGAAATTCTTATCTCGTATTTATATAACAGAAAGATGAAAACCAACGATGAGCAAAAGAAGCAAGCTGCAGGAGTGTGTTTGTTAGTATGAAATCACACATCTCAAGTTTAAAAACATGTAAAATAAAAGTATATAAAGTTTATGGATACACAGGCAAGTAGTAAAGGCACAAAAACACAAATGGGGTAATAAATATAACTTCAGGCCGAGCACGATGGCTCATGCTTGTAAACCCAGCACTTTGGGAGGCCAAGGTGGGCGGATCACCTGAGGTCAGGAGTTTGAGACCAGCCTGGCCAACATGGTGAAACCCCATCTCTACTAAAAATCCAAAAACTGGCCGGGCGTGGTGGCTCACGCCTATAATCCCAGCACTTTGAAAGGCCGAGGCAGGCAGATCACCAGGTCAAGAGATTGAGACCATACTGGCCAACATGGTGAAACCCCATCTCTACTAAAAATACAAAAATTAGCTAGGTGTGGTGGCACATGCCTGTAGTCCCAGCTACTTGGGAGGCTGAAGCAGGAGAATCACTTGAACCCAGGAGGCGGAGGCTGCAATGAGCCAAGATCATGCCACTGCACTCCAGCCTGGCGACAGAGCAAGACTCCATCTCAAAAAAAAAAAAAAAAATCAAAAAATTAGCTGGGTATGGTGGTGTGTGCCTGTAGTCCCAGCTACTCAGGAGGCTGAGGCAGGAGAATCACTTGAACCTGTGAGGAGGAGGGTGCAGTGAGCTGAGATCATACCACTGCACTCCAGCCTGGGCAACAGAAAATGACCCTGTTTCAAATAAATAAATAAATAAAATTTCAGTAAATGAAAAGAAGTGTCATTGGGCTTCAATTGTATTTGGTTTACTTCTTTCTTAAAAATCTGAAACAAATGTGGCAAACAGAAATTGACAAATCTGCATGCTAGATTTTCGTGGGGTTTTTTTGTTTGTTTTTTGTTTTGAGACGGAGTCTCACTCGTCGCCCAGGCTGGAGTGTAATGGTGTGATCTCAGCTCACTGCAACCTCCGCCTCCTGGGTTCAGGCGGTTCTCCTGCCTCAGCCTCCCGAGTAGCTGGGAGTACAGGCGCCCACCACCACACCCAGCTAATTTTTGTATTTTTAGTAGAGATGGAGTTTCACCATGTTGGCCAGGCTGGTCTTGAACTCCTAACCTCAGGTGATCTGCCTGCCTTGGTCTCCCAAAGTGCTGGGATTACAGCTGTGAGCCACTGCACCCAGCCCTGCATGCTAGATTTAAAATGTATATATTTTCTGTACTTTTTATAATTTTAAAATATTTTAAATTAAATGTCTGTAATCAGTAAAGTTTTCAAAAATAAGTATATTTTATGTTTGTTCCTTCTGGGTCCTGGAAAATAATTTATTATGCCTCAAGCTATAGGTATATTTGCCTAGATATTTCCTTATCTCTGAGCTAAAAACATTAAGATGAGATTGATGGAGCCCATTAAAGCAAAGAAAAAAAACACACACTCATCACTGCTCTAAAATCTGCACAGGTTTTGAAAATAAATCTATTCATTAAGAAAAAGTTCAGAAAGTCTCTGTTTTTAAACCATACCTGGCCTTGCAATTCTGGTCTTACAGGATATGTACTTGGGTAAGGAGCCCTAGATCTCGCAGTAGAATTCCAATAGTTAGAATTGTAGCTAGGATATGGTGGCTGCTCCTAAGAAAAAAAGAAAAATAAATTCACTCTTAATAACATTCATACATCATTTTAAGATAGATTGATAGAGGCAGGTTATAAGGATTAAAAAAAAAAGCAATAGACAAAAAGCAATAAGCTGGGCACAGTGGCACACGCTTCTTGTCCCACTACTGCGGAGGCTGAGGTGGGTGGATCGCTTGAGCTCAGGTGATTGAGTCTAGTATGGTCAAGAGAGACCCCGTCTCTTAAAAACAAAAAATAAAAGAAAAAAGGGAATAGGACCCCAACTATAAAACTGCTAATTATTCAGTACATGGTAAATCAAATGCTCTATGACAAAACAATTATTACCTAGTAAAAAGCTGTTCTTATCTGTTTCGACAATGCCACCACACCAAATGCTATATAAAGGAATTCTACTACATCAAGATGATTAGCAAAATCAGAGACATTAGATCACCTCTATCCTTCTCCAATAACTAATCCTCAAGACTACTAATTTAATTAGTGCAACAAAATGGTTCTTTGCTACTGTTATATTTACCAATAACTTTGGAACACAAAGACATTACTACTAGAGTTTCGCTCAAGCACATACATCTTCAATCTCCAACTTCTTTGCCTTGACACACCCTAGTTTTTCATATTCTACTCTGTGCTATGGCTAAGCTTTCCGCTGGCAGCCTCAGTGTCAGGCATTGATGCAGAACATTTACCAATCCAAAGAGAAAATCTAGCTACGACAATAATTTCATCAGCCTTTCTCTCCAACTCAGAAAGTTAACGCATGATTTGCAATAAGCCAATAAACTTTGATAAAAGACTAAATATACTCAAAACTTCTCAGAGCACCTATTATCTGGTTTATTACATACATTTATTATCCTATGAGTTATTTTGCTTTCAACTGTATAGATTTAGGGTTTTTTTTTTTTTTTTTTTTTTGAGACAGAGTTTCGCTCTTGTTGCCCAGGCTGGAGTGCAATGGCACGATCTCGGCTCACTGCAACCTCCGCTTCCCAAGTTCAAGCAATTTTCCTGCCTCAGCCTCCTGAATAGCTGGGATTACAGGCACCTGCCACCACGCCCAGCTAATTTTTTGTACTTTTAGTAGAGACCGGGTTTCACTATTTTGGCCAGGCTGGTCTTGAACTCCTGACCTCAGGAGATCCACCCGGCTTGGCTTCCCAAAGTGCTGGAATTACAGGCGTGAGCCACACTGTGCCCGCCCAAGTATAGTTTTAAGCTTGAACAGGACCTTCGACATTTTTTCTAAAACTTTGAATATGATTTCACAAAGAAATTCATTGGCAGCTGAAATAACTGAGAGATTATCACTATTAGCTTAACTGCACTACTTATCCATTTCATAATACTTTGTTTTCAGTAATACTTTGAATTTTTTTCAGTAATCATAATTATCAACACTGTTGGTACTGTTTGTTATCTTGGTACTGTTATGCGGGTATTATAGTTGCAAATGAATACTTACATTGGTATTGTTGGGAATCAGTATTTTCACAATGGGAGATAGGAGACACAGATATAAGAATAATGAAACTTAAAACCTTATAATCCTTAATTTGAATTGTAAATATCAGTATGAATTCAAACTGTATTTTATCTTCTTTAAAAAACCACCAACTTGGCCAGGCACAGTGGCTCACGCCTGTAATCCCACCACTTTGGGAGGCCTGACGCGGGTGGATCACCTGAGGTCAGGAGTTCGAGACCAGCCTGGCCAACACGGTGAAACCCCGTCTCTACTAAAAATACAAAAATTAGCTGGGTGTGGTGGTGGGTGCCTGTAATCTCAGCTACTCAGGAAGCTGAGGCACGAGAATAGCTTGAACCCAGGAGACAGAAGTTGCAGTGAGCAGAGATCATGCCACTGCACTCCAGCCTGGGCCACAGAGCAGAGACTCCGTCTCAAAAAAAAAAAAAAAGACAACCCACCAACTTGGGCTGGGCGCAGTGGCTCAATCTGTAATCCCAGCACTTTGGGTAGCTGAGGCAAGAGGATTGCTTGGGGCCAGAGACCAGGAGTTCAAGACCAGCCTGGAAAATAATGAGACTCAGTCTTTACCCAAAAAAAAAAAAAAAAATGTCAGGTGGGCGTGATGATGGGTGCCTATAGTCCCAGCTACTCAGGAGGCTGAGAGGTGAGAGGCAGAGGCAAAGTCCAGAAATTCAAGGTTATGGTGAGCTATGATCTATGATTGTGCTACTGCACTCCAGCCTGGGCAACAGAGTAAGACCCCATCTTTAAAAAGAAAAAACCTACTGACTTGATAACCACACACAGAATATAATTCAAATAATTCTTGAACAGTTTTCTGAATGGACATCTTTAGTGGTACCTTTCTAAAAGCAAAAGAAATTTAAAAATATCTTAAACTCTTCATATAATGTTATTAGTAGTGATATTACTATCTTAATTTTTAAACTATATTGTGTGTATTGTAGAATAGAATAAATACATACAGTAGTGTTATTGGGAACCGATATTGTCACGAGGACAAGGAAAGATAAAATATGGAATGGGGCAAAATGAGGAAGAACTGGGGGATAGTGAATGTGGTGGTGTCATTACAAACTCACATAAGTAAAAAACATAATTTGGCTGGGTGCAGCGGCTCACACCTGTAATCCCAGCACTTTGGGAGGCCAAGGCAGGTGGATCACGAGGTCAGGAGATAGAGACCATCCTAGCTAACACGGTGAAACCCCATCTCTACTAAAAATACAAAAAATTAGCCAGGTGTGGTGGCGGGCGCCTGTAGTCCCAGCTACCTGGGAGGCGGAGCTTGCAGCAAGCCTAGATCACGCCACTGCACTCCAGCCTGGGCAACAGAGGGAGACTCCGTCTCAAAACAACAACAACAACAACAAAACGTAATTTAACCTTTTATGCAAAACAAACAAATATGGATAAAAGTGACAGTGTGCCAGTCCACACAAAGGATTTAGGAGTCGCTGCAAATTCTAGCAACCCTCTTGTGTTCCCATGCCCTCCACAAGACCTACATTATCTTATATGGGAGCTGTGTTTTCAACTGAAGTCCCAGGATGAGAAGACACACAGGTAGACCTGAACTGAACCTGGGGCCTAGAGAAGAACCACTAGAGTGGACTCACAGAACCTGAGCAAGAAATAAATGTTTATCATTATAAGCTACTAAAATTCTGGAATTGTTGTTTCAGTATAGGAAAAGTCAATTAATGCAATAACTAACAATCAAGTTGGTAACATAACCACAGAGAAAAAAGAATTACTTCAAATGACTTTTAGCTCACGTTATTTTGACTGTACGTCCTCAGTGGAATTTATTCTCTAAGGACAAGCTGAACTGCAAAGAAACCGAAACTGCATCCATTAGTTGTTACTCATAAAACTGGTATTCTTATTTTCAAGTTTTACTCACTACCATCCAATTCACCTATTTAAAGTATATAATTCAGGCCTGGCATGGTGGCTTACGTCTGTAATCCCAACACTTTGGGAGGCCGAGGTGGGTGGGTCACTTGAGGTCAGGAGTTCAAGACCGGCCGGGCCCACATGGTGAAACCTCGTCTCTAATAAAATACAAAAATGAGCTGGGTGTGGTGGCGGGCAGCTACTCAGGAGGCTGAGGCACGAGAATTGCTTGAACCCAGGAAGCAGAGGTGTAGTGAACTGAGATTGCACCACTGCACTCCAGCCTGGGCAACAGGGTGAGACTCCATCTCAAAAAAAAAAAAAAAATTAGCCGGGCATGGTGGCACACACCCGTAGTCCTAGCTACTTGGGAGGTTGAGGCAGGAAAATTGCTTGAACCTGGGAGGCGGAGGTTGCAGTGAGCCAAGATCGTGCCACTGCACTCCAGCCTGGGTGACAGAGCAAGGCTCCATCTCAAAGATAAACAAATAAATAAATAAAAAGTAAATAAAAAGCTGATATTAAAGTAGCCACTCCAGCTTTCTCATAGTTGCCTTTTGCATATTTTTATATATATATACATATATATGTATACATGTATATATGTATACATGTATATGTATACATGTATATATGTATACATGTATATATGTATATATATGTGTACATGTATATATATGTATACATGCATATATATATGTGTATACACGTATATATATGTATTTATATGTGCATATATGTAATTTTTAATTAATAAAAGTAGTACATATTTTTGGGATACATGTGATATTTTGATACATGTATATAAAGTGTAATGATCAAAACAGGGTAACTGGCATATCTGACACCTCAAACATTTATCTTTTCTTTATTGCATTATATTTCTTTTTCCATCCATTTACTTTCAAACTATTTGTATCTTTAAACCTTAAGTGTGCCACCTTTAGACACCATATAATTGGATCTTGTTTTTTTTTTAATCCAGTCTGTCTTCTGACTAGATTGCTTAATCCATGCACATTTAATATTATTGATATAGCTGGATTTACATGTTTTATTTTTACTTTTTGTTTTTTATATGTCTCATGTGTTTTTGTCCTTTATTCCACCTTTACTGCTTTCTTTTGCATTAAGTGAATATTTTCAAATGTAGCATTATAACTTAATGATTATACTTTTTTTTTCTTTAGCAGTTACTCTTGGGCTAACAATACACTTCTTCTTCTTCCTTTTTTTTTTTTTTTTTTTTTTGAGACGGAGTCTCACTCTATCACCCAGGCTGGAGTGCAGTGGCACGATCTCGGCTCACTGCAAGCTCCGCCTCCCGGGTTCATGCCATTCTCCTGCCTCAGCCTCCCAAGTAGCTGGGACTACAGGCGCCCGCCACCACGCCCGGCTAATTTTTTTTTTTTTTTTTTTTTGTATTTTTAGTACAGACAAGGTTTCACCATGTTAGCCAGAATGGTCTCGATCTCCTGACCTTGTGATCTGCCCACCTTGGCCTCCCAAATTGCTGGGATTACAGGCGTGAGCCACAGCACCCAGCTGGGCTAACAATATGCTTCTCATCAGAATCAGCTTCTGATTTATACCAACTTAATTCCAGTGAGATACAGGAATGCTATTCCTATATAAGTCTGTTCCTTTTCCCCTTTTTTGTGATTTTATTGTAATCCACATTATGTCTACAAATGTTACAAACTCAACATTATATTGTTATACTTATTACTTTATATAATGTCTTTTAAAGAATCTGAGAAGAAAAGAGCATATTTGCATCTTTTGTTATATTAACCTTGTTATTAATCATTTCTGATATGCTGGTGTGTTCAATGGTGTCTGACACTTCTCCAACACATCAGTCTTTTTTCTCTCCTTCATATTGCATAATCTGTATTGATCTATCTTCAAATTCATGAATTCTTTCTTCTGTCAGTTCTAGCCTATTGAACTCCTCTAGTTAATTTTTCATTTTAGTTACTGTACTTTTCAACTCCAGAATTTCTATTTGTTTCTTTTTTAATATATAATTGCTATCTCTTTATTGATATTCCCTATTTGACATGACATTATCACACACCTTTCTTTGCTTCTTTAATCATAGTTTTTTAGTTATTTGAACATATATAATGGCTACTTTGAAGTCTTTGTCTATTAAATGTGACATCTGGTCACTTTCACAATCAGTTTCTGTTACCTGCTTTTTTTCCAGTGTATGGGTCATACTTTCCTGTGTCTTTGCATAGCTCATAATTCTTTGTTGGAAACTAGACATTTTAGCAACTCTGAGTACTACTGGTCCCACCTTTTCCACCTTAGGCTTGTTATTGTCATTTGCTCATTTGTTTAGTAACCAGCTGGATTATTTTTGCAAAGTCTGTTTGCCCTCAAACTTCAAGTATGAAGTATGTGATATTGCTCATTAGAAGGCACAGCCTTGGGTATGCCCACAGTCATCCTGGATGACAAAGATTTTTGTAAGACTTTCTTTGAGTGTATCTTTCCTTGACCACATCTAGTTGTTAAAGCTTCACTAATTTCCAGCTGATTGCTCTACTGGTTTTAATAACACCCTGAGGCATAAATTGCTCCACAGACTGAGTAGATCAAATTTGGGTCCCTCTAAAGGGACAGTTAGTTCCCAAGGTCAGTGTTTGAGAGTTGTTCTGATACCAAAGGGCTCCTCCTAGCTTCTTCTTTTCCTGGTTCTCTCCAGCAAACTAGCTGGCCTACTAGTTTATCCTGCATCTCCAGTGAATCTAACCAGTCTCTTCCCTATTGCTTTGCACAACAACCTCCGCAGTTTTTTTGACTTTCTCCACACTCCTGAGCTTCTCCATACTTTGTTCCTTTAGGAAAAGATTAGGAGCTACCTGTTTTACAGCCTACTTCTGCTTCCAGATAAAACATCTGAGCCACTCTCTACAGCTAGAGTGGGGACAATGGTGTGTTTATCTGAATGGCATCCCTGCTTTACGAAGTGGAGTACCCACGGGAAGGGAGGCTGTAGACTTAGGGCTTCTCGGCTTGAAAAGCAAGGGTAAAGGAGATCAGAGCCCCAGTATTTTCAGCAGTGCCTTGCCCAAGGTCAAGTCTCCATCCTAGGAGTAGGGACTGGGTGAAAGAAAGGAACCACCACCACTCAGCCACAATTACCTAGAATTTTGCCTCAGTGACAGGCATCTGAGGCAAAATGAGAAATGTTGGTACGCTACTCCTCCTCCTAGGATGAAAACCTTCTGACTGAGGCTATGAGGTGGAATACATGGAGCTGGAGCCCTGTGTTCTTGGCTACACCCTCTAGAGTAAAGTTTCTATCTCACTAGCTGCAAAAAAGGAGGGATGGAGGAGCTTTTAGTTCAAATACCACAGACCCAATGTTCTTACTGACTTTTGTAGATTTTCTTGAACAAGTGTTTCTTCATGGCCAGGCGCGGTGGCTCACACCTATAATCCCAGAACTCTGGGAGGCCAAGGCAGGTGGATCACGAGGTCAGGAGTTCAAGACCAACCTGACCAACATGGTGAAACCCTGTCTCTACTAAAAATACAAAAATTAGCTGGGTGTGGTGACACATACCTGAAACCCCAGCCACTCAGGAGGCTGAGGCAAGAGAATCGCTTGAACCTGGGAGGTGGAGGTTGCAGTAAGCCGAGATCGCCAAGATGGCGCCATTGTACTCCAGCCTGGGTGACAGAGCGAGACTCTGTCTAAAAAAAAAGGTGTTTCTTCATTTGCTATATTCCCTAGGACCATTTCCAGAAACTGTAATTTGTTGTTTTTTAAAATTAATGTTCACCAGTTTCACTGGGGACTAGGTCCACAGAATTCTTCATGCTGTCATGCCAGAACTGGAACCTGGCATTATTTTGAACTTATTTTATACATTATTGTTAGATTGTGCAAATATTTGTAATTAAGTTAGGAATCAAGATTTTTTTCATATAAAATATACAAAGAAGTTAAAATTCCTATAATGTTAAATTTGAATTAATATAAATATGAACTCATTTATTTTTCTATTTTAAAATACTTATTTTATAATTCTGCCCTTTGGAAAGGTCTAGACACAATGACAACACAATAACAATTAGTATATATGCCAGGCACCCAACTGTAATTTCTGTACCAAGTATTAAGGTATTGCCCCTTGCCCCTCAGGTCCAAACACAGCATTCTATTTTTTTTTTTTTTTTTGAGACAGAGTCTCACTCTTGTTGCCCTGGCTGGAATGCAGTGGTGCGATCTCGGCTCAATGCAATCTCCACCTCCCAGGTTCAAACCATTCTCCCGCCTCAGCCTCCCGAGTAGCTGGGATTACAGGCATGCGCCACAACGCCCAGCTAATTTTTGTATTTTTAGTAGAGACAGGGTTTCACCATGTTGGCCAGGATGGTCTCGATCTCCTGACCTCGTGATCTGCCCACCTCAGCCTCCCAAAGCGCTGGGATTATAGGCGTGAGCCACTGCGCCCGGCCGCAAGCACAGCATTCTATACTTGGCTCTGTGATGTAAGGCTGGAAGTCTACAAACCTTTCTCCCTCCCCAGCTTGCTTGCTTTCTGGTTCTGCCAACACACTATGCTAGGCTAGAGGAGGAGACAGTGGACTTGCTTCTTCCTGTCTGCTGTTTCTGTCAGTGTCAACACCGCAATGCCATTCAACCTGTACGCAGCAGTCAGTCAACAACACTCTCCGACCCGAACGTCCTCAGAGGTATCTGCACCAGGTAGGAGGCGCCACCTCCTGGCCACTCTTCCAAGTTTCCAGGTTCTTTTTATATTTTTATTTTATTTTATTTTATTTTATTTTATTTTATTTGAGACAGGGTCTCACTCCGTCACCCAGACTGGAGTGCAGTGGCACAATCACAGCTCACCACACCCTCGGCCACCTGGGCTCAGGTGATCCTCCCACCTCAGCCTCCTGAGTAGCTAGGAATACAGGGGCCCACCACCACATTTGGCTAATTTTTGTATTTTTTGTAGAGACAGGATTTTGCCATGTTGCCCAGGCTGGTCTTGAACTCCTGGGCTCAAGCAATCCACCTGCCTCAGCCTCCCAAAGTGCTAGGATTACAAGCGTGAGCCACTGCGCCCGGCCATTCTTCCAAGTTTCCTGGCTATAATCACTCCAACCTCTTCCCTTTATTCCCCAGCCCCAGGAATTGTAGCTGCTTCCTCCACTTACTATTTTCTGTTACTTCTGTGTTCTCTTTTTCCCTTTTCATAACTCCAATAACCTGTTTAGCTAATTTCCTAAATCAAATTCTAACTAGTGTGGTTTCTGTTTTCCTGCTCAGATCCTGACTTAACGGTTTCTAAATGTAATTCTCCACTTGGGAGAAAAATACAATCAAGTTCTTAAGGAATGGCTGATTATGTGTCTTGGGACAAAATATATACAAAGCCTGAGACATCTTGTTGTACCAGAAATCAAGGAAGCTATCAAAAATCAATGGGTCATGCCAGGCACGGTAGCTCACGCCTGTAATCCCAGCACTTAGGGAGGCAGAGGCGGGAGGATAGCTTGAGCCCAGGAGTTTGAGACCTCCCTGGGGAATACAGTGAGAACCTGTTCTCCACAAAAAGAAAAAGAAAAAAAAAATCAATAGATTATGTCCAAAGGAATCAGAAGCCAAGAAAAAGGGACTCCCATTGACATAATATGGTATCATTTAAGCATCAAAAAGAATGACTGCTATCTGCTGCTAAGGTTTCCAGTACAGATGCAAGGAAAAAAGTGTCCTTATGCTTTCCGTCTGTCTGATTGTGGCAGCTGAGATTAAATAGAAGAATACAGGGAAACTGGAATAACCTTGAAAACAGTGAAGAGCCTGTTTTACTCAGAAGAATCTAACTTTTGAGTCGGCAGGAGAAGTTCTGGGAAATAGCCCTTACCACCCTTACCTGGTTGATTACACTTGCAAAAGCTTAAAGGTGGCCAGGCACAGTGGCTCATGCCTGTAATCCCAGAACTGTGGGAGGCTGAGGCAGGTGGATCACAAGGTCAGGAGATCGAGACCATCCTGGCTAACATGGTGAAACCCCATCTCTACTAAAAATACAAAAAAAAATTAGCCAGGCCTGCTGGCGGACGCCTGTGGTCCCAGCTACTCAGGAGGCTGAAGTGGGAGAATGGCATGAACCCGGGAGGCGGAGCTTGCAGTGAGCCGAGATTTCGCCACTGCACTCCAGCCTGGGCGACAAAGAGAGACTCTGTCTAAAAAAAAAAAAAAAAAAAAAAAAAAAGATGGGTCAGTATGTATAGCTCAGTTGTGGTGGTGGTGGTGGTGGTGGTTATGTAATTGTATGTATTTATCAAAACTCACAGAACTATACCCTAAAGACAGTGAAATTTACTTTTTGTAAATTATGCCATAATTTTTTTAATGAAAAAAAGAATGTCCTCAATGAAGCACTAAAAAGTATAATTTTATTGTCTTAAGGAAAAAAATAATGTCTTTGTCTTTTTTTTCCTCCTTTTGGACAAAATGGGACAAATCTAAAAATATCCCTAGTAACAGTGAAAGTCTGTAGCTCATGGCCCTCCCAACATGACACTAATTCTATGAAATAGCATTTGGTTTCACAGGAAACTGGCTGAAGCTGAACTCTATTCTATAAACTAAGTTACCAATTTTATCATGTGCCTAACTCTTTCCAAACTTTTTATTTGTTGAATGAAATACAAACTAAAACAAAGGTAATAAAATGTTTTCACAAGCCACAATAATGTGAATTAAAGTTCTATGCCAAAGAAAATTTGATTAAAATTATGCAAGATAACTAATTTATTTCCTTTCTTCTGAGAAATAAATAATCCCAGCTGAAGACTGGAGTCAATTCCTTTAAAGTGGATATGTGATTACATTTTCCAAAATGACTTACCAACATTCCCCCAAACTGAAACCCCAGTCCAAGCAAATCTAACAGCAGAGGAATCAGTAGCACTCGTACTACATAAATTCCATTTACAGATTTGCTTATATTTTTCATAAGAATTGGACAAAAATTATTAGTAAAGTACATAAGTTATTTGTATAGCTATATGGTTCATAATCACTAACAAATCACCTTATGCTCCTATACTGACCATCATAATTTTTTAACTTTTCAAACTCATTTGGATCTCTTCCAAATGCTTCTCTGTGTTGTCCCTCTTGCCCCAGCATCTGGTTCAAACATTTACCACATAAATTTTGCAGAGCATCCCATTCTACTTCCCTTACTGTAAGATGACCTAGCTTCCTACTCCACCACGAAAGGAGACCAATAGCTGTCAATGCCCCTCTGCTCCAACTCCAAACTTGTTACTTTTCTCCCTTTAGCTCAAAAGGTTTCTCAACTCTAACTCTTTTCCCTTACTTCCTTTTTTTTTTTTTTTTTTTTTTTTTTTTTTGAGATAGTCTCGCTAGGCAGCCCAGGCTGGAGTTCGTGGCATGATCTCGGTCACTGCGACCACCGCCTCCCTGGTTTGAGCAATTCTCAGACTAGCTGCAATTACAGGCGCCCGCCACCACGCCCGGCTAATTTTTGTTTTTCTTTTTCTGGGACAAGGTCTTGCTCTGTTGCCCAGGCTGGAGTGCAGTGGTGTGATCTCGGCTCACTACAACCTCCATCTCCCAGGTTCAAGTGGTTCTCCTGCCTCAGCCTCCCAAGTAGCTGGGATTACAGGTGTGAGCCACCACACCTGGCTAATTTTTGTATTTTTAGTAGAGACGGGGTTTCACCACGTTGGCCAGGCTGGTCTCAAACTCCTGACCTCAGATGATCTGCCTGCCTCAGCCTCCCAAAGTGCTGGGATTACAGGCGTGAGACACCGCACCCAGCCTAAAGTTTTACTCTAAAAAAACATAGGGAGTGGCCGGGTACCAAAAATACAAAAGTAGTCGGGCATGGTGGCGGGTGCCTGTAATCCCAGCTACTTGGGAGCCTGAGGCAGTAAATCGCTTGAACCTGGGAGGTGGAGGTTGCAGTGAGCCAAGATGGCGCCATTGCGCTCCAGCCTGGGCAAAAAGAGCAAAACTCCGTCTCAAAAAAAAATTTAAAAAAAAAAAGGCTGGGCGCGGTGGCTCACGCCTGTAATCCCAGCCAAGGCGGGCGGATCACGAGGTCAGGAGATCGATACCATCCTGGCTGACACGGTGAAACTCCGTCTCTACTAAAAATACAAAAAAATTGGCCGGGCGTGGTGGCGGGTGCCTGTAATCCCAGCTACTCGGGAGGCTGAGGCAGGAGAAGGGCGTGAACCCAAGAGGCGGAGCTTGCGGTGAGCCGAGATCAGGCCACCGCACTCCAGCCTGGGTAACAGAGTGAAACTCGGTCTCAAAAAAAAAAAAAAAAATAGTGATAGATTTCTAATTTTTTCCCTGCCATACTTAAATGTGTTAATATAGTCAAGTCTGTGTTGTAGTTCAGTACATCATCTAAATATAATCAGTTCTATAGAGCAATGCTTCTGAAATATTAATGTGCATATGAATCACCTGGGGATCTTAATAAATTGCAGCAGTAAGTCTGGAAGAGGAGAGATTTTGCATTTCTATCAACCTCACAAGTGACACCGAGGCTTCTAGTCCATGGACCACACTTTTTGAGTAGCAAGGTTATAAAAGGTTCCTATACTGTTTGTTTTTTTAATTTGACAGATGTATACTATAAAAATGCAAAACATAAAAAAAAGTCAAAATAACAAATCTGGAAAAAACATTGCAACATCTGTGACAACATGCATATCTTTTTTTTTTTTTTTTTTTTTTTTTTGAGACGGAGTCTCGCTTTGCTGCCCAGGCTGGGGTGCAGTGGCATGATCTCGGCTCACTGCAACTTCTGCCTCCCGGGTTCAAATGATCCTCCTGCCTCAGTGCCCCTAGTAGCTGGGATTACAGGCATGCGCCACCATGCCTGGCTAATTTTTGTGTTTTTAGTGGAGGTGGGGTTTCGCCATGTTGACCAGGCTGGTCTCGAACTCCTGACCTCAGGTGATCCACCTGCCTCAGCCTCCCAAAGTGCTGGGTTTACAGGCGTGAGCCACCACGCCCGGCCAACATACATATCTTTGGTATGAGTTTTCTATTGCTGCAGAAAAATTACCATCCTATACTTTTAAAGTTTCAGAATCATCAATCTGAAAGATAGTACAAACTATTAAAATGGTTTACAAATGCCCATTACACATTTCCACCTTTATCTCCAACTACTTCAGCACCATCACCCACCCTGTGGGCACAAATGTACTCAAACCACACCTGACAACCCCTTACACAATGCTAAAATCTTAACTTCTTTAGTCTATCCAACCCTCCCTAACTCTATGCCAGAAAACAGACTTTGGTTTTGATAATACAGCAGGCCCAGCAAAAGTCAGTCATCAGTTTAGAGGTCCTCTCCTCTTTCCCCACTTCAACTGATTTTTGGTCTAATTTGGCCAAGCATTTCACCATTCTATAGTCCCATGACCTATGTATTCCAGATTTAGGCTGAGAAAATATGGATCTTTCTTTCTTTATTTTTTTTTTTGAGATGGAGTTTCGCTCTTGTCTCCCAGGCTAGAGTGGAATGGTGTGATCTCAGCTCACTGCAACCTCCGCCTCCTGGGTTCAAGCGATTCTCCTGCCTCAGCCTCTCGAATAGCTGGGATTACAGGCGCCCGCCACCATGCCCAGCTAATTTTTGTATTTTTAGTAGAGACGGGGTTTTGCCATGTGGGCCAGGCTGGTCTCGAACTCCTGACCTCAGGTGATCCGCCTTCCTTGGACTCCCAAAGTGCTGGGATTACAGGCATGTCACCACACCCAGCTGGATCTTTCTTTAATTTATAATTAATCTTGGCCGGGCACTGTGGCTCACACCTGTAATCCCAGCACTTTTGGAGGCCGAGGCAGGAGGATACCCTGAGATCAGGAGTTCAAGACCAACCTGGCCCACACGACAAAACCCCGTCTCTACTTAAAATACAAAATTTAGTTGGGCATGGTGGCAGGCGCCTGTAATCCCAGCTACTAGGAAGGCTGAAGCAGGAGACTTTGACCCCGGGAGGCAGAGGTTGCAGTGAGCTGAGATTGCGCCACTGCATTCCAGCCTGGGCGACAGAGCAAGACTGTGTCCCAAAAATAAAAAATAAAAATAAAAAATAATTTATCACTGCTCCATGTTTTTCTCATACAATTGTTTACACTGTGATATAATCAACATACTATAAACTCTACCCTTTTAAAATGTACAATTCAGTAGTTTTTAGTATATTCAGAGTTGTGCAACCATCACCACTGATTTTAGAACATTTCTTATTTTTTGTTTTTTATTTTTTTATTTTTAGAGACAAGGTCTTACTATGTTGCCCAGGCTGGTCTCGAACTCCTGGACTCAAGCAATCCTCCAGCCTCGGCAACTCAAAGTGCTGGGATTACAGGTGTGAGCCATCTCACCAGGCCCTGATTTTAGAACATTTCATTATCCCAAAAAGAATATTCTCACCTACACCGCCAGTCCCCCAACCTCTGGCAACCATTAAGCTTTCTGTCTCTAGATTTACCTACTCTGGCCATTTCATATAAATGGAATCACACAATATGCAGTCTTTCTGACTGACTTAGCTCACGTAGTGTGATGTTTTCAAGGTTCATTCATATTGTAGCATGCATCAGCAGTTCATTCCTTTCTAAGGCCAAATAATACTCCATTGAATGAATATATTAACACCATATTTTGTTTATCGATGCATCAGTCGTTATGTCCTTACAACATTCCTGTATTCGAATAAAGAACCAGGGCTCCAAGAGGTTCACTCACTTTATAACTCAAATAATAAAATGACATTTGGGGCCGAGCGCAGTGGCTCACGCCTGTAATCCCAACACTTCGGGAGGCCGAGGGGCAGGGGAAAGGGGGATCACTTGAGGTCAGGAGTTCAAGACCATCCTGGCCAACATGGCGAAACCCCGTCTGTACTAAAAATACAAAAATTAGCCGGGTGTGATGGCCGGCGCCTGTAATCCTAGCTACTCGAGAGGCTGAGGCAGGAGAATCGCTTAAACCGGGAGGCGGAGGTTGCAGTGAGCCGAGATGGCACCACTGCACTCCAGCCTGGGCAACAGAGCGAGACTCCAACTCAAAAAAAAAAAAAACAAAAAAAACGACATTTCTACTTTTTGGCGATTATGAATAATGATGCTATGAACATGGGCGGACAAGCTTTATGTGAACATACGTTATCAGTTTTCTTGGGTATATAGCCAGGAGTGGGCTTGCTGGGTCATAGACTAATTCTAATGCTTAATGTTTTGAGGAACTACCAAACTATTTTCCACCATTTTACATCCCCACCAGCAATGTACGAGAATTTCACTATTACATTTTCAACAAATGAGGATAATTCTTGAACGAACAGAGAGGTATGCTGCCACCGCAGAACGACAACCCACTACCCAGAAGACTGTATTAACAAAGCAGAAGTATATGTCCGGCAGGAAAACGGAGAATAAAATGTTGCAGGTCCAAGTGTATTAGGCAAGTGAGTTAACCTCGCAGAGCCCCGGTTCCTTATTCGAAAACAAAAAAAAGGGCCGCTGTAATGCCATTTTACCTTGCAGTCGCCGTGAAAATTAAATCAGTCAATCCGCGTAAAGGTACTTTACAACACTGATTATTCATGATTCGATCTCAGGCAAGGCATTAGGGGCAAACAGCTAAATGCCCAGATCCCTCCTCCTCGCAAAGGTTCCTTCCCCTCGGGAGGGTCCCTGAGCGGCATCGGGGGCTGCAGCCACTTCCCTTCCCCGGGAGAGCCGGCCTGCCAGCCACGCAGGATAAATTGCTAGAGCTGGAGCAGTAGATCCGTGCCACCCCTACCCAGCACCGCTCCCAGGAGAGAGATCTGCAGCCTGCTGCTAAGCTTAGTAAGTCCGCGCAGGATCTTTCTTTTTTAAATGGTAATAAACATATTTTTTGGGGTCGAAGCAGAAAAGGAGGGGCAAAGGGAACACAAGCATGTCCCCCCAACCTCTGATCTTAGTCTCGGTCTCTCCAACACCCCCCGCAACACACCCTCCTCCACATAAGGAAAACAAGTATGAAACCCGATCCTTTACGAACCCCAGCCCCAAGGGCCCTCACCTCCCCGCAAGGACAGAGGGTGCAAAGCTTACCTGGTGGCTTCCTCCGGCTCGACCAGGCTCTGGCCAGGCGCCTCCCGAGGGATAGTAGCCATCGCCTCCTCCGCCTTCTCCCAGCCAGGTGGTCTCCGCCGGGCCGCCCCCGCGCACCCGCCAGGAAATGGGAGGCTGGGGAGGTTCAGGGCGAAGAGGATATAAGGGTGGAGGTGGGTGTACCGGCACATCTCCACCCCCAGGCCCGTAGTAGCGGCCGTAGGACGGACCGTCACTGGGGCCGTAGCCCGAGCGCCTCAGGGCCGACATGGGATCCGCTGCCCTGAAGCGCTTCCCGCCCCGCTCCCCACGGCCGACCCATCGCGCAGGCGCCCGCGGGCGATTGCGAATGGAGAGCAGCGAAGGGGGTCGGACGACGCCAGCCAATCCCAGGCCCGGGCCCGCCCCTTCTGCTGCCGAACCCCGAAAGCTGAGGGACGGAGGTCAGTGACTCTGGGGTCTCGGGAACCCGGAGACGAAGGAAGACACCGTGTTCCTTAAGAGGGAGTATACGTTTCCTCGCCATTTATCCAATGGAGTTTCCTCTTACCTACTTAACAGGAACAGGGAAAGGGTGTCCCCCAACGGTACGGCTGCCCCGCCTCTTCCTGGGGGCCCACACGTGTTACAGGAAGTGGGTAAGGGTAATATGGAGGAGCTTCCGGCAGCCCCCGGCGGCTGAAAGCCGGGGCAGAAGTGCTGGTCTCGGTCGGGATTCCGGGCTTGGTCCCACCGAGGCGGCGACTGCGGTAGGAGGGAAGAGGTTTTGGACGCGCTGGCCTCCCGCCGCTGTGCATTGCAGCATTATTTCAGTTCAAAATGAACTATATGCCTGGCACCGCCAGCCTCATCGAGGACATTGACAGTGAGTAGTTTATCTCCTCCCGGTGGAGCCCGGGGTTAGACCCTTCCTCCCGGGCGGGCGCCTCTTCCGAAGAAGCTTGTAGAATGAGTCCCGGGCGGGGCCGGTGTGTTCTGAGCTCAATCCGGGCGTTCCGCGTCGATGTCCTCCACAGCTGCGGTACACACCGCTTGCCCACCCAGTAGCCTGCTGCTACTTCTGCCCCTCGCAGCCTCCGCCAGCCCTCTAGCTGGTGAGCCCCAAGCGATGGAACTCATTCTTGCTTCCGTGGATCGCGGCAGCAGAGGCCCGAACACGAAAGAAGCCCGGGGAGGGGGGGGGCTTCTCCCCCGTCCACTCCTGCCTGCAGTATTTCGAAGTATCAGCGTGTTACCGGTGGATGGATCGGAATACCTAGAGAGAGGATTCATTAAAAAGCGAAAATATTAAGACAGCGGCAGTTGGACTTAATTGGCAGTAAATGTAGGCGCTCTACGGTGTGGCCATTTGCTAGCTTATTTTACTGTGAGGGTCATTAGCACCTTCAGGTTATTGTAGTAGAGACCACTGTTAGACATGGTATTGACTTTTCTGGAAAGACCAAATCACTTGCAACCTTTTTTTTTTTTTTAAGACAATTTACTTTTGCTTTTACTAAGAAGACCTCCCTTATTCCTGGTTTTTGTCCGGAAGAGGAGCTCAGTCCTATACAAAAGCGAAAAGAACCGTCTGCAGTTGTTCTGGCTTTCCTTTTTTCTAAATTCCGTCTGTGCATTATTCCTCAAGCAACATTTTTTATTGTTTTAATCATGTGATCTTTCTCATTAACTTGTTTCAAGATGATTTACACATAGTTTTAAATAAGTTGCAATCGTCTCAGTTACTCTGTGAATACGCAATTTAGAATCTATGGTTAAAATTTCATTTTACGGGCCTGGCGCGGTGGCTCACGCCTGTAATCCCAGCACTTTGGGGGGCCGAGGCGGGCAGATCGCCTGAGGTCGGGAGTTCAAGACCAGCCTAGCCAACATGGTGAAACCCCGTTCCTACAATTAGCTGGGCACTATGGCGGTGCCTGTAATCCCAGCTACTCGGGAGGCTGAGGCGGGAGAATCGCTTGAACCCGGGAGGAGAAGGTTGCAGTGAGCCGAGATCGCACCATTGCACTCCAGCCTGAGCGACAGAGCAAGACTCCGTCTCAAAAAAAAAAAAAAAATCATTTTATGGTTGACAGATCTTTTTTCTTTTCTTTTCTTTTTTTTTTTTTTTTTTTGAGACAGAGTCTTGCTCTGTCGCCCAGGCTGTAGTGTGCAGTGGCGCGATCTCGACTCACTGGAACCTCCACCTCCCGGGTTTAAACAATTCTTGTGCCTCAGCCTCCCAAGTAACTGGGATTACAGGCGCCTGCCAGCACGCCCAGCTAATTTTTGCATTTTTTGGTAGAGACGAGGTTTCGCCATGCTGGGCAGTCTGGTCTCCAACTCCTGACCTCAGGTGATCCACCCACCTCGGCCTCCCAGAGTACTGGGATTACAGGCGTGAGCCACCGCCTCCGGCCGACAGATCATTTTTTTAAACACAAATTACTTATTGTGCTATGTAAGGGAAATGTAGTGTAATTGGACTAAATATATATTAACATCTATATGAACCTGTTACGTGTAACAGGATGTTTTAGTTGCTCGAGGATGCTCTTTTGCCCTCATCTCTCCTTATATATCCTCTAACACATCCTGCCATTTTACTAAAAATCAGTTTTGCTCTTTGGTCCTCTAACCCCTACCTCTTTGTAGATTCCAGACCCCCTACTTTATGAAAACTTTGAAGCCATTTGATATGCACCCTTTGCTCCCCAACCCTAACACACAGTTTCCTCCTTGTGTTTCTGTATTTTCACCCATCCTTTAATTTGAGTAGGAAGGATTCCTCCCTTTTTGTCTGTCTGTTGTTACTGTCTCCTCTCACTGCTTCTGGAACCTTTTTTCGTTGTTAGCCTTTTTCTTTTATATCCTCTGTCTCCCCAACCCCTGCGTTCTTCCCCTCATGTGTTACTGTCTATCCATCTCAAATATTTTCTCCGTTCTCTTCATATGCCCATCCCTTTTTTCATATCTTTATCCCCAAACCTCGAGTCATTTTCATTTTGTCTGTTTCTTGATCACCTTCAATAGACTACTTACATTACTCCTGCAATCTAATTTTTATCCTGAAATTACTCAAGCTGCATTCTTCAAAGTTATTCGTCTAAGGTCTTCTTCTGTGTTCTCTCCCCTTTGCAGCACTGTGATACTCTCCCCACCAGATTCTTTAATTCTCTTCTCTTGATTTCTCTAACAACTGGTACTTGGTGATTTTCTTACTTCTCTGGCTCTTACTGTTCTCCAAAATAGATGGTCACTTGGATTACATGTGGCCTACTTCTTTAAATCTTTAGTAGATCTCCTGTACTTTAGTTTTTTATATCACCTCTTTGTAGATTTATCCAAAATTGCTTTCTCTAATCTTGATGTCTTTGGTTTTCCAGTCTTACTGTTTCCAACTATCTGCGTGTGTTTCTATTAAGTGTCCTGATAGCACTTTAGAATCACAAAGAGCTAATAACCTTCACCCTGAGCTTGCTGCTTTTATTCCCAACTCTTGGTAAATAGTTTTGTGATGTCTCATAAAACTCCTACATCTTTACCTCACATCTTCAGCACCCCACCCTCTCACACATACCCACTTATACAAACTCAGTAAACAGACTCCATCACTTAATGTTTTCTTGTTCCCTATGAAGTCAAATCCAGATGCAGCCTGCGCCCAGTACTTTTCTGACTTTATCTACTGTTCTTTCCCTTCACACCCTCAGCTTTTAGCTAAACATGGATGTATAGCCCTTTTTTCCTCCTCTTTAATTTACAGATTTCCTTCTCCCCCCCCGCCCCCTTCCTATCACTCTTCTTGTGCCCTAAAATTATCTACCTTTTAAGGTCCAACTCTGATACCTCCTTCAGAAATACAGTTTCTCTCTCTGTAGTCTCATATAATTAAGATTTGCTTTCTGTGGTACTTATTTATAGCGCAAGGAAGAGTATAAATTCCTTCAGGGCAGAGTCACTGTGTTTTTCCTCTGTTCTGCATCTAGAAAGTACTTTAGGCATGGAATGAAAGAAATTTTGCTGGGTGCGCTAGTAACTGGCTTATTTTCATTCTTCAGTGTCAGCTCAAAGTCACCTCTTCAGAGAGGCTTTCCCTTGCCACCCTTCCTTCTGTAACCACTTCTCTCCCTTCATCATACTGCCTTGCTAGTTTATTATTCCATTGTCCTAATCACAATAGGTTATTTTCTTATTTATTTGTCCTCCTCCAACATGAATATAAATTCATAAGGTTGGTGACTTTCTAAGTCTCATTCTCTACTGTATGTCTAGACCCCAGAACAGCACATGCCCCCTCAGTAAACATTGAATTTCTGCTCTAGCTTATTATTAGTCTTCATTTTAAATGCCTGAAGCATTGTGTTTTTATTTAAAGCCTTCTATGGTTACAAACAAAATGTGAGATAGAAGCTCATCTTTTGAGGACAAAATAATTCTACAAATAAGATAATAGTCATCTAGATTAAATTTGTCAATTTACAGATATAAAAACTGACATGACATGAGATGGTTTAAGTGTCAAACATAAGGGTCTTTGGCTAGGCGCCATGGTTCACGCCTGTAATCCCAGCACTTTGGGAGGTGGAGGTGGATGGATCATCTGAAGTCAGGAGTTTGAGACCAGCCTAGCTAACATGGTGATACACCATCTCTACTAAAAATATGAAAATTAGCCAGGCATGGTGGCAAACTCCTGTAGTCCCAGCTACTAAGGAGGCCGATGCAGGAGGATCGCTTGAACCTGGGAGGCAGAGGTTGTAGTAAGCCGAGATTGTGCCACTGCACTGCAGCCTGGGTGACAGAGTGAGACTCTGTCTCAAAAAAAAAAAAAAAGAAAAAAGGAAAAAAAAAAAACCAACATAAGGGTCTAGAGCCAGCTAGTCAGGCTTCCTGGTGCCACGCCCTGTCCTTTTCCCACTCTGCCACACTGCTCTGATTCTTTTCACTACTGATGTTATCTAAATCCGCGTTGCTGTGCTGCTTTTTTCAGTTTTCCAATGAACTTGAACTTCACATTAAATGCATTGGCCGAGGAAGTGGTACAGCTTAAACTGTTAATTATTATCCTAAATACTCGCTGAACTTGTCAGTTTTCATTTAAAAGATTTTTTCCTCTCTCCCCAGAAAAGCACTTGGTTCTGCTTCGAGATGGAAGGACACTTATAGGCTTTTTAAGAAGCATTGATCAATTTGGTATGTATTAATTTATGGACATCTCTTATACTCTGGATAATAACAGCAGCCCATTGCATTTTTTGTTATTTAATATTGAAATTTATCTGCAACTTTTTCACGTGTGTGACCTAGTAGGACTGATTTTAGTGAGTACATCATTGTTTTCTATACATTCAGATTAGGTGGTTCAAAGCTTATATATATTTCCAAGCTCGTTTCTAAAACTGGCTTTCAGTAGAATCCCCAGTAGGGGGAGCCAAATGATAGAAATAAACTCAGTCCACCGAAGAGGCTTGTTTTGTTTTGTTTTGTTTTTTGTTTAGACGCGCTCTCGGTCACCCAGGCTGGAGTGCAGTGGCACAATCTTGGCTCACTGCAACCTCCGCCTCTTGGGTTCAAGTGATTCTTGTGCCTCAGCCTCCCAAGTAGCTGAGATTATAGGCTCCAGCCACCACCCCCAGCTAATTTTTGTATTTTTAGTAGAGACGGGGTTTCGCCATGTTGGCCAGGCTGGTTTCAAACTCCTGACCTTAGGTGATCCACCCACCCAGCTGAGCTGGGCAGTTGTTCTGCTCCTCATGGTTTTAGGACAGTCCCTTGGTGTCTAGAAGGTGAGTCAGCTGGTTTGAAGGAGCTTCACTCACATGTCTGGTGCATCAGTGGGGACAGCTGGAAGGCTGGTCTTAGCTCCCATAGTGCTGAGATTATAGGCGCGAGCCATTGTGCCCGGCCCAAGGCTGCTTATTTCTACATTGGCAGGGTAAAATGACTTCAAAGCAGTTCCGGAAGTGAAGGTAATCCCTCCCTAGCCAATGAAAATTGGGTAGAAGGCATTTCCTTTATTTTAAGGACCCCAACATTAAGCTTAATACTTTACATATAGGGATACATTGGAATAAGAGGCCTCTGTCTTTGTTTCGCATCCTGCATTTTTCTTAAGTTAAAAGATTATGTTTCCTTCTGTTTCAAGGAACTTCATGTTCATGCTAACATTTATTGGATATCTGCGAAATCACTGGATTTGAGCATGAGGAAGAAACGTAATTAAAACACTTAAAAGGATTATGGAAGATATGAACATAGATTTCTCCTTTACTTCAAATAGGACAAGTAGTACTAATTGAAAGAGGAAAAATAATTATTGTTAACAAATTGGAGTCCTGATTCTTAAGTCAGATTCATCAGAGTACTTTGAGGGAAGGGTAGTGGCTATTAAGTTGACTTTTAGATTACAAATATAGTTATCTGTCAAGGTGAAAAAATAGGTTTTTGCTGTATCATAACCCATGGATACCTGCGTTGGGTCAAATGAATCCTAATTACTAAAAGAAAGTTGAATCTTCAGCAGATCATCACATACACACCCACACAAAAAGAAAAGCTGTTTCTTTCCAGAAAACAAAAGTTTTGATCTCTGTGGTTGTTTAGGCCCAAGTTTTCCAAGTTCCTTATTCATTTATATTTTCCTATGGTTTTTTTTGGTATTAGCAATTAACTGATAAAGGAATTTATTTCTCTTATTTCTGCTGTCATTCATGTATTAGCCCAACATAATCCCAGACATCTCCTAACTGGTACGTCTTACTCAATGAAATAGGAGAAGATTATTTGAAATTTTAGCCTTCCCCAGAATTAGAAAGCTTGGGGGCCCGGCACTGTGGCTCACGCCTGTAATCCCAGCACTTTGGAAGGCCGAGGTGGGCGGATCACAAGGCCAGGAGTTCAAGACCAGCCTGGCCAATGTGGTGATCCCTGTCTCTGCTAAAAATACAGAATTAGCCGGGAGTGGTGGCAGGCACCTGTAGTCCCAGCTACTCCGGAATCTGAGGCAGGAGAATTGCTTGAACCAGTAGGCAGAGGTTGCAGTGAGCTGAGATGGCGCCACTGCAGTCCAGCCTGGGTGACAGAGCGAGACTCGGTCTCAAAAAATAAATAAATAAAAATAATTAGAAAGCTTGGAAATCATGTTTACCTAAATCTTTTCAAAATAACTGATTATTGAGTTATGGGCCTTTACCCAGTAGTTTAAACTAAATATCTTTGGTTTTTCCCTATACACTTACAGCAAACTTAGTGCTACATCAGACTGTGGAGCGTATTCATGTGGGCAAAAAATACGGTGATATTCCTCGAGGGATTTTTGTGGTCAGAGGAGAAAATGTGGTCCTACTAGGAGAAATAGTAAGTGAAAACTATTAAGCTGCTGTAGATCTTCATATTCATGCTAGTTAGACTTCTTTTTTTGTCTTTTCAAAAGAGAATAAAAATATTCTCCACATTTATCTGGCTTCTCCTAGGCAACTACCAAATTAATTTAGGGAAGCTACAGAGAATACTTTGTTTCAGTGCCTTAACAAATGTGTTCATTAATATATTTGTTTAATAGCAGAAAATTGACAAAGCTTGATTTATATATGCTGGGGAAGGTGTGTCTTACATACGTTGGAATATTTTGCAGTCATTTAAACAATTGGTTACAAGTGGTTTTTCATGGCATAAAGCTAATGCACAGTATTTCAGGGAAGTACATATTGCCTGTACAGTACAATGTGATATCCATATTAGTAAAGGGGGAAAGGGAAAGAGTAGCTATAGGAAAAGCTTTTCCGTTACCTATCCCGAGAATGGAGTTCAGTCTTACTTGGATCCTTAGCTCACAGCCAGGGAGAGGGTATTTTGGTATCTGTGCCAGAAAGACCAGCTGGCAGGTGAAAGGTTAAATCAGATTTTCTGAGGTATTGTTGCTGTAGGTCTTCGTGTGTGCAGACATACACACACACACCCCTACTAGAAGTACTCAGATTTTTTTTTAAAGTATCTTATTTAAAACCTTTGATTTCATCTTGTTATTTCTGATTATTGGGTTTGCAAGGAAAATAAAAATCTCTTCAAGAGTAGTTGAAATTAAGGGTTGAGCCAGCACTGTCTTCTTTTTTCTTACCAAAAACTTTGGTGTTTGCTTAATTTTTAAAGTTTTTAATACTGTTTTCTAAATACCTAGCCATGTCTTAAATCAGTTTGCAGAAATCTTTAGAGTGGTTTGGTTTGTAGCCATTTTTAACAGCCATTTGAGAAAGCAAGGAGATAATTCTGCTAGGGTTGGGTTGGTTCAGAGACCTCATATTGGAAATAGCTAGAAATGACTAATCCAGACTATCAATACTGCCCAAGTGAAATATATGAAGTATATGAAATATATGAATATATGAAATATATGCTGTGAAATATATGAAATAGCTTTTTCTTACTTATAAAATATTTATAAGTAATACTTATAAAAATTTTTCTTATAAAATATTTTTGTAGTTTGTACTTTTAGTTCAGTGTATCATTTCTTGCATGTTTAAGCAGCAGAAATTGTTTTTTGTTTTTTGGGTTTTTTTTTTTTTTTGGGACAGAGTTTTGCTCCTGTTGCCCAGGCTGGAGTGCAATGGCATGATCTCAGCTCACTGCAACTTCCGCCTCCCAGGTTCAAGTGATTCTCCTGCCTCAGCCTCCCGAGTAGCTGGGATTACAGGTGCCCGCAACCAAGCCCAGCTAATTTTTGTATTTTTAGTAGAGACGGGGTTTCACTATGTTGGCCAGGCTGGTCTCGAACTCCTGACCTCAGGCGATCTACCCGCCTCGGCCTCCCAGTGTGCTGGGATTACAGGCATGAGCCACCGCGCCCAGCCAAGCAGCAGAAATTGTTATCTTCTTGTGTCGCATAAAGGCTGAAACAAGGCCAGGTGCGGTGCCTCACGCCTGTAATCCCAGCACTTCGGGAGGCTGAGGCGGGCGGATCACAAGGTCAGGAGATCGAGACCATCCTGGCTAACACAGTGAAACCCCATCCCTATTAAAATACAAAAAAGTTAGCCGGGTGTGGTGGCGGGCGCCTGTAGTCCCAGCTACTTGGGAGGCTGAGGTAGGAGAATGGCATGAACCCAGGAGGCGGAGCTTGCAGTGAGTCGAGATCGTGCCAGTGCACTCCAGCCTGGGCGACAGAGCAAGATTCCGTCTCAAAAAAAAAAAAAAGTCTGAAAGCACCTAGTACCATGGTACCCATGGGGAGACACTACATGACTGTAAAGTAGTCTGCCAGTATTTTTTTTCTTCCAGAGATGGGGTCTCACTATGTTGCCCAGGCTAGATTCAAACTCCTAGGCTTAGGCAATCCTCCTGTCTCAGCCTCCCAAGTAGCCGGGACTATAGGTACATGCCACTGTGCTTGATACTGCCAGTATATAGGGGAGCTGACCCATCTCTGCATGGTGGGGTTATAGATGATTTTTAAAAATACTTTTCTGAATTTAATTTTGAAGAGGCAACGTATCAGAGGAAAAAACTTAAGTTAAAATACTGGGGTGGGTGCAGTGGCTCACGTCTGTAATCCCAGTACTTTGGGAGGCCGAGGCAGGCAGATCGCTTAAGCTGCAAGAGACCAGCCTGGGCAACATGGCCAAACCCTGTCTTTACAAAAAAATACAAAAATTAGCCAGGGGTGATGGTGCACATCACCAGTCCCAGCTACTTGGGAGGCTGAGGTGGGAGATTCACCTGAGCTCAGGGAGGTCGAGGCTACAGTGAGCCATGATTGTACCACTGCACTCCAACCTGGGTAACAGAGCAAGACCCTTTCTCAAGAAAATATTCACAGATATGCTTCTGTTTTATAGTAGTAAACATAGCAGACATGCTTTTTATACTGGTTACATTGGCACAAAGTTACATCTAAGTAGATGTGTGTGTTTGTGCAGAGAAAGAGGTGAACGTGTTTGTTCTTGAAGTTTAATTGTTTCCTTGGATCCCTTTTGTGAGGAAAAGTTCCCTTTTTTAAAAAAATATGTTATGGTTTGGATGCTGCAGAAGTTTTACAGGGGTACCACTACAGAAACTTGGTTCCAGGAATGCCTGCATTGTTATGTGAATCAGCAATCAGGAGAAATTATGTACCAACCCCAGAGGAATTCATACATAGAAATCAGTTTCTGTAAACACTATATTGGTTAAGAAATCCCTGAATTCTGCCTCAAGGACGATGATGATGACACAGCATTAAGTAATAAGACTGTTGGGAAGAAGCAGCAACAGCAGCATGAATTGCTTAGCAAGTCACATACTGAAAAGCCCAAGAGGCAGTGCATTAGGCCGAGAACACTGTGCTCTCTTTAGCTGCTACTCATGGGTTGGGAGGGCAGGTGGTAATATATACTTTGCTGGGTGCTGTTAACTTTGGACCTAGAGCAGGGCTTGCTTATGTAATTTGTGTGGCTTTCATTGTAACTTCTGTGGTGAGAGTCCTCTCTGACTGATAATGCCACTGCCTGTGAGTTCTGAGACCTTGGCAGCATGTGGTAATAGTATGCAGGGCAGAGCATCTGGAGAAGTGTGTCAGTACCGTCCCAAACTTTTATCATTGAAAGTCATAGAGGAGGGTAAGAAACAGGAATACTTTGTATAGGCTTTCCATCTTACAAAAACACCAAATAATACCTGTACATTCATTTTAAGGACAATAAACTGAATCTATGGACAGTGAGATACTTTTTTAGCAAGGTTCTTCTGCATTATGACATTGGTTAGCAAATGTTTATAAGGGCCAGGCACAGTGGCTCACACTTTGGGAGGCCAAGGCAAGAGGATGCTTGAGGCCAGAAGTTTGAGACCAGCCTGGGCAACATAGCAAGACCCCATCTCTACAAAAAGAAAAAAGATTTAATGCCAGATGTGGTGGCACATGCCTGTAGTTCCAGCTACTTAGGAGGCTGAGGCAGGAGGATCACTTCAGCCCAAGAGTTTCAGATCATGGTGAGCTGTGATTGTGCCACTGCACTCCACCCTGGGCAACAGAGCAAGATCCTGTCTCTAAAAAAATGAAAAATGTGCTCACATTGGCAGCACATCTACTAAAATTGGAACAACACAGAGAAGATTAGCACGGCCCCTGCTTAAGGATGACACGCAAATTCATGAAGTCTTCTATATCTTTAAAAATAATTAATGAAAAATGTTTATAAAACATTCAAAAATAAAAATATTAAGCATACTATGCCACATTTAAGTGAAAAAACGAATTAAAGTCAGTATTTGCATTGTGGGTTTTTGGGAGGGGTTTGTTTTTGAGGCAGCGTCTCACTTTGTTATCTAGGCTGACTGCAGTGGTGTGATCACAGCTCACTGCAGCCTCAAACTCCTGGGCTCAAGTGATCCTCCCCCCTCAGCCTCATGAGTAGCTGGGACTATAGGTACACGTTACCACGCCCAGCTAATTTTTTATTTTTTACTTTTTTTTTTTTTTCCTTTTGAGACAGAGTCTTACTCTGTCGCCCAGGCTAGAGTGCAGTGGTGTGATCTTGGCTCACTGCAACCTCTGCCTCCTGGATTCAAGTGATTCTCGTGCCTCAGCTTCCCGAGTAGCTGGGATTACAAGTGTGAGCCACCACACCTGGCTGGGTTGTTTATTTTTTTTAAGTCAGTATATATGTAGAAAAATTGTAGGGATATTATCAAAATGTTAATCCTCCATACTGGAATTATGGATAATTTTTAAATTTTCCTTGTTTGTCTATTTTCCATATTATCTACGATGAGTGTGTATTTTTTAAATAAGGAATTTTTTATTAGGCAACAATTTTTTGTTTTTTTTTGAGATGGAGTTTTACTCTTGTCACCCAGGCTAGAGTGCAATGGCGTGATCTCCGCTCACTGCAACCTCCGCCTCCCAGGTTCAAGTGCTTCTCCTGCCTCAGCCTCCCAAGTAGCTGGGATTACAGGCACCTGCCACCACGCCCAGCTAATTTTTTTTGTATTTTTAGTAGAGACGGGGGTTTTGCCATGTTGGCCAGGCTGGTCTCGAACTCCTGGCCTCAAGTGATCTGCCCGCCTCGGCTTCCCAGTGTGCTGGGATTACAAGCGTGAGCCACCATGCCCAACCTAAGCAGCAATTTTTTAAATAGTGGAGAAAAATATTGGGACCAAATTGGTTTAGTAACCTAAATGGTCTGCCGAGGTTCTCCCTAGAAGACTTGTTGCCGTAAAGGGAAAAAGAGTCTTGTTACAGTTTAGATCTAGACTACAGAGCTGGTACGGTGGCGCACACCTGTAGCCCCAGCTACGTAGGAGGTAAAGGCAAGAGGATCCCTTTTTATTTTTGTCTTTTTACTTTTTTTGAGACGGTCTTGCTGTTGCAGAGGCTGGAGTGCAGTGACACATTCATGGCTCACTGCAGCCTTGAACTTCAACCTCCCAGGCTCAAGCAGTCCTTCCACCTCAGCCTCCTGAGTAGCTGGAACTGTAGGTGAACACCACCACACCAGCTTTTTTTTGTTTTGTTTTTTGGTGGAGTTAGTTAGGGTCTCACTGTGTTGCCCAGGCTGGTCTCGAACTCCTAGGCCCAAGTGATCCTCCCACCTCAGCCTCCCAAAGTGCTGGGATTACGACTGTGAGCCACTCCACCCGTCCTTAAAATAATTAAAAAAAAAAAAAAGTCTAAGGCCACATTGCCTCAATAACCTCCCTCTTGGATTCTCTGCAGTGGGGGAGATAGCTGTCTATAAGCAGCCCTAATTTTTTTTTTTAAGGAAATTAATCGTGGACTAATAGAAAATTAATCCTGACTAATATGGGATTTTGGATCACATAAAGCTCTGTTATACAAATACTTATTACTGCCTATAATCCCAGCACTTTGAGAGGCCAAGGCAGGCAGATCATGAGGTCAGGTTTCGAGACCAGCCTGACCAACGTGGTGAAACCCTGTCTCTACTTAAAATACAAAAATTAGCCAGGCGTGGTGGCACGTGCCTGTAATCACAGCTACTCAGGAGGCTGAGGCAGGATAATCGCTTGAACCCAGGAGGTAGAGGTTGCAGTGAGCTCAGATTGCGCCACTGCACTTCAGCCTGGGTGACAGAGAGACTCCATCTTGAAAAATATATACATATACTGATCACTATTAACCTCATTGTAAGTATGTATCCTATAGTAGTGTTGTCAGGCATTTCTTTGAAAAACTTACCGGTCCCTAGGAGAAGGATATTTCAGTTCCTGTCACAGTTATGAAAAATAATCTGAGCCTGATAGAGGAATCCATTTGCCTTGAGATCTGTGCTTTCTATTCTTGGTCTTCAGGTGAAGTTTTCAAACCTGTCTCTTTTGTAGGACTTGGAAAAGGAGAGTGACACACCCCTCCAGCAAGTATCCATTGAAGAAATTCTAGAAGAACAAAGGGTGGAACAGCAGACCAAGCTGGAAGCAGAGAAGTTGAAAGTGCAGGCCCTGAAGGACCGAGGTCTTTCCATTCCTCGAGCAGATACTCTTGATGAGTACTAATCTTTTGCCCAGAGGCTGTTGGCTCTTGAAGAGTAGGGGCTGTCACTGAGTGAAAGTGACATCCTGGCCACCTCACGCATTTGATCACAGACTGTAGAGTTTTGAAAAGTCACTTTTATTTTTAATTATTTTACATATGCAACATGAAGAAATCGTGTAGGTGGGTTTTTTTTTTAATAACAAAATCACTGTTTAAAGAAACAGTGGCATAGACTCCTTCACACATCACTGTGGCACCAGCAACTACTTCTTTATATTGTTCTTCATATCCCAAATTAGAGTTTACAGGGACAGTCTTCATTTACTTGTAAATAAAATATGAATCTCAAAAGTGTCATGTTATTTCCAAGTTTGAGTTACCTGTAATGAATAGATTAATAGATTAATTAAGTTTCTGCTCTCAAAGGTATAAGCAGTCCACATACTGGGATTTCCCCCTTCAGTCACAGTTTCAAGTAGCTGGCTACTTAGGAAGGAATATTTTTATTCCAGTCATCTCAGGGGTCCTCTCCTGTTTCCATGTTTGTATCTGTTAAGAAATACAAATGTTCGGCAGGGGCGGTGGCTCATGCCTGTAATCCCAGCACTTTGGGATGCCGAGGCGGGTAGATCACCTGAGGTCGGGAGTTGAAGACCATCCTGACCAACATGGAGAAACCCTGTCTCTACTAAAAATACAAAATTACCAGGGCGTGGTGGCGCATGCTGTAATCCCAGCTACTTGAGAGGCTGAGGCAGGAGAATCACTTGAACCTGGAAGGCAGAGGTTGCGGAGAGCCAAGATTGCACCATTGCACTCCAGCCTGGGCAATGAGCGAAACTCCGTCTCAAAAAAAAAAAAAAAAAAATATAAACGCTCAGGCGTGAGGAGGGAGCTTTCAGCTGTTTCCCAGTTACTGGTTACTGCAGAAGACTCATGTTTGAGAAACGACATCATGGTTGCTCTTGCTCCTGCTTCGCCCATGGCTATTCCAAACTAAGTCCCCACGAGACCCAACATGTTCTTACAGTGGCTTGTTCTCCAGGTTTTCTGCTAATTTAATTAGGTGTTCTAGTCCTTTGTATTGAGTCTTGAGTATCTTAACGTTCTCATCAAAAAGGAACATAAATGGTATTGTAGTGACTGAAAGCCCATAGTGATGGCACTTTGTGTGACTGTCGAAGAGTAGGGATTGCATGAAAAGCTTAACAGATTTGTACTTCAAGAAGGAAGCATGGGCCGGGTGCAGTGGCTTACACCTGTAATCCCAGCACTTTGGGAGGCAGAGGCAGGTGGTTCACCTGAGGTCAGGAGTTCAAGGCCAGTCTGGCCAACATGGTGAAACCCCGTCTACTAAAAATATAAAAATTAGCATGGTGGTGCATCCCTGTGATCCCAGCTACTCGGGAGGCTGAGGCAGGAGAATTGCTTGAACCCGGGAGGCAGAGGTTGCAGTGAGCTGAGATTGCACCACTGTAGTCCATCCTGGGCGACAGAGTGAGACTCTGTCTCTAAATAAATAAATAAAGGAATCATGGTTTAGTAGACAGTGGGCTCAACTAGGAGTTAGGAGATACCGTGTGAAATTGGCAATTATTGGCAGATTAGGCTTGAGTAAGTCATCCTCTGATTCTCAGTAATTTTAACTGATTATTCCAGGTAGTTCCTTTTTATATTCTGTTAAGCAAAAATGTTATTTTCATAAATTTTATATCTAATTTGTATGTGTGTGATTTATTATTATTATTTTTTTTTTCTTTGAGACAGAGTCTTGCTCTGTCGCCCAGGCTGAAGTGCAGAGGTGCGATCTTGGCTCGCTGCAACCTGCACATCCCAGGTTCCCCGAGTAGCTGAGATTATAGGCACGTACCACCACACCCCTCTTTAATTTTTGTACTTTTAGTAGAGACGGGGTTTCACCATGTTGGCGTGGTGGGTTCCCGAACTCCTGACCTCAAGTGATCCTCTGGCCTCGGCCTCCCAAAGTGCTGGGATTACAGGCATGAGCCACCACGCTTGGCCTGTATGTGTGTGAATTATTTTATAGTATTAACATTTTATGAGCTCAGGGGTTTTTAAAACTGCCCAAAAGGCCTACAAACCATTTGACTTCTGAACTGTTCATCATTGGGCTGATTTTATAGTAGGTAACTTATGAGGAAACTATTGCACTTAATGGCTTATCTAATGTTTTGCCCATCTTACTGTTTAATAGAATGTATTATTAACTACCCACATAAAGAGAAGAAATACCAACTTTTGAAAAACGTGTGACTACAGTAAGATACTCTGAAGTTCAGCAGAATGACAGCATTTGTTTTTCAGAGCCCCACTGCTTCAAAACATGTGACACCTCCAAGAAATGTGAATTCGTTACAGTTATCTTGTGTTTTCAACATCCATCAATTCCCACTGTAATGGCAAGAGTTATGATTTACTCTTACGTTAAATTCCAAGAATTTCCAAGCCATAGCAAGGTTTCAGTCATTGTGTGTACTGTCTTGCTTTAGACCTTTATCATACAGCCAACAGCCAAGACTTGGACCTAAAGGATGAAACTCTCCGGACTATCTGCAGCATTCTTAGTTCCTCGACTGCCCAGTGGGATGGTTTGCCCTCACCTTACCCAAGCCAGTCTTTGCAGATACTGAAATCTAATGCTTTTTTCCCCGACCATTGCTGGACTCTTGTATTATTAGGCTTCAGAATCAGTCCCATTTCATACTTCTGTTTTATCTTTTTTTTTTTTTTTTTTTTGAGACGGAGTTTTGCTCTTGTTGTCCAGGCTGGAGTGCAATGGCACGAATCTCAGCTCACTGCAGCCTCCACCTCCCGGGTTCAAGCAATTCTCCTGTCTCAGCCTCCCGAGTAGCTGGGATTACGGGCATGCCCCACCACGCCCAGCTTCCCTTGAGGCTGCTTTCAGGGTAGAAAAATAAAGTTCTTCCAATTGGGGCTTGAGACTGCTTTCAGGGTAGAAAAATAGGAAGATCTACCAAAGACCCCTTTCTGGCCATCTGTTTTCTGAAATAATTGAGTACAGCAGCATATCTCTTACTCTTTTTTTTTTTCGCCCTTAGCCCGTAACCTTCTTAGACTGCATGCTCTTAGCTAAGTTTAAACCGCAGTATCTGCTCCCCTCCCTGATCTGATAAAATCCAAACAGGCTCTGGATACTTAGTGGAGCCAAGTACCCTCATACTGGCCATTATGGACGCTCAGGGAAGCCAGGTCAGGATGAGTCCCAGTGATATCACAGGTGAAGAAGGCTGGAAAGTATCATTTTCTTCACAGGAGTGTGAGTGGGCCAGGACAGGGAGGCCAAGCACAGTGCAGACAGCAGAAGGGGTAGGCCAGGAGGCAGAGTAGGCACACCTGCCCAAGATGACTGACTGCACGTGGCCCAGAATTTCTTTTTTGAGTGGACTAGAATAAAAAATAGAATGCAGGTGGCTCACGCCTGTAATCCCAGCAGTTGGGGAGGCCGAGGTGGGTGAATCACTTGAGCTCAGGAGTTCGAGACCAGCCTGGGCAACATGGCGAAATATCATCTCTACCAAAAATACAAAAAATTAGCCAGGTGTGGCATACGCCTGTCGTCCCACCTACTCAGGAGCATAGTGGGTGACAGTGAGACTCCGTCTCAAAAAAAAAAAAAGGCTGGGCGCAGTGGCTCTCACCTGTAATCCCAGCACTTTGGGAGGCCGAGGTGGGTGGATCACCTGAGGTCAAGAGTTCCAGACCAGCCTGACCAACATGGAGAAATTCTGTCTCTACTAAAAATACAAAATTAGCAGGGCGTGGTGGCACATGCCTGTAATCCCAGCTACTCGGGAGGCTGAGGCAGGAGAATTGCTTGAATCTGGGAGGCGGAGTTTGCAGTGAGCCGAGATCATGCCATTGCACTCCAGCCTGGGCAACAAGAATGAAACTCCGTCAAAAAAAAAAAAAGAAAGAAAGAAAGAAAGAAATCAAAGCGCATCACATAATAAAGTTAGGCCATGTGTGAAACTTGTTATCTGCATGTATGCAGATACTGGAGATGTAAAATAAATTTGTTACTGTGCCTGGCTGTCAGAAACATTTGAAAAACACTACCTTATAGTAAATTTGTATGTGCTTATTTCAACTACGAAGGAAAAGAGTATTTGCATCCATTGAGGTACAGAAAAAAAAAATTTTAAGTCCACGTTCATTTTCATATCTTTCTTCTCAACTCCTGAAAATCACCTGTGCCCTGGATGGGGATGAATCTGTTGATCTCTGGGCTTAACACATGCTATTCCCCGAAATTTGCATGAATCCTTCTCTCACTATCTTCAGATCTCTGTCACATTCCCCTCCCTTGACTGCCCCTTTAAAATAGCACCCCTGGCTGGGTGCCGTGGCTCATGCCTGTAATCCCAGCACTTTGGGAGGCCGAGACAGGTGGATCACCTGAGGTCAGGAGTTTGAGACCAGCCTGGCCAACATGGTAAACCCCGTCTCTACTGAAAATACAAAAATTACCTGGGCATGGTGGCACATGCCTGTAATCCCAGCTACTTGGGAGGCTGAGGCAGGAGAATCGCTTGAATCCGGGAGACAGAGGGTGCAGTGAGCCGAGATCGCACCATTGCACTCCAGCCTGGGCTACAGAATGAGACTCTGTCTTAAAAAAAAAAAAAAAAATTAGCCGGGCGTGGTGGCAGGTGCCTGTAATCCCAGCTACTCGGGAGGCTGAGGCAGGAAAATTGCTGGAACCCAGCAGGTGGAGGTTGCAGTGAGCCGAGATCATGCCACTGCACTCCAGTCTGGGTGACAGAGTGAGACTCAGTCTCAAGAAAAAAAAAAAAAAGCACCCCGTCCCCATCTGTAACTTTCCAGCTTTTCACCCTACCAAGTATTGCCATCTGACATATATTTTACCTGTTTACTGTCTGCTCCCCTCCCTCACTAGAATGTAAACCCTTAAGGATGGATTTCTATCTGTCTTGTTCACTCTTGTATCCCCAGCATCTAGAATGATGCCTAATGTGCATTAAGTCTCAGTATGTATTTGTTGAAGGATGGATGGATGGATGGATGGATGGATGGATGGATGGATGGATGGATGGATGGATGGATGAAAGCATGAAGTAAGTTCAGGCTGGCTTACCAATATGCTTCAGAGACCAGTACGACCCCAAAAGGTGAAGACAGTTGCGACCACTGAGCGGCCAGGAGTAGGATAATTAGTAGTGATCAGTCCTTACATTGAATATGGAGATGTTCCCCTACTGTGGAGGCAGCCTTTAGTGCAGGCCATAGCCCTTCAGGTGTGAAGGGTTTGGAGGTAATTGGTGGTAAAAAAATTCTGAGACCCGGTGTGGTGGCTCATGCCTGTAATCCCAGCATCTTGGGAGGCCAAGGTGGGCGGATCACCTGAGGTCAGGAGTTCAAGACCAGCCTGACCAATATGATGAAACCCCGTCTCTACTAAAAACACAAAAATTAGTTGGGCATGGTGGCACATGCCTGTAATCCCAGCTACTCAGGAGGCTGAGACAGGAGAATCGCTTGAACCTGGGAGGCAGAGGTTGCAGTGAGCCGAGATCACGCCATTACACTCTAGCCTGGGCAACAAGAGTGAAGCTCCGTCTCAAAAAAAAAAAAAAAAAAAACCTGGAAAAGCATCCCAGGAAAACATGGGGGTGAGGGTTGGACAGGGAGCTGGGTGCCTGTCAGGGTTGCTGGGAGTAAAGATTTTCTTCTACCTGTTCTCCTCCTAATTGTCCTCCAGGCAGATGTGGGCTGCAGTGCCCACCCCCATCTTGCATGTCACCCTATAGGGGTCCTGTGGATAATGGGAGCAAGAGACTGCTTTAAGGGTGCTTGATTTTACCAATTAAGCTGGTCCTGTATTCACCTAAGTGGCCAAAGATCAAAAGTTAATTTTCCAGCCAAGCGCGGTGGCTCACGCCTGTAATCCCAGCACTTTGGGAGGCCAAGGCAGGCAGATCACCTGAGGTCAGGAGTTCAAGACCAGCCTGGCCAAAATGGTGAAACCTTGTCTCTAATAAAAATACAAAAATTAGGCCAGGCGCAGTGGCTCACGCCTGTAATCCCAGCACTTTGGGAGGCCGAGGCAGGCGGATCACGAGGTCAGGAAATCGAGACCATCCTGGCTAAGACGGTGAAACCCCGTCTCTACTAAAAATACAAAAAATTAGCCTGGCGTGGTGGCGGGCGTCTGTAGTCCCAGCTACTTGGAAGGCTGAGGCAGGAGAATGGTGTGAACCCGGGAGGCGGAGCTTGCAGTGAGCCGAGATAGCGCCACGGCACTCCAGCCTGGGCGACAGAGCGAGATTCCGCCTCAAAAAAATAGAAAAATAAAAAAATAAAAAAATTAGCGGGGCGTGGTGGCGGGTGCCTGTAATCCCAGCTACTCAGGAGGCTGAGGCAGGAGAATCACTTGAGCCTGTGAGGCGGAAGTTGCAGTAAGCTGAGACCGTGCCGCTGCACTCTAGCCTGGACAACAGAGCGAGACTCTGTATCCAAAAAAAAAAAAAAAAAAAAAAAAAAAAAAAAAAAAAAAACAGAGAGAGAAAGAAGGAAAGAGAGAGAGAGAGAGAAAGAGAGAGAGAGAAAGACAGAGAGAGAGAGAGAGAAAGGAAAGAAAGAGAAAGAAAAAGAAAGAAAGAGAAAGAAAAAGAAAGAAAGAAAGAAAAAGAAAGAAAGAAAAGAAAAAAGAAGGGAAAAGAAAAAAAAGGCCTCAAAGCCTGTTGCTTTGGGAACCCAGAGAACTGAGTGGTGTCACGACCCAAGTACGTAGCTGGGGCCAATAGAAAGAGAGAGGGCTCACTGCTGGGCAGATCTCAAGGTCAGGAACCCAGAATGCCTGGGAATCCATCACCAAGACACAGTTTTTTTTCTGATCAGGTTTACTGAGGTGTAATTTACATAAAGTAAAATTCAGCCTTTTTGGTGTGGAGTTCTATAAGTTTTAACAACTGAGTATAGTTATGTAACCACTATCACGATCAAGATACAGAATATTTTCATCACTCCTGCCCTGTGTATTTCTTTCCTCCTTTCCAGCCCCTGGATAACACTGATCTATTTTCTGTCCCTATAGTTTACAGTGGCAATGAATTCAAAGTGTTCTTAAAATGGTGTGTAGGTCAAATTAAATATTGTGAGGGCTAAATTCAGTTTGTTCTTCTGGTTTAGGTGATTACAAAAGACCAAATGCTCTATGTTCTCTGCCAAAATTCCTGGGAAAGGAAATCAAAAGTCGGGCTTACCTGCTTGAAATGGTGGGTGAGGGGGGGAAACAAGAGACTCCAACAGAATTTAAAGTTGAGTAAGCATCCATCACCCTAAAATTTATTGACTGCTAGATGGCAGCCAGGCATATGCTAAGATGCAACTATTAGCCCCACTTTTCACAGAGAGAGACAGGAGATTTTAAAAGGTTAACCCAGCCAGGCCCGGTGGCTCATGCCTGTAATCCCAGAGCTTTGGGAGGCTGAGGCAGGAGGATCGCTTGAGCCCAGGAGCTGAAGACCAGCCAGGGCAACATAGTGATATCCTGTCTCTACAAAAAATAATGAAATTAGCTGGGCATGGTGGTGCACACCTATAATCTCAGCTATCTGGGAGGCTAAGCTGGAAGGATCTCTTAAACCTGGGAGATTGAGGCTGCAGTCAACTGGGATTGTACCACTGCACTCCAGCCTGGGCAATAGAGCAAGACCTTGTCTCAAAAAAAAAAAAAAAAAAAAAAAAAGGGCTGGCACAGTGGCTCACGCCTATAATCTCAGCACTTTGGGAGGCCAAGGTGGGTGGATCCCAAGGTCAGGAGTTCAAGACCAGCCTGCCCAACATGATAAAACCCCATCTCTACTAAAAATACAAAAATTAGCCAAGTGTGGTGGTGCGTGCCTGTAATCCCAGCTACTCGGGAGGCTGAGGCAGGAGAATCCTGGGAGGCGGAGGTTGCAGTGAGCCGAAATTGTGCCATTGCACTCCAGCCTGGGTAAGACAGCGAGACTCCGTTTCAAAAAAAAAAAGTAAAACAAGGAGAAATTGGCAAGAGTCTTATTTATACTGTGATAAATATTTATCAAGGTGGGGCCAAAAGGTAAAATATTGGATCTTTTTTTTTTTTTTTTTGAGACGGAGTTTTGCTTTGCTCTTGTTGCCCAGGCTAGAGTGCAATGGCGCGATCTCGGCTCACCACAACCTCCACCGCCCAGGTTCAAGCAATTCTCCCGCCTCAGCCTCCCAAGTACCTGGGATTACAGGCATGCGCCATCATGCCTGGCTAATTTTTTTTGTATTTTTAGTAAAGACGGGGTTTCTCCATGTTGGTCAGGCTGGTCTCGAACTCCTGACCTCAGGTGATCCGCCCACCTCGGCCTCCCAAAGTGCTAGGATTACAGGCATGAGCCACCATGCCGGGCCAAAATATTGGATTCTAATTAAAGAGTAGGGTGAGGAAAGGCACAGAGGACAGCCTCTGAGGGGAGACTGCACTGCAAGTATCCCTGGAACAGAGAAGGTATGCACAGGATGGATGGCAGCAGGCACCACAGGGAGAGCTGAGCACTGCTGGGTAGAATCCAGGTGAGAACTGGAATGGCCAAATTGGAATTGTGCTAAGAATTCTGGACTTTATCTTGTGAGGTATTGATGTATTGTTACCTCATTTAAACCTTATAACTAACCTGAGAGGATGAAGAAAATAAAAAGAGGCTGGGCGTTGTGGCTCACGCCTGTAATCCCAGCACTTTGGGAGGCTGAGGCCACGTGGAATGGCCCAAGCTTCCCCTGACAGCCAGCTCGCAGCCCTCAGAGTCTCCTCCAAGCTGCTGGCCATCTGCTCTACCTGGGACACCCTTACCCCATCAACTCTCTATTTTCAACCCCCTCCACAAACCTAGCTAACTCCCATTCGTATTTTCCAGAAGCCTTCCGTAACATTCCTCCCTCCCTCCCCCATAGAATTAGAGGTTCCATCATCTCTACTTCCAAAACACCTCATCTGCTCTACGACTGTCCATACTGGGTCTATGGTTCAACTCATATTGTCCTAACTTTAGAGCCACATAGAGACATTCAGGAAAGGACTGTTGAATGAATGGAGGGAGGGAGGGAGAGAGGGAGGGAGGGAGAGAGGGAGGGAGGGAGGGAGAGAGGGAGGGAGGGAGGGAGGGAGGAAGGAAGGAAGGAAGGAAGGAAGGAAGGAAGGAAGGAAGGAAGGAAGGAATCCCCTTTTTTGCTCCAAAGCCCTGGCTCTCTCGCCTGGCCTGGGGGCCTTCCTCTCCAGCATGGCACATCCACACCACCTGAGCTGGCCTCCTGGCTCTCCTCCCCCATGGCCTGCCATGGTCATCTGGCCTCCTTTCTTGGAAGCTCTGCCCTCATCAAAAAGCAGAGCCAGATACAGATGGTCCAGAACCAGAGGAAATTCCCAGACCTCTCTCGCCACTTTACTGCTCAGAGGGATGGAGAGAGTTAATGAGTCATTCTGCCTGGAAAGGATGAGGGAGAGAGCCTTGGCCCTTGCAGAGGTCACCCAGCACCACCTCCCAACCACCCCCTCCCAGGAGTCAATGGCAGCCTCTGACATCAGCCACAGCCATAGGCTCTATCCTCCGTCTCCCACACCACCTCCACCCCTTTCAGAATGGCCATAATTCTCCACAGGAAGGCAGCAGCAGGGCCTTGATCATCATCTGCATGGCCTGTCCCATAATAACCGCCTTCCCCCTCCCCCCACCTCGCTGAGGCAGGCCTGCAGACACACATGTGCAGGAGAGGCACATGCCCCAGCAGATCAGAGGGAGGAGCCGGGGGAGCTGGCACCCCACCTGCCCAGCTCATCCACTGCACCTCCTCTCTGAAAGGTAGAGGGCCTAGGCACAGGCTGGCGACGGGGGAGAGGCCCTGCTGTCTTCCTTGGGGACTGAGGGCTGGAAACAATGCCTTCAGGCAGGTTTCCTGAGTCTAAAGATATACCTGCACCCCTAGCTGCTTTCCCAGTTGGTCACTCAATAGAGAAGGAGCACACCAGGCACAGTGGCTCACTTTGGGAGGCCGAGGCAGGAGGATGGCTTGACCCCAGGAGTTCAAGACCAGCCTGGGTAACATAGCAAGACCCCGTCTCTATTTTTAAAAATTAAAAAAAAAAAAAGTTTTAATAGAGAAGGAGCAAGAGTCCCCTGTGTCTCTGCTGGAGGTGAGTGCTGAGGGTGGGGACAGCTTTTAAGGGGGAAAGTGGACCCAGCACCTGCCTTGGGGAGATAATTCCACAGAAGAGACAAGCAAACACATACAAACCATTCAACAAATCAGGACCAGAACTAAGCCCCTCAAGTGATACTGACAGTAAGGGTGTGGTGGGAGGAGCCAGCATTCCAGAAGACCAGGATGGTCTAGGAAGGTTTCCTGGAGGAGGTTTTGAGGAAGGGGCCGGGTACCTCTAGGCAGCCTCTGCTCACAGGATTCCCCGACTGCATCACCGGGGTGGAAATCGGGGGCCAGGGGGGTGACTCCCCTGTTCTATATGGGCTCCAAGTGCCAGGCCTGGCTCTGAGCAGATCCTGTCCCTTTCACCCTGTCTGGTGTTGGGGAGACAGCGAGAGTGCATGGGGCCCCGGCACTGCTCCCCATTTTTAGGGCTCCCCTCTGCCTCTGTGAGGTGGTGGCAGGACACAGAACTCCCTCCCACAGGGAGCAGGGCCTGGGCCAGGGGCAGTTCCAGTGTGAGTTTTTCCACTCCCAATATTCTTGCCCAGTGAATCTGGCTTAAAAGCAGCCTCAAGGTCACTGTAAAGGGAAGAGATTCCGTCAGAGTCAGAGCCCAGCACGTGCTGCGCCTGGGTAAGGGTGAGTGGGAAATGCAGAGGCCTCGTGGGGCCTTGCTCAGCCTGACAGGGCCCCTAAAGTGCAAAGACTAGGGTGAACACCCCAACGCCCTGTCTTTTCTTTTTTTCCTTTTTTTTTTTTTGCAACAGAGTCTCGCGCTCTGTCATCCAGGCTGGAATGCAATGGTGTGATCTCAGATCACTGCAACCTCTACCTCCCAAGTTCAAGCAATTCTGCCTCAGCCTCCTGAGTAGCTGGGATTACAGGTGCCTGCCACTATGCCTGGCTAATTTTTGTTTTTTTGTTTTTGTTTTTGTTTTGAGACGGAGTCTTGCTCTGTCACCCAGGCTGGAGTACAGTGGCTTTATCTTGGCTCACTGCAACCTCTGCCTCCCGGGTTCAAGTGATTATCCTGCCTCAGTCTCCTGAGTAGCTGGGATTATAGGCATACGCTACCACTCCCGGCTAATTTTTGTATTGTCAGTAGAGACGAGGTTTCACCATGTTGGTCAGGCTGGTCTCAAACTCCTGACCTTGTGATTTGCCCGCCTCAGCCTCCCAAAGTGCTGGGATTACAGGCATGAGCCACTGTGCCCAGCCCATGCCCTGTCTTTTCAAGCTTTCTGCACATACCAAGACCCCCAGCCCAGCTCACTCAGACAAAGCTACTGGCGGGAAAGTGTGAGGAAGGGTGTGGGCGTGGCCCAGGCCCTCCTCTTCTCTCTGCCGTATACTGATAGGGCTGCCCCGCCCCCCCCCGCCCCCCCGCGACTCAGCCACGAGAGGTCATCCTTGCTCCAGCACAGACCCCTAAGAACCCTCACTCGGAACAGGACTTTGGGAAAGGTGGTTTCTATAAATAGATGAGTAAATAAATTGACAGTTGAATATACCAAGCGTCCTGGGGACCGCAGGAGGAACTGTGTACAGATGGCTTGAAGGCCAGAGGCTTGGGTTGTTGTCCTGGCCCTGCCACTGGCCAGCTGTTTGACCTTGAACAAGTCAGTTCCACTCTGTGGACTTCAGGGTCCTCACCCAGAAGAAGAGCAGCCATATGGTCTCTACTGCCTGGTAAACACCCTGGCTCACTCTCGCGAGACGGTGGTTCTCAAAGTGTAGTGTGTAGTCCACACAACACCTGCATTGCAACCACTGGGTATTTATTTATTTATTTATTTAATTTATTTATTTATGACGGAGTCTCACTCTGTCGCCCAGGATGGAGTGCAGTGGCACGATCTTGGCTTACTGCAACCTCTGCCTCCTGGGTTCAAGTGATTCTCATGCCTCAGCCTCCCGAGTAGCTGGGACTACAGGTGCCTGCCACATCACCCGGCTAATTTTTTGTATTTTTAGTAGAGATGAGGTTTCACCATGTTGGCCATGCTGGTCTCGAACGCCTGACCTCAAGTGATCTGCCCACCTCGGCCTCCCAAAGTGCTGGGGTTACAGGCGTAAGCCACCGCGCCTGGCCAAGGGAAGTTTTTTTCTTTTCTTTTTTTCTTTTTTCTTTTCTTTTCCTTCTTTTTTTTTTTTTTTTTTTTTTTTTTTTTTTTTTTTAACACAGGTTTCTGAGCCTCAATTCCAGATCAGCTGAGCCTGGAGTTTCTGAAGACAAGGGCTAGAAATCTGCACTTTAAAGTCTTGAAAACCACTGTGTGCCTTCATCTAAGCTGCCCCTGCTTCTCTCCCCTCCATCCCTCGCCTGGCCCTGTCCTCCCTACTCTCCCCTGCACCCTCCCCCGCCCCAAGCTCCCCACAAACGGCCAAAGCAGCAGTGTGAGGCAATCGCTCTATCCTTGACCCCTTCCTTTGCACAGTGAGTGATGGCGTTTTTATCTCCTGATGATGATGCACAGCCTTCAGCGGGGGACATTTAAGACGCAGAACACCAGGTCCAGGCTGCAGCTGCGGGACTCAGAGGCGAAGCTTGAGGGGCTCAGGAAGGACGAAGAACCACCCTTGAGAGAAGAGGCAGCAGCAGCGGCGGCAGCAGCAGCGGCAGCGACCCCACCACTGCCACATTTGCCAGGAAACAATGCTGCTAGCGACATTCAAGCTGTGCGCTGGGAGCTCCTACAGACACATGCGCAACATGAAGGGTGAGCGCTGCGGGAAGGAGGCGATGAGGGGTTGGCCAGCTCTCAGCGGATGAGGCTCAGGCCACCCAATTCTGATCCTAGTTGTGCCTCTTACTGGGTGAACCTGGGCAAGTTTCTTCCCTTCTTGAATCTCAGTTTTCCCCTCGGAAGAAGTGGGCTGGTTACTAAGATATATCCCTTCCAGATTCTATAATTTCTGGTCTCCCCTCCAGGACTCCAATCTTTTTTTCTCCTTTTCTTTCATTTTTATTCTTTTTCTTTCTTCCTTCCCTCCTTCCTTTCCTTTCTTTCTTCCTTTCTTCCTTCCCCTTTTCCTTCATTCGTTCTTTTTTTCTTCCGCCTTTTCTTTTTTTTTTGTTTGAATAAAGGTCTCTGTCACAGAGGCTGGAGTACAGTAGAACAATCATAGCTCACTGCAGCCTCAAACTCATGGGCTCAAGCCATCCTCCCACCTCAGCCTCTTGAGTACCTGGGACTACAGGCGTGCACCACCACAACCAGCTAGTTTTATTTATTTATTTTTATTTTTATTTTTTTTAGAGACAATGTCTTGCTATATTGGTCACGCTGGTCTTGACCCCCTGGGCTCAAGGGATTCTCCCACCTTGGCCTCCCAAAGTGCTGGGATTACAGGTGTGAGCCGCCACACCTGGCTTACTTTATTTTGAGATGGAGTCTCACTCTGTTGCCCAGCCTGGAGCGCAGTGGCACGATCTCGGCTCACTGCAACCTCCGCCTCCTGGGTAGCTGGGATTACAGGTGCATGCCACCACGCCTGGCTAGTTTTTGTATTTTTAGTAGAGACAGGGTTTCGCCACGTCGACCAGACTGGTCTTGAACTCCTGACCTCAGGTGATCTGCCTCCCAAACTGCTGGGATTATAGGCATGAGCCATGGCGCTCAGCCTATTTTATTTTTGAGGCAGTCTCGCTCTGTTGCCTAGGCTGGAGTGCACTGGCGCTATCTTGGCTCACTGCAGCCTCTGCGTCCTGGGTTCAAGCAATTCTCCTGCCTCAGCCTCCTGAGTGGCTGGGACCACAGGCGTGCACCACCATGCCTGGCCATCTTTCTTGAACTATTCCTGACTTTGCCTTCCTTCAGAGCTGGACAAGTCTTGTAGCAGGGGTACACAGGAAAGTCTTGCCCACAGTGGCAGAGTAAATATTAGACTTGACTCCCACAGGCAAAAAAAGACGGAGAAGAGACATAGGGGAGTAAGACAGGAGGGCAAGGTAAAGAGATAAGACGGAAGACTGATTATCATTGAATAGCCAGGAAGGGGCAGAAACCAGCTACAAGAGGCCACTTTTGTAGAGCTGATTCGCATCCAAGGTCATTTGAATCAATCCCCTGCTGCCACTGAAGGGTACACAAGTCAATCTAGGCACGATCTTTCCAATTACACTGGATTGAATTAGCTACCTTTAGAGCGAGAAGCCATGCTTAGATCTGCAGCTGGCAGTGGTGTTGTCGTCCTCACTAGATGGACAGGGCTTCCCTGGCCCAGAATCCAGGGGCACACAGAGTAGCTTATGCATGCAAGCACACAGACTCACAGAAGCACAGATTCATGCAATCAGATTCTGGCAAGCACACAGACCTCATGCAAGCACAGACTCGTGCAGACACACAGACTCATGCAAGCACACAGGCCTCAGGAGTTGTATTCTCCTTATGAAGTAGGATTTTTCTGGTTGCTTGAACACAGCTTTTTCCCCTTTTAGAGACAGAAACTCCAGCAGGCTCTGGTATAGCCCATCTCCAGGCAGGGCCAGGCCTGACCACCCCAGATGGAAGGCAGATTTCTGGACCCTGGAGCACTGCCATGGGAGTTGAGGGCCTGGCTCTAGTTCAGGTCCCTGCTAGAATCCTGTGTGCTCCTGAGCAAGTCACTTCCCTCTCCAAACCAACTTACTCATTTGAGACAAGATGAGGGGGTGGGAGTGGTCCATCTCTAAGGGGCTTTCCAGCTCCTAGACAAGGGTTATTCCCTTCTGCAGGGCTGAGGCAACAGGCTGTGATGGCCATCAGCCAGGAGCTGAACCGGAGGGCCCTGGGGGGCCCCACCCCTAGCACGTGGATTAACCAGGTTCGGCGGCGGAGCTCTCTACTCGGTAAGTGCTGAGGCTTCTGGGCTCCTGGTGCTGCTGGCAGGAGGTTCCCTGGAGGGTGATGTGGTGCATGTGGCTTTGGCTCCCCTCCTGCCATTCCTTCATTTTGAGAGGACGTCCCCAGCCTAGAGTTCCTCAAGGCCAGATCCCTCTCTGGTCACCTGGGGCGGCTGTGATTAACTCGACCAGCAGGCTGGCCCCTATGGCTTTAGTCCGGGCTCTTCAGAGCAATGAGCAGACCCAGAGCTCCAGGGATGAGAGCTGGTGGAGGCTGGGAGAAGAAGGAAGCTCTGTCTCTCCTCGGCTGTGTATCCAGGTTCTCGGCTGGAAGAGACTCTCTACAGTGACCAGGAGCTGGCCTATCTCCAGCAGGGGGAGGAGGCCATGCAGAAGGCCTTGGGCATCCTTAGCAACCAAGAGGGCTGGAAGAAGGAGAGTCAGCAGGTAAGTGTCGGGGAGAAGCCTGTGGTTCCTCCATGCTCCACTGCCATCCTCAAGGCCAGCTGGGGTTACTATTTTTCCCAGAATTCCTGTCTCATGCAGCAGTCACTGGGTAGCAAGTGGTTTTATCTTGAGAACTCTCCTTTCTCGAGAATATATCCTCAGATAATGCTCTTCCCCCATAAAAGACACCCTGGAGAGTCCTGTTTGAGAAACACTATTCCTGTGTCCTTAGTTACAGAATAGGATTGCATTGTGTGCCCACTTGGCAGACATCATGCAAGGGGAACTCCAAGTGCCTCATTGCCCTGGGTCAGATATCCCAACGATGCCAAAGTGCACTGTCTGTGCTGTCAGCCCACCTGTGGCTGGGCTTGCAGGGGTGATGTGGGCTCACCCTACAACAGGCCTGGACTAGAACACAGAGTGGTCCATGGCCTTCTGGGGTTCTCTGCGCTTGAGCACTGACCCATCACAGGGGACAGTAACCAGGTTCACGGTAAAGGCTGGTGGCTCTGTTATGGAGATTTTGGTGGCTTTACCTTCAGCAAAAGCTGACATGCTGCCCACTACACAAAGTTCAGGTAGAACCCTTCCTTCCCTAAGTTCTCAGAGTAATGGAGTTAACAGACTACTAGTTTGGGAGCCAACTGGGACTTAGGTCGGCACTGCTCTTAGTTAAGGGTCCCTGGGCCAATCACTGACCTTCTCTGGCCCCACATTCTTCTGGTGTGGAATGAGGTATTGAACTAAAACAAATCTTGAAGATCCCATTCAACATTCTATGTATCTAATTAAGCTGGTGTAAAACACTTTTCCCACTCCCAGGTTTCTCTCTTGGGATCTTTGAGCTTCTGAAGTCAAGTAAGAGTCTTTTCAGTTGGACCTACCCATACCACCATCATTCACCACCAAGACAAAGGGTCCAGTGGGGCTGGGTGCAGTGGCTTACGCCTGGAGGCCGAGACTGGAGAATTGCTTGAGCCTAGGAGTTTGAGACCAGCCTGGGCAACACAGGGAGATCACATCTCTACAAAAAATTTAAAAATTAGCTAGGTGTAATGCTGCTTGCCTGTAGTCTCAGCTACTTGGGAGGCCGAGGCAGGAGAATTTCTTGAGCCTAGGAGGTTGAGGCTGCAATGACCCGTGATTGTGCCACTGCACTCCAGCCTGGACAACAGAGTGAGACGGTCTCAAAAAAAAAAAACAAGAAAAAAATCTTAAAAAGGGTCCAGTGGCAGCAGGTAACTTCCTCCAGTTGTCAGCAGATGCACAAGGCCATGGCAACAATGATTACCGACTCTATCTTAGGACAGTTCCAGGCTTCCTCGTGCTCAACTTGGAGTTCCTTTGCTGTTCCCCTCCCCATCTTGCCTTGTATTGCCTATGGGACCTAGACTAAGAATATATATATATATATAAAATTTTTTTTTTTGAGACAACTCTGTCGCCCAGGCTGGAGTGCAGTGGTGCAATCTCCACTCACTGCAACCTCTGCCGTGCAGGTTCAAGCAATTCTCCTGCCTCAGCTTCCCAAGTAGCTGGGATTACAGGCGCCTGCCACCATGTCTGGCTAATTTTGTAGTTTTAGTAGAGACGGGGTTTCACCATCTTGGCCAGGCTGGTCTCGAACTCCTGACCTTGTGATCCACCCACCTTGGCCTCCCAAAGTGCTGGGATTATAGGCGTGAACCACCATGCCCGGCCAAGAATATTTTTGTCTAACCACCTTCTGGGGGCTCCTTTCTCTGACAGGACAATGGGGACAAAGTGATGAGTAAAGTGGTCCCAGATGTGGGCAAGGTGTTCCGGCTGGAGGTCGTGGTGGACCAGCCCATGGAGAGGCTCTATGAAGAGCTCGTGGAGCGCATGGAAGCAATGGGGGAGTGGAACCCCAATGTCAAGGAGATCAAGGTGAGCAAAGTCCAGGTGCAGGTGGCAGGGGCCCAGGAGAGCCCAGTGTGAATGCTGTATCAAAGAGAGGACCCCTAGCTGTGGGGGGTGCTTAGCCCAACACAGGCTGAGTCGTGATTCTGGTTCCCCATGGCCTGGTAGGTCCTGCAGAAGATCGGAAAAGATACATTCATTACTCACGAGCTGGCTGCCGAGGCAGCAGGAAACCTGGTGGGGCCCCGTGACTTTGTGAGCGTGCGCTGTGCCAAGCGCCGAGGCTCCACCTGTGTGCTGGCTGGCATGGCCACAGACTTCGGGAACATGCCTGAGCAGAAGGGTGTCATCAGGTAATACGGGCAGCAGGCTCCAAACCCCCCTCTTCTAACACAGGCCTGCAGGTGTGCACCCAAGCATGTGGACTGCATCCCCAGCTCCAAGAAACCAACCCTTGGTGCACCCATGGCTTCCTTCTACAAAAGAAGATACTTATTTACCAAAGGAGGGACAAAGACAAGATAGGCCCTACTTGGACAGCCAGACAGCTTGTCATGACCCTCCCAGAAAGTTTAAGAACCTTAATAATTTTCTGAAGCATGGGGCAGGGCTGAGGTTCACCTGGTACGCTCAGGAACAGCTGTAATGTAGACTAAAATATTGAAATAATCCATACCACTCAGTACACCACAGCCTCCTGAATTTCCCAAGGCCCCAGCCCAGCCACCAGCCTGAATCCTTTCCCTGACATCCCAGTAATCCAGCAACTAAAGGGCACAAGAGGCCGCAGGGGCTGCTCCAGCTACAAGCAGCCTTTATTCTGATGAGCTGGTAACTGTGCCAACTGCCAAATAATTACCCTTTGCAAAGGGCACTTCCCTGATGAGACTCAGAAAAGACAAGGTACCGTAGAAACGTGTTATCTATGGTACTGGTGTAAGCAGCCAGTGCAAGAGAGAACTCGCAACTGTCCTCCTGACTTGACTTCTCCATTTGCCAGGGCGGAGCACGGTCCCACTTGCATGGTGCTTCACCCGTTGGCTGGAAGTCCCTCTAAGACCAAACTTACGTGGCTACTCAGCATCGACCTCAAGGTGAAGGGCATGGGAGGGGGACCTGGAAGGCAGGTGGTAGTGAGAAAAACAGGCTCTTCCCATTCCCCCCATGCTGCAGAAAGAATCCTCTTCTATTCTGATAGAATCACAGGCTGTAAGACAGGGAAGGGTCTGGAGTGATGGCCTAACTGCTACTCTACCATCTCCAAAGCCTGTGATGGCCCCCTCTTCTTTTTTTTTTTTTTTTTTTTCGAGACTCAGTTTCATTCTGTCACTCAGGCTGGAGTACAATGACATGGTCTCAGCTCACCGTAACCTCCGCCTCCCGGATTCAAGTGATTCTTCCGCCTCAGCCTCCTGAGTAGCTGGAACTACAGGCGTGTGCCACCACACATGGCTAATTTTTGTATTTTTAGTAGAGACGGGGTTTCACTATGGTGGCCAGGCTGGTCTCAAACTCCTGACCTCGTGATCTGCCTGCCTCCAAAAGTGCTGGGATTACAGGCGTGAGCCACTGCGCCTGGCCCTCTTCTGTCTCACAGCAAAGTTCAACTCTTATATGTAGTTATCATTTTAGAAAGAAGGAAACTTAGGTCCAGAGATCTGAAGGGTGAAAAAGGCAACATAACTGGTTCAGGGTCACACAGCTGGGAACACCAGGCTGAAACATCTTGTTGGCCAGTCTTGTGCTTCTGAAAGTCATGACAGCAGAGGAGCAATGCAGTCCTCCCGCCCTTGACTGGGCAACTCCAAGGCTGCACCTATTAACAGAGCTCGAAGACCAAGCCCCTGGCAGCCTGTTTGTGATAGGGTGCAGTGTCAAGAGTGGGCCAAAACCCACAAGATGGCCAAATTCTCCTACCTCCTACTGCAGGGGTGGCTGCCCAAGAGCATCATCAACCAGGTCCTGTCCCAGACCCAGGTGGATTTTGCCAACCACCTGCGCAAGCGCCTGGAGTCCCACCCTGCCTCTGAAGCCAGGTGTTGAAGACCAGCCTGCTGTTCCCAACTGTGCCCAGCTGCACTGGTACACACGCTCATCAGGAGAATCCCTACTGGAAGCCTGCAAGTCTAAGATCTCCATCTGGTGACAGTGGGATGGGTGGGGTTCGTGTTTAGAGTATGACACTAGGATTCAGATTGGTGAAAGTTTTTAGTACCAAGAAAACAGGGATGAGGCTCTTGGATTAAAAGGTAACTTCATTCACTGATTAGCTATGACATGAGGGTTCAGGCCCCTAAAATAATTGTAAAACTTTTTTTCTGGGCCCTTATGTACCCACCTAAAACCATCTTTAAAATGCTAGTGGCTGATATGGGTGTGGGGGATGCTAACCACAGGGCCTGAGAAGTCTTGCTTTATGGGCTCAAGAATGCCATGCGCTGGCAGTACATGTGCACAAAGCAGAATCTCAGAGGGTCTCCTGCAGCCCTCTGCTCCTCCCGGCCGCTGCACAGCAACACCACAGAACAAGCAGCACCCCACAGTGGGTGCCTTCCAGAAATATAGTCCAAGCTTTCTCTGTGGAAAAAGACAAAACTCATTAGTAGACATGTTTCCCTATTGCTTTCATAGGCACCAGTCAGAATAAAGAATCATAATTCACACAAACATCAGTCTTTGTTTTAATATTGTACTGTTAAAAAAATCTATGCAGCTGGGTGCAGTGGCTCACGCCTGTAATCCCAGCATTTTGGGAGGCTGAGGTAGGCGGATCACAAGGTCAGGAGATCGAGACCATCCTGGCCAACATGGTGAAACCCCGTCTCTACTAAAATACAAAAAATTAGCTGGGTGTGGTGGCGCAAACCTGTAGTCGTAGCTACTTGGGAGGCTGAGGCAGGGGAATCACTTGAACCCCGGAGGCGGAGGTTGTAGTGGGCCGAGATTGTGCCACTGCGCTCCAGCGTGGGCGACAGAGTGAGACTCCATCTCAAAAAAAAAAAAAAAAAAATCTATGCTAGTAGATTACAACTTCACACTAGAGGAGTTCTGGACAAAGCTTTTAATTAGTCAAACTAAATTAAGGCTCATTAAAAGGAAAGGAACTACTGGGAAATTATGCAATTCAATAATTTAGACTCTGTTACCAGGATCTTTCATAAAAATTTAATTTCCATAATCATAACCTAAATGAGTTCTTAAAGAATTCTATAAGCAATAGCTGATTAATGGGCCCTGGAAGATGAAGATTATAACTGTTTATTTACCTAATTAAAAGGAAAGGCAGTGCCAAATATGAGAGGATAAACAATATTAGTTAACATTTCTGTTATTTATGATGCCAATTAGTAGTAAGATAATTCCACAGCTGTCAACTTTGTTTGGGGCTGGCAACTTCTCTGCTTAAACAGGCTAAAAGTTTAGTATTCTGGGAGAAGTGGCTGGAAGAAGGGGTAATATGGTGAAAGCAAATTCCCTTTCCCAGGAGTCAAGAGAATTTATGTGAGGTGGCTCCCGCCTGTAATCTCAGCACTTTGGGAGGCCAAGGCAGGCAATCACCTGAGGGCAGGAGACCAGCCTGACTAACATGGAGAAACCCCATCTCTACTAAAAATACAAAATGAGCTGGGCGTGGTGGTGCATGCCTGTAATCCCAGCTACTTGGGAGGCTGAGGCAGGAGAATCGCCTGAACCCGGGAGGCGGAGGTTGAAGTGAGCCAAGATCGAGCCACTGTACTCCAGCCTGGGCGACAGAGCGAGGCTGTCTTAAAAAAAAAAAAAAAATTATACACACACACACACACACACACACACACACACACACATTGGGATGGGAGGGGGGTAGGGAGGATGAAAAAATCACCATTACCACCTGAAGCTTTTCCATTCTTGTTTTAATAGCATTGATGATTTGCACCATTTGGAGATAGAGCTCTGGCTTATTTATTATAAAACAGGAGCTGGGCACAGTGGTGCCTACCCACAATGCCAGCTACTCTGAAGGCTGAGGTGGGAGAATTGCTGGAGGGCAATTCGAAACCAGTCTGGGCAAGATAGTGAGACCTCATCTCAAAAAAAAAAAAAGAAGGAAAAAACAAAGGAGTTGATGAAACCAAATTATGACAAACTAAATTAAAAAATTAAAAAATAGCATTAGTGGGAACACTGTGGTATTTCCTGAGGTATTAAAATTTTACAACTAGTAAAGGTATTTATTATAATTTATTCGGATTGTTTCTTAGTTTATTTTTGACATGGATAAAATTATTGTTTATCTAGGAGCCTCAGAGTTGAGAGAGGATAGTTGTAGAGAAGTATTTCTAAAATGGAATTATCATCCACTACCAGCTAAGAGAAAATAGTTACTTGTTTAAAGATACCTTAAAGCAACATATATTGTAGTTTCAAGAGAACAGGCTGACAGTCAAGAAATAGGCTTTTAACAAACCCACTGGTTTGCTGGATTCTAATTGCCTCCTTCAAACTATGTAATTGTGTCTTTCTGGTTTCTGTGGAGATATTTTCCCACTTGTTTAATTTTACACTGGAATAAAACAAGTTATCACTGTTGATCTGATTACAGAAACTATTTTATATAGGACGCTGTGAAGAGTAGATATTCTCTGAGCCCTTCAAATGAACTGTATTAAAACACACACACACTTTTGAAGTTTGAGAAGAACATCATTACCTGTAACCTTTGATTTGTGAAAATATATACAAAAAGCTAATTTTATAATTTAGATGGAGAGTGTGTATACAACTTATATGTGGTAATTTATATTACAAAGAGTTAACATTCAGCTTCCTCTAAATAACACCACCCTCATTTTCTTGGAGTACCTCAAACTCCGATGATCTAGAAGCTTTATAACCAGGTCTGCCCTTGAAGACTAGTTCACGCATTAATAGGTGTCTAGGGCTGAGCCTCAGCCTCCAATCACACTCGACCTGTATAGGCTTTCCTGTTCAGAGATATGCAGTGGCCAAATCAAAGTGTCTGGGTGATTCATCGGGAGACAAATATATTAATCAATGCTACTATGTTAAAATACCAATATTGTCTTGAAGTGTGGGAACTCTCTTAAACAGGAAAATGATAAGATATTCAGAAGAGCCACAGGCATAACATGGTGATTCTGCAGCAGCATGTCACCCTCCAGTGGTGAGCCACTCTACTTATTAACCGAGGTAGAGAGGTAAATGCAGGAGGGACTTTGGGCAATCCTGGGAGGGCTGTCTTTGCCGTAAGACTGATGTATTGAAAAAAGGAAGACAGGCCGGGTGTGGTGGCTCATGCCTGTAATCCCAGCACTTTGGGAAGCCGAGGTGGGCAGATCATGAGGTCAGGAGATCGAGATCATCCTGGCTAACACAATGAAACCCCGTCTCTACTAAAAATACGAAAAAAAATTAACCAGGTGTGTTGGCACGTGCCTGTAGTCCCACCTACTCAGGAGGCTGAGGCAGGAGAATTGCTTGAACCCAGGAGGCGGAGGTTGCGGTGAGCCAAGATTGCGCCACTGCACTCCAGCCTGAGTGACAGAGCAAGACTCCATCTCAAAAAAAAAAAAAAAAAAAAGAAAAAGAAAAAGAAAGAAAAGAAAAAGGAAGATAAGGAAATTATATATGAATCCAAAAGGAAAGGGTTTTTTGTTTTTGGACACAGGGTCTTGCTCTGTCGCCCAAGCTGGAGTGCTGTGGTGCAAACATGGCTCACTGCAGCCTCGAACTCCTGGGCCCAAGGGATCCTCCCACCTAAGCCTCCAGAGTAGCTGGGACTACTGGCATGTGTCATCACGTCTGGCTAATTTTTTTACTGAGAAGGGATCTTGCTATGTTGCCCAGGCTGGTCTTGAACTCCTGGTCTTGAGCAATCTTTCTGCTTTGATGTCTCAAAATGCTGGGATTATAGGTGTGAGCCACAGTGCCTAGAAGCCTCATTCTTTTTTTTTTTTTTTTTTTTGAGACAGAGTCTTGCTCTGTCGCCCAGCCTGGAGTGCAGTGGCACGATCTCAGCTCACTGCAACCTCCGCCTCCCGGGTTCAAGCAATTCTCCTGCCTCAGCCTCCTGAGTACCTGGGATTACAGGTGCCCGCCACCACGCCCGGCTAATTTTTGTATTTTTAGTAGAGACAGGGTTTCACCATGTTGGTCAGGCTGGTCTCGAACCCCTGACCTCGTGATCCACCTGCCTCGGCCTCCCAAAGTGTTGGGATTACAGGCGTGAGCCACCGCGCCCAGCCTAGAAGGCTCATTCTTACATTTCAGTCTTTAATAGTCCGAAAACTGCCCTTTAGCCATCAGCTCAGGGCAAAGGAAGATAAGCAAGACAGGAAACCACCCGCACATATATCAACATCCATGTTCCAAGGGAAGACCGGGAGGGAGATCATTAGCCCTTTTAAACTCTTGTTCCTCTCCTCAAGGTGGCAGATTTTCACAGGAAAGGGGGTGGCTGATTGGCAAGAATGGGAGCAATAGGAAAGCAGCCAAAACACAACTCAGAAACCCGGCTCTTCCTCCCAGTGCCAGCTCCCTTCCTCGTGCTGCTTACATTTCTGAACACTGTCACCAAGAGGCACCCAATCTGAAGGGAAGCAAAGTGTCACATAAACTTCAAAACAAGTTTTATTTGGGAAGTTTCTCATTTTGTTAAAGCTGCAAGCAAGTTTCTTTCACAATTACACTTCCAGAGATCTAGTAGTTTTACGGATCTCAGTGTTCAAAAGTGTATTTCAAAATGAACAAAACCAAACCCACACCAAAAGGAAATAGCGTTTAGATTGGTTTGGAATGTATAGCCATTGATTTCAGGTGTTCTCAGAAACAGGTTACCATTTCCTTGGAAAACAGGTGGGATACAGTCAATGCCCACAGAAGGAAATGTCTTTTAAATAAGTTAGTTACTCGGACAATATTATTCACTCCTTAGAAAATATAGTAGGATAACAAGTCACAGCTGGCAGGGTATGCAGTACAGCACCGATTTCACAGGGGGCTTATGCAATCCTGGAGTCAGCGGTTGTTGGCTTATGGTACACAAAATAAGAGCAGTCACTGGAAGTGGGGAGAAAATGGTGAAAGGCAGGCAGTCTCCCGCAGTCCTACCCAGCCTTTTAACTTGCTAAAAGGAGAGGCTGTGTTTTTAGCATCTTTGGGAGAACATTTGAGACAGTTCAAAAACAAAAACAAAACCCCCAGTATTATTCCCAGAAAGTCCTTGACAGAAAAGAGGGACCTGGTCAGGGTTCCCATGGGGGACTGCGCCTCCCATCCACTTCTGTCTCCACGTGATACAAGACGTCAGCCAGGGTGTGCTCTACCACGGCGCCCCAGCCCATGTCACTCATCTGCAGGAGGAATGAGAAACAGAACACGGTGACTACAGCAGCCACGGAGATGCTGAGGACACATGCAGCCATTTGTAATGTTACTCACAGGGCGGTAAGTGAGATCCTTCGGAGGATACTTGAAGCATGGTCCAAAGTTAATGGAAACCTGGAGCGAATTCAATTCAAGCAGACATGGAAAAAATGGACAAAAAATATTGGAAAAGTTAATTTGACACAGGAAATTTTCACTTTAAATGTGGCTACAATACTCGGGGGATAAATGGAACAAATAAGATATATATTAAATATTACTAAAAGTGGTCAACATCCTGATGTCCATCAAGAATTAGGTAACTAAAAGAGATCTGTGTTGATTTCTGTTGTCAAAGAAAAATAAAAATTCAGGATCCCAATTTGCTCTGTCAAAAGGAAAAAATTAAGCTGAAAGCTGAGTCATGCAAGAAACTGCCTTTCCTTTTGTTGCTAAGCAGACACCTACAGATAAAACGTTAAATATCCCCACAGGCAGCTACTTTATGTTCACCTTACCTTATGTGAAGTGCCGATTTACCGGGCATGAGATGAATACATAATTGACTTTCCCCTATCTGCTCCTTTTCTCTTGCAACATGTGGATGACCATACCCTCCTACTTTCCCCTCCAGCCCGCATTTCCCCTTTATTTTACTTTTTATTTTTTTTGAGACAGGCTCTGACTCTGTTGTCCAGGCTGCAGCGCAACAATGCGATCACGGCTCACTGCACCCTTGACCTCCTGGGCTCAGGGGATCCTCCCACCTCAGCTTCCCAAGTAGCTGGGACTGCAGGCATGTACCACCACGCCTGGCTAATTTTTTGTATTTTTTTGTAGAAAGGGGGTTTTGCTATGTTGCCCAGGCTGGTCTCGAGGTCCTGGGCTCAACTGATTCTCTTATATTGGCCTCCCAAAGTGTTGGGATTACTGCCGTGAGCCACTCCGTCCAGCCCTTTTTCTTTTTAAAACTTTTAAGCCCTCAAATTCATCCTTGGAGAAAGGCACAGACCACAGACTGTTTCTGTGATTCTGTTTTTTTCTTACAGGCAGGTCCTTAACTTTGGCAAAATAAACTTCTAAATTGATTGAGATCTGTCTCAGATAGTTTTGGTTTACACTGTTTAAAGATTTCCTTTTTTTTTTTTACCTGCTTCAATGGTGCCTACTGACAGACTAAAAGTACATGGAAATCTTCATGCATTAACTTTTTCTTTCTTTTTTGAGACGGAGTCTTGCTCTGTCACCAGGCTGGAGTGCAGTGGCATGATCTTGGCTCACTGCAACCTCCACCTCCCAGGTTCAAGCAATTCTCCTGCCTCAGCCTCCTGAGTAGCTGGGACGACAGGCGCGTGCCACCAAGCCTGGCTAATTTTTTATTTCTTTTTGAGACAGAGTCTCGCTCTGTTGCCCAGGTTGGAGTGCAGTGGCACAATCTCGGCTCACTGCAAGCTCCACTTCCTGGGTTCACGCCATTCTCCTGCCTCGGCCTCCTGAGTAGCTGAGAATACAGGCTCCCGCCACCAGGCCCAGCTTTTTTTTTTCTTTTTTTTTTTTTTTTGTATTTTTAGAGAGATGAGGTTTCACCGTGTTAGCCAGGATGGTCTCGATCTCCTGACCTCATGATCGGCCCGCCTCGGCCTCCCAAAGTGCTGGGATTACAGGTGTGAGCCGCCACACCCGGCCGATGCCCGGCTAATTTTTGTATTTTTAGTAGAGATGGGGTTTCACCACGTTGGCCAGGATGGTCTCGATCTCTTGACCTCGTGATCTGCCCACCTCGGCCTCCCACCAAAGTGCTGGGATTACAGGCGTGAGCCACTGTGCCCAGCGCCACCCCCGCCCTTTTTTTTTTTTTGAGACGGAGTCTCACTCTATTGCCCAGGCTGGAGGGCAGTGGTGTAATCTTGGCTCACTGCAGCCTCCATCTCCCGGGTTCAAGTGATTCTCCTGCGTCAGCCTCCCCCACAGCTGGGATTATAGGCGCGTGGCCATCACATCTGGCTAATTTTTATATTTTTAGTAGCAACGAGGTCTCACCACATTGGCCAGGCTGGTCTTGAACTCCTGACCTCAAATGGTCTGCCTGAGTCACCCTCCCAAAGTGCTGGGATTACAGGCATGAGCCACCGCGACTGGCCTAAGTTTTCTTTTCTTTTCTTTCTTTTTTTTTTTTTTGACACAGAGTCTCGTTTTGTCACCCAGGCTGGAGTAGTGGCACGACCTCAGCTCATTGCAACCTCCGCCTCCTGGGTTCAAGTGATTCTCCTGCCTCAGCCTCCTGAGTAGCTGGAATTACAGGCATGTGCCACCAAGCCCAGCTAATTTTTGTATCTTCAGTAGAGACGGGGTTTCGCCATGTTGGCCAGGCTGGTCTCGAACCCCTGACCTCAAGTGATCCACCCACCTTGGCCTCCCAAAGTGCTGGGATTACAAGCGTGAGCCAGTGCACCCAGCCCCAACTTTTCTATATATCTGTATCTATCTACCTATCTACCTATATATTTTTAAAACCAACAGGCCCTAATGATAGTACCCTTCTTCATGTTTGGATCATATTTAAAAAAAAAAAAAACTTGCCAGATGTGGTACCTCATGCCTCTCTGTAATCCCAGCACTTTGGGAGGCTGAGCTGGGAGAACTGCTTGAGCCCATGACTTTGAGACCAGCCAGGGCAATGTAGTGAGATCCTGCCTCTACAAAAACAAAAACCAAAAAATTAGCACACCCCACCTACTCAGGAGGCTGAGGTGGGAGGATCACTTGTGCCCAGGAGGTCAAGGCTATGGTGAGCCTATGCAACAGAGTGAGACACTGTCTCAAAAAAAAAAAAAAAAAAAAAAAAAAATCATTGTAAGCAACAATGACTAATAATGGTGGGTTATCATGACATCCCAGGAGGATTTGTGTATGTGTATTTATATCCTTCCTACTGAACGGTAACACCACACCACGTGCTCAAGGGAAAAGTATGGCGCACACAAACTGCAGGACCTTTTTCTATCCAGCAAATACTCCCTAAGATGCCCAAACTGTTTCTGGACTAAACAGTAATGGTAACAACACATGCGCATGCCACTCTGAGGCTGCTTGGATTTCGTTCCAGCACTCAGTAACTTTGTCATCACAACCCATTCATCTGCTTCCCTCAAGTTTTGCTCATGGGATGGAAACATGTACGTACCGTGCAGCTCTTGTACAGTGAGATGGCTGGGAAGTAAACCCCCTCAAAAATATCTTTGTAAGCCACACCTTGATTGACACCATTTTTATAAAATATTATCTGAAACAAAAACCATGGTTTTACTTCAGAACTGTAAAAAAGAACAAACAAAAAAAGAACTCTCTAGGAAAATATGTTAGAAGTGCTGCTGCCAGACTGCTAGTCACTCACCCAAGAACAGTGCATAACTTGTGTAATAACAACATCTTCAATTTTTATAATACTTTCGATTTTTCAAAGCATGTTAATATGCACTATTCAGGCTTTTTTTTCTTTTTTGAGACAGGGTCTCACTCTGTGACTCAGGCTGGAGTGCAGTGGTGTGATCTTGGCTCACTGCAGCCTCAACCTCCTTGGCTCAAGTGATCCTCCCACATCAGCCTCCCAAGCAGCTGGGACTACAGGCATACACCACCATATCCAGCTAATTTTTAAAATTTTTTTATAGAGACAGATCTCACTGTATTGCCCAGACTGGTCTCAAAGTCCGGGGCTTTGTTTTCTGAATTCCTGTGCTACATATACCAAACATTTCTATATTTTATTATTCATTGCACTGTATTTATAAAAGTAAGCTGGGAGGCCGAGGAGAGAGGATTACTTGAGGCCAGGAGTTGAAGACTAGCTTGGGCAACATAGTGAGACCTCATCTCTACAAAATTTTTTTTTTTTTTTAAAGTAAGCTGGCCTTCCATGGACTCCTTGGGACCACACCTGTTTAAGCGTGCTTGTTTATCAATTCCTTTCCCCGAGTCAGTTCTCACTTCTGCTTTTTCACTTTGAAGTTCTCTAAGACTCTTATGTCACATCTCTGAATCCTCATGTTCCTCCTTTCTCTCCCAGAATTACACTGAATATCCTCTCTTGACCACTTCAATTCTTCAGAAAAGGCTGCCTTCTCTTCCCACAAGAGGGGGCTTTCTGGTTATTGCATCTTTAGATCTAATAATTATTTCTCTTTAGTATTTCTTTCCTAAAAACAGCTGAAACTCGTTTCTTTATTTCACCTCCATCTCCTTCTATTAGTGTCCTGGGTGGCCTCACAGCATTAGCATTTTTATGAAAAAAATGTTTCCAGCTTAACTTTCTTCCTCTACATCCCACTTCCCTTTTTATTTTTGGTGCTTGTGGCTGGCCCAGATGTGCCAGCCTTTCTCTGACTGTGCTATGACCTTGGGCAGACATGTTTCCAGCAACCCCGGAAGTGGAGGCAGAGAAAGTTCTGAAGGACACTGAGTGAGACGTTACAGCTCCTAGTGCCCCTGGGCCACACCACAAGGTCTACTCTCCCACTCCAGGTTCCCTCCCTTTGGACTTGATACCTCCTCTGATAAAGAATAAAGACACTGGACTTGCTTCCTCAGTCTCTTGTAGATTTCCCAACAGGCCACTATTTTTTTTTTTTTTTCATTGATCATTCTTGGGTGTTTCTCACAGAGGGGGATTTGGCAGGGTCACAGGACAACAGTGGAGGGAAGGTCAGCATACAAACAAGTGAACAAAGGTCTCTGGTTTTCCTAGGCAGAGGACCCTGCGGCCTTCCGCAGTGTTTGTGTCCCTGGGTACTTGAGATTAGGGAGTGGTGATGACTCTTAACGAGCATGCTGCCTTCAAGCATCTGTTTAACAAAGCACATCTTGCACCACCCTTAATCCATTTAACCCTGAGTGGACACAGCACATGTTTCAGAGAGCACAGGGTTGGGGGTAAGGTCATAGATCAACAGCATCCCAAGGCAGAAGAATTTTTCTTAGTACAGAACAAAATGAAGTCTCCCATGTCTACCTCTTTCCACACAGACACAGCAACAATCTGATTTCTCTATCTTTTCCCCACCTTTCCCCCTTTTCTATTCCACAAAACCGCCATCGTCATCATGGCCCGTTCTCAATGAGCTGTTGGGTACACCTCCCAGATGGGGTGGTGCAGGCCACTATTTTTATACACTTTTCTCTACAGAGTTATCCTGAAAGAACAGGATCATGTCTCTAACAGCAGAAGCATGGTACTACATAAAGAGCAAAACACAATAAGCAGAGGGTGAGCTTGCCGCTGGCCAGTGGGGCTACCAGATGCCCCTTCATTCCCCTTTGGGCCTCGTGTTCCTCACTTTTATAATGAAGGAATGGGTCCTAACGCTCAAGGCCTTATGATTCTAATGTTCTTATGGCCATGACTCACCTCACTATGGGGAGTCTGCTTCAGGCTCTTCTCTGCTTTATCCACAAAGTCTTTTTCCTCAAAATACAAATAACTCTTGAATTTTATCAAAGCCTTGAAAACCAAGAAAGAAAAAAAGGCACAATAAAGCATCAGCTCCATCATCATGAAAAAAACGCATCCGCACACAAATAGTGTTAACCCCTTGAGCTCTACAACAGATATTAAAAATCTTTGCAGTTGAGTTTTGCTAGATTTTGAACTATTACACACTTCTTAAAAAATACCAGATGGCACATGTTTATTAAAACATTTTCAGTAGGCCTTTAGTAAGAAACGTGAGAAAATACATAATACATACATGCTTACCACAATAAAAATACCCATAAAAGTGGCTAAATTCACACATCTTTTCCAATAATCTCACTGAAAAAAATGACGTTTATTGAGTCTACAATCTCTTATTCTTTTTTTTTTTTTGAGACGGAGTTTCACTCTTGTTGCCCAGGCTGGAGTGCAATGGTGTGATCTCTTCTCACTGCAACCTCCGCCTCCCGGGTTCAAGCGATTCTCCTGCCTCAGGCTCTCGAGTAGCTGGGATTACACCACACCCGGCTAATTTTTTGTATTTTTAGTAGAGACAGGGTTTCACTATGTTGGCCAGGCTGGTCTCAAACTCCTGACCTCAGGTGATCCACCCGCCTTGGCCTCCCAAAGTGCTGGGATCACAGGCATGAGCCACTGCGCCCAGCCTATTCTTTTTTTTTTTTTGAGACAGTCTCACTCTGTCACCCAGGCTGGAATGCAGTGGTGTGATCTTGGCTCACTGCAATCTTGGCCTGCCAGGTTCAAGCGATTCTCCTGTCTCAGCCTCCCAGGCAGCTGGGATTACAGGCATGTGCCACCACACCCGGTTACTTTTTGTATTTTTAGTAAAGACGGGGTTTCGCCATGTTGGCCAGGCTGGTCTCGAACTCCTGACCTCAGGTGATCCACCCGCCTCAGCCTCCCAAAGTGCTGGGATTACAGGCACGAGCCACTGCACCAAGCCTACAATCCCTTATTCTATGAAAATATTTTGAAGGTCACCTTCTTCCCCGTCCTAGTTTCCCATCTGTTCCCACAGGTGGTCTCTGGGTCACCTCTTTCTTACTGGTTCTTAAGAGTCTATTTAACTATTCACTTCCAGAGAAATATATGACATTAATTTAAAAAATTTCAATTTCTTAACATATATATGTATTAAACATGGTTAGAAAAGAAGAATTCCCAAGATATACAAGCATATAAAACGAGAGTCTCTCTTTCTATGTCCCTTATACCCAGTTTCCCCTGCCAAAAGTAATCACTGTTCCAGTGTCCTGGTATCCTTCCAGAGAATCTAGGCATATATTGTCTTCAAAATTAAAACACACACATGTGGCCGAGCGCAGTGGCTCACGCTTGTAATCCCAGCATTTTGGGAGGCTGAGGCAGGCAGATCACGAGGCCAGGAATTTGAGATCAGCCTGGCCAACATGGCGCAACCCCGTCTCTACTAAAAATATAAAAATTAGCTGGGCGTGGTGGTGCACGCCTGTAATCCTGGCTGCTCAGGAGGCTGAAGCAGGAGAATTGCTTGAACCTGGGAGGCAGAGGCTGCAGTATGCCGAGACTGCGTACCACTGCACTCCAGCCTGGGCGACAGAATGAGACTCTGTTTCAAAATAAAACACCAGATAAACATACAAAAAAAAAAAAAGCCCAAAAAGCCATACAAATGGTAACATATTATAAGTTTTGTCTTGCATCTTGAGTTTTTAACTTGGCAACTACATTAGAGACCATTTTATAATCAGTATATATGCGGCTTTTGAATAGATCCATAGTATTCTGTCGTGTGGACATGTCACTAAAAATTATTTATTTATTTATTTATTTTTGAGACAGTCTTGCTCTCTGTCGCCCAGTCTGGAGTTCACTGGCATGATCTTGGCTCACTGCAACCTCTGCCCTCCAGGCTCAAGCGATTCTCATGCCTCAACCTCTTGAGTAACTCAGATTACAGGAGTGTGCCATCACATCCAACTAATTTTTGTATTTTTTTTGTAGAGACAGGGTTTCGCCATGTTGCCCAGGCTGGCCTCGAGCTCCTGGCCTCAAGTGATTTGCCTGCTTTGGCCTCCCAAGCATGGAGCCACAGTGTCTGGTCAAAAAATTTGTTTTTTTTTTTAATTAAAGGAAAAAAAATTTTTTTTGTAATGTAAATGAATCATTGAAAAAACACCTACAGAATCCTTTTAAGTGCAGACCTCTGTGTTCTGTAAAACCAGGCATCAGTGTGGTATACATTTAAAGAGTTCCGGGAGGCAGGATGGTACAATAAGTCACTAGTGTGATATAATCAATAAAAATGAGACTGTAGGCTGCTTATTATCAGAATAAACTCAGAGTATTTCCACTATCAAATTTAAAGACTTACTCTAAAGCTATGATAACCAAGACACTGTGATACATGCATAAAGGACAAGAAACAGATCACTGAAATACAGAGCTCTGAAGTAAACCTTTCCTTAACACAAACATCTGATTTTCAATAAAGGCATCAAAGAAATCCAGTGGAGAAAGGAAAGAGTTAACATATGGTGCTGGGATAATTGTGTAATCATATGGAAAAAAAATGAATTTCCATACTATACATAAAAATCTGGTCGGGCACAGTGGCTCATGCCTGTAATCCCAGCACTTTGGGAGGCCGAGGCGGGAGTTCAAGACCAGCCTGACCAACATGGTGAAACCCTGTCTCCACTAAAAATACAAAAATTAGCTGGGTGTGGTGGCGGGTGCCTGTAATCCCAGCTAATCGGGAGGCTAAGGCTGGAGAACAGCTTGAACCCATGAGACGGAGGTTGCAGTGAGCCAAGATTGCACCATTGCACTCCAGCCTGGGCAACAGAGCGAGACTCCATCTAAAGAAAAAAAAAAATTAATCCAAGGTAAATCAGACACCTATGTGTAAAAGCTAACACCATGATGTTTTCAAAGGAAAACATGGGAGAATATCTTCATGACAGGGAGTAGCCAAAGATTTTTTTTTAAATTCATGGAAAGAAATAAGTATAAAAGAAAAATTTGATAAATCAGACTTCATAAAAACTAAAACTTTGGTTCCTCAGAAGACACTATTAAGTGCAGTGACTCATGCCTGTAATCCTAGCACTTTGGGAGGCTGAAGCAGGTGAACTGCTTGAGCCCAGTAGTTCAAGACCAGCCTGGGCAACATGGAAAAAAAAAAAAAAACAAAAAATACCAAACCTGTTTCTACCAAAAAAATTTAAACTTAAAAAAAAAAAAAAAAAAAGAACAGAGAAGTCTCAGAATAGCAATATTAACAGGCAAAATATTTGAAGAGAAACTTCACAAAAAACATATGAGTGGCCGAAAAGCACATGAAAAATGCCCAGTATGTCATCAAAGAAATGCTAATTTAACTCACAATGAGATACTACTACACACCCATCAAAAATGGCTAAAATTAAGTTGACAGACAATCATAAATGTCAGCAACTAAAACCCTCATATATGGTAGGAAAAGAGTTTGGAAAATTTCTTATAAAGCTAAATATGTAACTATCCAATGATCCAAAAAGACTGTACAAGAATATTCATAGCATCTTGCTCATAGTAGCCCCAAACCTGAGACGGCCCAAGTGTCTGTCAGTAGGAAAATGCATAAACACACTGGGGCACATTCATGCAATGGAGTACTACCCTGCACTGAAAAGGGTGCACAGATATATGCAGCAAAATGGATGAGTCTCAAAAGCCAGATATAAAAGACTACAGACTGCATGAGCCCATTTAAGTTCAAGAAGAGGTACAAATTAAAGTATGGTGGGAAAGAAAGTTAAAACAGTGGTTGCCTCTATGTGGGGGTGAGGACTAACTGTGAAAAGGCATGAGGAAACTTCCTGAGGTGATGGTAAGTGTCCACATCTCTTTTTTGGGGGGAGTGCAGTGGTGTGATCACAGCTCACAGTAACCTTGAACTCCTGGGCTGAATGATTCTCCCATCTCAGCTTTTCAAGTAGCTGGGACTATCGGCACTTTTTTAGTCTTTTGTACAGATGGGGTCTCGTGATGTTACCCAGGCTGGTCTTGAACTCGTGGGCTCAAGCAGTCCTCCCAGCTTGGCTTCCCAAATTGTTGGGATTATAGGCGTGAACCATCATGCCTAGTGGATCCTACATTTCAACAGTTTAGGTCAAACTCAAAACTCAGTGAATGTACACTTAAAATTTGTGTACTTCATTTTATATACATTTTGTATCAAAAGAATGAATTAAACAGGCTGAATTCTAGCTTATGTATCCTGAAGTACTTAGTGGGAAAGTGTCCTGATGTCTGTCATTTTCTCTGTAGTGCACTAAAAAAAGACAAATGATAGATGGGTAGAAGAATGAATGGATGACTATTTGTGCACCGATTGTTACTGTTATTCTGAAAATGTCATAGCAACAGGTTAGGAAAAAACGTGAGCTGTGGCTCAGTTCCTAAGAGATCACACAAGCCAGTGATAAGCACTGGCTGCCACAGGCCTTCAAAGCCAGGAATCTGCCGGGAGAGGACAAACTCACCTTATCTTTGTATGTGTCTGGCAATGACTTGGCTGTCTCTGTGTCTTCAGGAAGATTAATATAAAATCCCAGGACGTCTCCCTGTCCATAGCCAGAAGAGTAGTGTTTGCCAATGGACTGGTGGAACTTGGTTCCCTTTTTGCTCCGCCAAGAATAGCTAAATTTATCATAACCTAAAGGAGCTTGAAGGTTTCCTGTCCCAATAAAAACATACACAGGAAGTCAGAAGATTGCAAGTCAAATCTAGTTTGCTGAAGGAAAAAGATCCTATTTCTTTTTATGTTTTTTGGTCAATTTTGTAAAATTGCTTAAAAACTTTCTCACAAGCAAAGAATTACAAAAATATCCCGGGAATAGCAAACCAGCTCAACCCTCAGGAACTGAATTCTATGCCCACAATCTGGTAAACCCAACAGCCTTGAAGCCTTAGCCCTTGGCCAGATGGTCTATCCTCTCTATCTGCTGTGATGTCCATATTAAGGCCCCAGCTTACCTAGGGGCTGGGACCAACCCAGTCTGGCAGCGGTATCTGGTGGCATCTCATCCACAGTGATTTCAAAATACCAGGCACCTTTCCGTACTCCATGAGAGGCCCTCACCATAGAGTAGCCCTTCTCTCCAACCACAGTCAGCCGGTCATCTGAGATCTTTAACTGGGGAGCTGCGGTGACAGAGATTAAAAGAAGGCCTGCAACTTATTTGAGGTTCTTGGGGACAATTGCCACAAAAACATTAGTCCAATAAAACAATTTAAAAATCACAAATATCAGGTCAGGTGTTTGAAATATTAGTTGAGGAGTTTAAAAATCTCAGCATAAGATACTGGCAAGGAATGAGAAAGCAACAAAAAAGAGAAAGTTGTTAGGTTACTTAGTTTTTATTACATGTGATTATCTTTTTTTTTTTGAGATGGAGTCCCGCTCTGTCGCCCAGGCTGGAGGGCAGTGGTGCAATCTCGGCTCACTGCAACCTCCACCTCCCGGGTTCAAGCAATTTTCCTGCCTCAGCCTCCCGAGTAGCTGGGATTACAGGCGCGTGCCACCACGCCCAGCTCATTTTTGTATTTTTAGTAGAGACAGGGTTTCACCATGTTGGTCAGGCTGGTCTCGAACTCCTGACCTCGTGATCTGCCCGCCTTGGTCTCCCAAAGTGTTGGAATTACAGGCATGAGCCACCGCACCTGGCTTATCTTTTTTTTTTTTTTTTTTTGAGACAGAGTCTTGTTCTGTAGCCCAGGCTGGAGTACAGTGGCACGATCTTGGCTCACTGCAACCTCCGCCTCCCAAGTTCAAGCAATCCTCCTGCCTCAGCCTGAGTAGCTGGGATTACAGGCGCCCACCACCACGCCCAGCTAATTTTCGTATTTTTAGTACAGACGGGTTTCACCATATTGGTCAGGCTGGTCTCGAATTCCTGACCTCAGGTGATCCACCTGCACTGACCTCCCAAAGTGCTGGAATTACAGGCTGAGTCACTGAGCCCAGCCTACATGTGATTAACTTTAAGACATCTGATTGATATTAATTATATTGCATATTCCCTCAAATATAACAAACCAATGGTGATGAGTTTGGAACTTAATTTGAATAAATCTTCATTTAAAAAATTTAACTTTTTTTTTTTTTTTTTAAGAGCCAGGGTCTTGCTCTCTTACTCAGTCGCACAACCACAGCTCACCATAGCCTTGAACTCGTGGCCTCAGGCGATCTTCTTGTGTTGGCCCAAGTGCCAGGATTACAGGTATGAGCCACTGTGGCTAGCCTCTTGACTAGTTTTTTTTTTTTTTCCTTGAGATAAGGTCTCATGCTGTTGCTCAGGCTGGAATGCAGTGGTGTCATCTTGACTCACTACAGCCTTGATTTCCTGGGCTCAAACAATCCTCCTGCCTCAGCCCCCAAGTAGTTGGTACTACAAGTGCTACCACATCCAGCTAATTGTTTGAAGAGACAGGGTTTGAACAAGTTGCCCAGGCTGGTCTCAAATCCTGAACTCAAGCAATCTGCTCTCCTTGGCCTCCCAAAGTTCTGGGATTACAGGAATGAGCCACAGCACCTGGCCTTAACTGTTTTAAAACAATTTCAAACTTTCTTTCTTTTTTGAGACAGAGTCTCGCTCTTTTGCCCAGGCTGGAGTGCAGTGGCGCGATCTCTGCTCACTGCAAGCTCCGCCTCCCGGGTTCACGCCATTCTCCTGCCTCAGCCTCCCAAGTAGCTGGGATTACAGGTGCCCGCCACCACGCCCGGCTAATTTTTTATATTTTCAGTAGAGACAGGGTTTCACCGTGTTAGCCAGGATGGTCTTGATCTCCTGACCTCGTGATCCGCCTGCCTCGGCCTCCCAAAGTGCTGGGATTACAGGCGTGAGCCACCGCGCCCGGCCAACAATTTCAAACTTTCAAAAAATAGTAGAGTCCTAGTGTGTGCTTCACTCAGTTTTCCCAAATGTTCACATCATGTATAATCATTAACATAATCATCAAAACCAGAAAATTAACAATAATACTATTAAATAATCCATGGACCTTCTTAAAATTAAGCCAATTATCCAAGTAATATCCCCTTCTCTGGCCCAGGTTCTAATCCTAGATTCCACATTTCACTTAGTTGTCATGTCTCCTTAGCCTCTTCCAATCTCAAACAGTTCCTCAACCTTTCATAAGCTTGACACTTTGAAGAATATTGGTCATTTCAGTTTGTAGAATGTCCCTCAGTTACATTTGTCTGGTGTTTTCTTTTGTTTTTTTTTTTTGGAGATAGAGTCTTGCTCTGTCATCCAGGCTGGAGTGTGATGGTGCAACCTCGGCTCACTGCAACCTCTGGCTCCCGGGTTCAAGCGATTCTCCCACCTCAGCCTCCCAAGTGGCTGGGATTACAGGTGCCTGCCATCATGCCTGGCTAATTTTTCTATTTCTGTAGGGATGGGGTTTCACCATGTTGACCAGGCTGGTATCAAACTCCTGACCTCCGGTTATCTACCCACTTTGGCCTCCCAAAGTGCTGGGATTACAGGTGTGAGCCACCATGCCCGGCCTGGCGTTTCCTCATTTTAAGGTCAAGGTTATTGTTATTCTTACTCAGGAACTCCAATGAGGTAATGTTGTGCCCCTCAGTGCATCATATATGCTATCAAAATAGTGATGTTCACCCTGGTCACTTGATTAAGATGATGCCTGCCAGGTTTCTCCACTGCTAAATGACAATTTTCCTTTTGTAATTAATAAATATCTCAGGAGATGAACCGGTATTTAAGACAATCAAGGAAATCTGATTATGAACTGAATTTGGATGATAGCAAGGAATTATTTTGGTTATAAAAGAAAATATCTGCATTTTTTTTTTTTTTTGAGATGGAGTTTCACTCTTGTCGCCCAGGCTGGAGTGCAATGGCGCGATCTCGGCTCACTGCAACCTCCGCCTCCCAGGTTGAAGAGATTCTCCTGTCTTAGCCTCCCGAGTAGCTGGGATTACCACCAGGCCCGCAATTTTGTATTTTTAGCAGAGAAGGGGTTTCTTCATGATGGTCAGGCTGGTCTTGAACTCTCGACCTCAGGTGATCCACCCGCCTCAGCCTCCCAAAGTGCTGGGATTACAGGCGTGAGCCACTGTGCCTGGCCCCAATAGCCGCATTTTTAAAGAGATGCATAGTTTTTAGTGTACATAGGGTGATATATATATTTTTTTAATTCAGAAAAAGAAAAAGAAATAAACAGATAAAGCAAACATGGCAAAATCTTGAACTGTTAAAATCTGGGTGAAAAGTGTACAAGGTATCGCTATAGTTTGGGTATTTGACCCTAAGTGCAGGTTGAAATTTGATCACAATGTTGGAGGTGTGGTCTGATGGGAGGTGTTTGGGTCAGGAGGGCAGATACCTCAAGAGCAGATTAATGCGGAATGTGGGGATGTGAGTGAGTTTTCACTCTATTAGTTTCTGAGGAGCTGGTTGTTAAAAAGAGCCTGGCACCTCCCTCCCTGTCTTGCTTCCTCTCTTGCCATCTAACGCCTGCTCCGCTTTGCCTTCTACCATGACTGGACATGCCTGGGATCCTCACCAGAAGCAAGCGCTGGTGCCATGCTTCTTTTAGCCAAATAAACCTCTTTTCTTTACAAATTACCCAGCCTCAAGTCCTCCTTAGTAGCAACACAAAGGGACTAAGACAGGTATTCACTGTAATTCATCTCTCTACCTCTGCATATGGTTTGAATCTTACTTTATTACCAGGCCATTATGTGAGATAAGGGAGCAATCTAAATAATCAGGGGAGAACCCCATGACTTCCACAGAAAGAAAAAATGGCAAAAGGTGGGAGAGAATTTCGAGGCTTTGCAGGCTGATTTTAACAGGAAAGGTTGAGGCTGCAGTGAGCCATGATTACACCACTGCACTCCAGCCTGGGTGGCAGAGTGAGACCCCATCTTGAAAACAAACAAATAAACAATGAGGCCAGATGCAATGGCCCATGCCTATAATCCCAGCACTTTGGGAGGCCAAGGAAGTAGGATCACCTGAGGTCAGGAGTTCAAGACCATCCTGGGCAACACAGTGAAGGAGACTTTGTCCCTAAAAAAATAATTAAAATTTAGCTGGGTGCAGTGATGTGTGCCTGTAGTCCCAGCTACCTGGGAGGCTAAGATGGGAAGATTGCTTGAGCCAGGAAGTCGAAGCTGCAGTGAGCTGAGATTGCACCATTGCACTCCAGCCTGGGTGACAGAACAAGAACCTTTCTAAAAAAAAAAATAAAATAAAATAATTGCATGGAGCAAAGACTATATATATAGCACGCTGCTATTCATGTATAAAAAAGGAGATAAGGCTGGGCGCAGTGGCTCACACGTGTTATCCCAGCACTTTGGGAGGCTGAGATGGGCAGATCACCTGAGCTCAGGAGTTTGAGACCAGCCCGGCCAACATGACGAAACCCCATCTCTACTAGAAATACAAAAATTAGCCACGGGTGGTGGCACACACCTGTAGTCCCAGCTATTCGGGAGGCTTCAGCATGAGAATTGCTTGAGCCAGGGAGGTGAAGGCTGCAGTGAGCCGAGATCACGCCACTGCCTTCTAGCCTCAAAAAACAAATCAAACCAAAAAAACACAGAAACAGACAAACAAAAAAGGGAGATAAAAGAATATATACATGTACTGTATCTGCTCATTTGTGAAGAAATACAGCAAGGATAAACTAGAAACTAGAGTGTGAGTGGGAAGATGGTGGAAAAAAGAGAGTGAGAAGGGCACTGTAGGGGTGATGAGGGAGTGACATTTTGTAAACCGTTCTGTACAGCTCTGACTCCCAGAACCATAGTAATGTTTCACACATCCTCACTCCAAACATACATACACACAAACAATCAACATGTGGGAGAATCCAAAATGGCATCAAACACTAGCAAATAAACCTGACTTAACTGGACATGACCCACTAAAGGAAGTGGGGAAGAAAAGAACTAATCTAAGTTACCAGTACCTTGGACTGAGTACGGCAAGTCTAAAGACAAAAAGAGCTATATATAAATGCTATAATCTACTTAGTAAATGTTTCTCCCAGGGATTAGAAATTCTGAAACTGGCTGGGTTCAGTGGCTCATGCCTGTAATCCCAGCACTTTGGGAGGCTGAGGCGGGCAGATCACAAGGTCCAGAGTTCAAGACCAGCCTGGCTAACACGGTGAAACCCCGTCTCTACTAAAGATACAAAAAATTAGCCGGGCGTGGTGGCACGTGCCTGTAATTCCAGCTACTCAGGAGGCTGAGGCAGAAGAATCACTTGAACCCGGGAGGCAGAGGTTGCAGTGAGCCGAGATTGCGCCACTGCACTCCAGCCTGGGTGACAGGGCAAGACTCCAACTCAAAAAAAAAAAAAAAAAAAAGAAATTCTGAAACTACTTTATGTGCATATTAAATATGAGCAAGGTCAAGAATGGTGGCTCACTCCCAAGACCCTGGGAGGCTGAGGCAGGATGACGGCTTGAGCCCAGGAGTTTGAGACCAGCCTAGGCAACATAGTAAGACCCCACCTCTAAAAAATTAAAATTAAAAAACCCAGCTAGGTGTGGTGGCGTGTGCCTGTGATCCCAGCTACTCAGTAGGCTGAGGCAGGAGGATCGTTTGAGCCCAGGAGGTTGAGGCTGCAGTGAGCCAGGACTGCATCACTGCATACCAGCCTGAGTGAGACTCTGATCTCTATAACAAAATAAATATATTGAAATAAAGTAAATATATTGTAGATAATTATCTAATTATTCACATTTCCCACTGTTGGAGAAAGACCTTACAAATAAGGAAAGGAGGAAGGCTGTCAACCCAGGTATCAATATAAATTGTTATCTGTGTACATGCAGGTTTGTACATACACACATGCACTTCCTACCTCTGACCACTGAGGAAGTCTAGAAGCAATGACGCCTAGTAACAGCACACCTAACACCTAGATATTAATTGCTATTTGTTTATTTACTTTATTACTTAAAAAAAAAATAAGGAACGCTTCACAAATTTGTGTGTTATTCTTGCACAGGGGCCATGCATCTTCTCTTTATCATTCTAATTTTCGTATATGTGATATATGGAAGTGAGCACCTAGATGTTATTCCTAAACAACATGCTCCAATCAAAGGAACCAGGGCTCGGTGAAAGAAGTAGGCCTGGGGCACAGAAAATATAAGATTGGCCAGGAACACCTTTTGATGCCTCAAAGTAAAGAAATTTTTTTTTTAAAAAAAGACACGGCTTATCGAAAGAACACAAGAACCAACTTCTTGAAGAAGCTCCTACTTGCCAAAGCTGGAATAATTTAAACAACAAAATAATCAAAGTATTGGATTATACTCCCTGAAATAAAGTAAATATATATGAGTCCATACTGATATAAATAATCAATTAACAGAAAAGGGAAAGAGGAAATCGAAAATCATCATACAACACAGTCATAATTGTTGCAGACAATATCCACTGATGGGTGCTAAAATTAGTGAACATAAGTTTAAAAACAAACAAGATATTTGCATAGATAGACTCGATGTATTTTTGCCTAAGACATTTGTTAAGTATAAGGGAAAGACGGTAGTTTTTTACAGTGGAGAAAGCTAGCAGAATCACCTTAACCAAATGATCATGGTCAACGTAACCAATAAGACCTACTGACATCATGAATCCCATGAGATGATGCTATAAGACATTGTTTCCGTGTTATTCTTCCCCAAACTGCCTAACTTCAGTCTAATCATGAGAAAACATCAGACAAATCTTCACTGAGGAATATTCAACAAAATAACTGATTAAAACACTTAAAAATATCATGGTCATGAAAGATAAGCAATGGCTTTGGAACTGTTAAAGACTATAATAGACTAAAGAGAAATAATTAAGTGTGAGTGGAAAAACTGGTAAAATTGAAAGGTCTTTCTCTAGTTGTGTTGATAATATTTACCAATGTTAATTTCCCAGTTTTGATAACTGTACTATGGTTTTCTAAGATATTATCATTAGGAAAAGCTTGATGAGAAAGAAAACTTATTTTTGGCAACTTTACTGCAAGTTTAAAATTAGTTCAAAATAGAAAGTTTTAAAAAACCATATATATATATATATATATATATATATATATATATATATATATAAATAAAACGGCTGGAGCTTATAGGAAGGAACAGAATTTCTTGCACATTCTGGATGAATCTAGACAGAGATGGGGGTGAGGCAGTGGCAACAGACTGAGATGTACACCTAATTCTAGACTGACAAGGCTAATGATGGCAGTTCAAAGTAACCCTGCATCCATATGATCTCCAATACTTTACATACCTCGATCATGTAGGGCTAACAAAACCCGTTCATACAAGCAGGCTCTGTAGAGGTCTCCAGGAATAGGTTTTCCTGCCCAGCAGTCAAGTTCCAGCTTCTCGGGGTCAGGGGCGTGCGGATCAGGCTCAGCTAGAATATACCGATAGCCATCTTTGTTAAACGGGTGTTCCAATGGGTAGCCATGAGGGGGAAGGCGCTGAGCAGAAAACAAAGGGTCACTGCAGAAAGGAAAAAATAACATCAAAAAACTAAAACCCCCTTTAGCTCAAATGCATTCAACTGTGTAAGAAAGGCCTCTGGTTTATTTCAGCTAGAATACATGCAACTTCACAGCAAATACTTCTCATTACTCAAATAAGTAACTCTGCCCTCTTCAGGCAAAACAAGGAAGTGAAAAGGATTAGCTTTATTGAGCAAGGTAGTTTTGGTGAAATTACTTGTAGATTGTGGATATCTTCCCAGTGGTCTTTAAACATGAATTGATGTCTATGAAACTGAGCTGGTACATTATGCGGGGGGGGGGGGGGGGGGAAGGGAGGAGAGGAATGGGGGTGATTAGGGTGATAGTCTTTAGTATACTGATTATTATAAAGTAATGAACAGAAGCTCAGAGACATAAGCACTTGCTATCTTGCTAATCTAAGTAAATAACTTGTGCAGTGAGCCGAGATTCCATCACTGCACTCCAGCCTGGGTGATAGAGCAAAACTCCATCTCACAAAAATATATAAATAAATAAGCAACCTGGATTTCATCACCTCAGCTTTAGACAAAGGGAAGGGAAAAGGCATGAGAAGGGAGAAGCAGAAAGTTAAGGAGCTAAAGGAGCTAACATTCAACACTGGTTTCACTCCCTCCCCACCTATCCTTTCTCAAGTCGCCTTAACAGAACTTCACTCCCTAGGTTCCCCAGGCTTATCACCAGAAGACACTATACTTGTTACTACTATAAATTTTGTACTAACAAATGTATGTACACTTAAATGTAAAACATGACACTTAAACTTGGGTTTGTTTTGTTTTTTTGAGACAGTTTCGTTCTCGTGGCCCAGGCTGGAGTGCGATAGCGCGATCTCAGCTCACTACAACCTCTGCCTCCTGGGTTCAAGCAATTCTCCCACCTCAGCCTCCCGAGTAGCTGGGATTATAGGCACGTGCCCCCAGGCCCAGCTAATTTTTTTGTTTTTTGTTTCAGTAGAGATGGGGTTTCACCACATTGTCCAGGATGGTCTCAAACTCCTGACCTCAGGTGATTCACCTGTCTCAGCCTCCCAAAGTGCTGGGATTACAGGCATGACCCACCGTGCCCGGCCTGGGGTTATTATTTTTGTTTTTTGTTTTGTTTTTGAGACGGAGTCTCATTCTGTTGCCCAGGATGGAGTGCAGTGGCATGATCTTGGCTCACTGCCACCCGCCTCCCAGGTTCAAGCGATTCTCCTGCCTCAGCCTCCCAAGTAGCTGGGATTACAGGCGCTCACCACTACACCTGCCTAATTTTGTATTTTTAGTGGAGATGGGGTTTCGCCATGTTGGCCAGGCTGGTCTCAAACTCCTGGCCTCAAGTGATCCACCCTCCTTGACCTCCCAAAGTGCTGGGATTACACGCATGAGCCACTGCGCCTGGCCTCCAACCTGGGGTTATTTTGTCCCTCAAAGTGCTCAAGGTTTAGAAAAAATGGACAGGCTTTTTAACCTCCGACCCTTGAACTCTCTTCCCTCTGCTGGACTTTCCCAGCACCAAATAATACTTAAATAGTGAGGGGGGCAGGGTGGGCACTCTCCCCACCTCCGGGCCTTCTTGGTGGTCCCTGTGGTCCCTCCATCCTGCTGTTTGCGCTTGGCTCCTCGTCCTTTTCCGCTGCTTCCTGCTGCAATTCCCCCTTTGAAGAGAAGGCAGATTGCTTTCAATGAGCCACAAGGGAAACACCATGTGGATACTGAAATTCCATAGGGACCAACACACCCAATGTGCATTTGTGTAACACCACAGGAGGATTTCCTTCCAAAGGCATATTGGATTTCACCCTAGTTTTCAAAGAATCTACTGAGCATCTCATAGCCTGGGAACACTGGGTTCTGGCAATAAACTCAAATGAATCCAGCACTATGATGGTTGGGTTACAGTTTTCAACCTTTGTTCCTAATAAACTGCAACTATTGGTATACTTTCTCAGGGTGTGACACAAATGCATTCTCACTCATTCAGATCCCAAACACCCACAGCTAAAAAGAATGAAAACAACTGTATGGGCACATTTTTTTTCATCCAAATTAATACAAACACCCATAAAGAGAGAATATCCTCACTGTAAGTCGATGTTCACTTGCTTGAACTACACAATACAGTCCATAAACATCATAAAAGCACAGTATCTGCTAAAGCATTGAACCTGAATATCCAACAAGACAAAATACATCCAACATGGAAAACGGAAACAGAAGTACTAAAAAGGTGTTTCTCTCCAGTACTGCTAGATCTCCATCGTGGTTGCACATGACACAAATAAGAAAGAAGGCTTTCGATTTGCTAGGCAATTTTTAGTTCCATACCCATTCGTCAAATACAACATTTATTAAGATTGTGCCAATGCACTAAAATTCAGGTTAGATTAACCTGGCTTGTGGAACTAAAAGCAATAAATAGGAATAGACAATTTACATATTTTATACAAAAAATTTAGCTACATACTAAAGCCACAAGGAAGATTACCTTGTGTATTTCTGAAATAGGTACTTTGAAATTTTTGTCCAGTTCAAATTCCTCTCAATTAGTTTTATTTTTCCCTCTTCCAGGAAATGTCCCTGAACTGCAGGAAAACACCTTTACGTAAACAACTGCAGAGTACTAAATCTTAATTTGGGGCAAGCTTGGGAATTACTAGCAGTTCTGCTGCAATAAAAAGGATCAAGACATTGAAGGTGGCTCATATTCTGCATATACAGGACCAGACTTTTTATGCAGAATTTCCTTTGGTGAACACCTCAGATGTTATTCCTATTTTTCATAAAAGTTTAATGTTAAACTGCTGCAATGTCATCATCTCTAGTTTAAGTAACCATAATCAAAAAACAATTAAATTTTTGTTTTTTTGAGACAGAGTCTTGCTCTGTTGCCCAAGCTGGAGTGCAGTGGCACGATCTCGGCTCACTGCAACCTCTGCCTCCTGGGTTCAAACGATTCTCCTGCCTCAGCCTCCTGAGTAGCTGGGATTACAGGCGCCTGCCACCACACTTGGCTAATTTTTTGTATTTTTAGTAGAGATGGGGCTTTGCCATGGTGGCCAGGCTGGTCTCAAACTCCTGGCCTCAGGTGATCTGCCTGTCTCGGCCTCCCAAAGTGCTGGGATTACATGCATGAGCCACCTCGCGTGGCCACAATTACATTTTTAATTGTCATTTGCATTTTGATTATTTTAAGAAGTTTCAGATCCAACCAGAACAGAGCAAACAGTACAGAAGTGGGGTGGCTGGCCATGTTAGGCAGAATATGACAACATACAAGCTCTTAAATACTAACATTAAACTCAACTACTGTTTCATATTAAGTGCTATTGCCGCCATTTTCATAATGCTTCAAATTATGTAGTTTTTAGCTTCTACCATAGCTCAGCAAAAAGCATTTTCCAAACCACAAAATACTTAAGTCTGAGAGGCTGAAAGAAGACAGTGGAGGAATTCACCTCCAAAAGTGGCTCCACCTGTAAGAACAGAAGTGGCACCATGTATTTGTCAAATTTTAACAATTAAAACGGGAAAATATGTTGTAAAAAGATAACACACTAGCTATTTCCAACCCACCTTAAAATATTAGTAACAGTAGAAATGATCAGATATTTAAGACGCGACCACTCCAAAAGACAGGTTAATGATCCCATATATCAGATGAACAGCTAAATATCTCTCAGCCACCCCAACTCTTATTAAATAACCATTAGTAACGAGGGGTTTTCCCGCTATTAGATGGGTTAACAGAAGAACAAGCTGCAATGGGTGGTTAATATAGAAATGCTATCATGTGAATGAGCTGAAGTTTCAGGGCAAGAAAAATTAGAAGATGGGCACAGGAAATCTGTTAAAAGTAACAGCTGAATTGCAGAAAAAGAGTGGAGAGGAGATGAATCTTTCTAAATTTAATGTTAGTTATAAGGATACAGATATAAACACAGCAAATCTGACCTTGAAATGGTTCCTTGTCTTATGCTAAACCTGTCTCACTCAAGACCAAACTGTTGTAAAGTGACAAAAAGTTCTCCTCTATTACCATCTGCCAAATCCTTGGCTAGTTCCTAAAAATTGAGTTTGAACTATAAAAGCATTTTAGTAAGTATCCAGGTTAAGGGTCAACCCAAAGAATGGCCAGTTCTAGGCACAACTGGATTCAATAGCTTCCAAATATTTCAGCAATGAGATATGTAAACACTTACCATTTAAATTCCCACTAGTAGACACAGCACTGCTCTGTTTTTGGTTGTCATAAGCAGGACCAATGTTACTAAGGTCCTGCAAAAATACATCCAATTAAAAAAGGAGTCTACGTAAGTCAGTCAATCTGGATGCTCATAAAACAAGAGAAATTCTAACAGAATGGGAACTAAAATTGACAATTCTTTTTTTTCTGAGATGGGGCCTTACTCTATTGCCCAGTCTGTAGTACAGTGGCGCGATCTCGGCTTACTGCAACTTCTGCCTTCCAGGTTCAAGCGATTCTCTTGGTTTACCCTCCCGAGTAGCTGGGATTATAGGCACACACCAACACGCCTGGCTAATTATTATTATTTTTTTTTTGAGAGAGTTTCACTCTTGTCACCCAGGCTGGAGTGCAGTGGCGCGATATCGGCTTACTGCAACCTCTGCCTACCAGGTTCAAGTGATTCTCTTGCCTCAGCCTCCTGAGTAGCTGGGATTAGAGGTGCCTGCTGCCATACCCAGCTAAAGTTTTGTATTTTTTAGTAGAGATGGGGTTTCACCATGTTGGCTAGGCTGGTCTCAAAACTCCTGACCTCAGGTGATCCACCCACCTTGGCCTCCCAAAGTGCTGGGATTACAGGCATGAGCCACCATGCCTGGCCTAATTTTTCTATTTTCACTAGAGATAGAGTTTCGCTGTGTTGGCCAGGCTGGTCTCCAACTCCCGATCTCAAATGATCTGCCCGCCTCAGCCTCCCAAAGTGCTGGGATTACAGGCGTGAGCCACCATGCACAGTCTGAAATGGACAATTCTAAACAATGAAGCTTGCAGAGTCCCAAACTTGGGTGTTTTAAGGACCAGCAAGCAACCTTGCAAGTATGTGTGAGGTAGGCCAAGTGTAAGGATCAGAATAGTTTCAGAATGGCGATAAATGGCAATTAATCAATCAACTTGGGTAGAGGCAGGAGAGGGCACAGGGCAAACCAGAGTGCCTAAGCCCCATTCACTCAGCTCCTGTGGGAATTCAGGCCCCATGCAGTCAGATGTTTTCATTTTACAAGACAGAAATCTAAATTTCTATGTGAAATCTTGCATTTTCTTTTTTGAGAGACAGGTCTTGTTGTATTGTCCAGGCTGGTCTTGAATGCCTGGACTCAAGCAATCCTCCTGCCTCAGCCTCCAAAAGTGCTAGGATTACAGGCATGAGCCACTGCACCGGGCTGAATCTTGCATTTTCAAAGCTGGCAAATCAAACATGTAAAGACACAGCTTTAAGATTTGACATTCTGACTTGCCAAATGTGAACCCTGCTGTTGAACAAAAAACAGCAATTTTCGTTTGCCTGTTATGTTAGATATGCAACACAAATTCTTCAAAACAAATTCTTTTCACAACAAAGAAAGTTTTTAAGAGCAAAATTTAAGATGGCAGGAAGATTAGAAGTAATTTGAAATAGCATTTTTACATGTTACAAGCGAGGAAACTAAAGTTAAAAAAAAAAGTGATTTGAAGAAATTCATAACATTTTGGGGAAGACCCACAACAAAAACACTATACAACACTGGTCTCTTGGTTGAAGGTGAGTACTCTCATATCAGTCACTATTTTTTTGGAGTCCACCATGCTATGTGCATATAATGGCAGTGTGTTATGTGGCAAATATACAAATGTAAACAGAACCTGATTACCTATCCCCGAGTGGCTTAAAATCAAAAAGAAAATGTAAAACATATTAATGTACCTGATCCAAAAGTCCAAATTTGGGGTAATCTTCTTCTGGATCTTTACTGCCTGGATCTGGGTGTTCCTTTACCAAGAATACATCTCTTTCTTTACTCTAAAAAGAAGTAGTGTTTTACTATTAATGAACATTTTATACTTAAAAGTATGGAATTAATAATCAACCACTAACTCTAAAAGTCAATTCCTAGGTGCAGTGTCCAAAAAAGATAGTATCGTTTTTCCTTCTAAGAAATAATCAGTGACCATCAAAAAATTCAAACAACAGAGAAACACAAAGAGTGCCCAAGTTTTTCATAATCCTCACCTATCCTTCTATTTCACAAAGATAAGCACTGTTAACAGCTTGCTGTTGACTTCTCCCCAGGTGCTCTCTTTAATTTTAAGGACAATATTGCCTATAACTTTTTTTTTAATAGAAGAAAAGAAATGGTCTCTAATTTCAATACAAAATTATTCTTGGAAAAGTACTGTGGACAAGTTTCAATACATAAAACCAGGTGTATGCGGGCAATGTTCATATAAGACAATATGCATCTCACTGATTCTGTGTGTGAAAACTACTAAAATTCACAATTAGCTGTATCTCACACTCAAAGATTTAACATTAAGTTGTTCTAATTTTATCATTTCACAATGAGACGATATTATTGAATTCTTACAAAAAACAATGGTTTTTTAAATGTCAAGTCTAATCAATTTTAATCTACTTACCATTGTTTTAACAATGTTATTTGGCCAAGTCATTTTCCCAGGTCTCTGTCTGGTTGTCATGCACTCCCAGTATTTATCAATAAATGGTATAATATCCTAATTTTCAAAATAAATTAAGACTATTACTGCTGCAATCAAAGATATGCTGACAAAGAAAGAAAACAGCATTTTTCGAAGATCTTGTTAGAATCAAGAGAAAAATCCATGTTAGTTTTTCCCCCCACGGTGTTATACAAGGTTTACATGTTTGTCTTTTAATCTCTGAATATTTCATTGCATACACACAATACACAGATTATGGGGATTTCCACAAGTATAAACAAACCTTAGCCATGTAGGGCTTACACTCCAATTGGAGAGAAAAGCTCTGTCACAGTCCCTTGGCTGTCAATTGGAAGATGACTCCCAAATTATTCTCTCTTGAACTCCTATTTCTACCAGCTGAGACATCTCTATCTGGACATCCTAAAGGGACCTCAAACTTCTTGTGACTAAAATGGAACTTGGTATATTACCTCATAAATCTGCTTTATGGATTTCTATTCTTGCTCCTGATAACTTAGAACCAGTCATCACCCAGAATAAGCTAGACACATTAAGAGTTGTCCTTGACTCTTCTCTCACAATTTTTACACCTAAATGCTCACCAAATAAATTTTAAAATTTCAGAAATGTCACTTCAGTCAGGACTCCCTTCCATCCCCACTGCTGTGACTGTGGCTCTCACCAACTCCTGCTTGCATGACTGAAACGACTTTTGACCTTCATCTTCTGGCCTCCTATTTAGATAATCTTCAAAAGCACCACCACCAGAGTTAGCTCCATGACAACTAAATCTTTACTGAAAGGAACCAGGGAAAGTACAAAGAAAGCCTGGAATATTTTGTTGTTCCAGAAAGTAAGGAAGAGTTCAAAAACGGATGGGGGAGTATCAAAGAGTTTCAGGAGTCAGTCTGATAGGGCTACAATGGTTGAATCTGGGACAACCTGAGGGTCAGAAATGAAAAAATCCAACAAGAGCTGGGCGTGGTGGCTCACGCTTGTAATCCCAGCACTTTGGGAGGCTGAGGTGGGTGGATCACTTGAGGTCAGAAGTTTGAGACCAGCCTGGCCAACATGGTGAAACCCTGTCTCTACCAAAAAATACAAAAATCAGCCAGGCATGGTGGCATGCGCCAGTAGTCCCAGCTACTCAGGAGGCTGAGGCAGGATAATTGCTTGAACCCAGGAGGCAGAAGTTGCAGTGAGCCGAGACATCGCACCACTACATTTTAGCCTGGGTGACAGAGCCAGACTCCATCTCAATTAAAAAAAAAAAAAAATTCCAACAATGGACTATAACACACTGATTTTTAAAAAATAATCCACAGTGATATTTAAAAGGGAAGAAAAAGAATGAGGGAAAGTTATTTACAGAAGACTTGCAACCAAAGAATGTATTCTGATTTACAACTACTACTCTAACAACTGATTCAGGGTTGGATAATCAATGGGGGCTAAAAATCACTGGTTGAAAGGAGTAGGAAAATAAAGTACTCACATAATCTCCATGTATGGCTTAAGGATTACTTAGCACAAAGATAAAAATGCTCCCTCCTTAACCAACTAGTCAAATTTAGGATCACTAATAATAAAACAAAGCAATATCTTATATACCTCCTGATGTGACAGTCTAAAAAACACACAATACTTATGTAATATTCTTGCCAAAGATGTTTAACACATGGCCAGGCACAGTGGCTCACAACTGTAATCTCAGCACCTTGGGAGGCCAAGGCTGGTAGATTGCTTGAGCCTAGGAGTGTAAGATCAGCTTGGGCAACATAGTGAGACCTGTCCCTATTAAAGCGGAAAAAAAAAAGTTTAACCTGAACATAATCATGAAGAAAGTCAAATGCAAATTGAGGAATATCATGCCAAACAACTGCCTAAGCACTTAAAAAATTTTAATTCATTAAATAAATAAATAAATAAATAAATAAATAAAGGGGCTGGGTGTGTTGGTTTATGCCTGTATTCCCAGACGTTTGGAAGGCCAAAGCAGGAGGATCACTTGAACCCAGGAGGTCGAAACCAGCTAGTGAGACCACATCTCCACAAAAAATTTTTTTAAGTTAGCTGGATGTGGTAGCATGCGCCTGGAATCCCAGCTACTCGGGAGGCTGAGGTGGGAGAATAGCTTGAACACAGGAGGTTGAGGCTGCAGTGAGCCGGGCCTGTGCCACTGCACTCCAGGCTGGGTAATAGAGCAAAACCCAACTGAATAAAGGAATTGTTTTATTAATAGATTAGAGACAAAACAGTCATTACAACTAAATGTAATGGGTGATCCTGACCAGATCCTGGATGGAGAAAGAAGCTATAGAGGAGGATATTATTAACACAAAAATAATCCTGAGAAACTACAAATATGAACTGTAAATTAGTAGTACTGCACCAATGTTAAATTTTTTTATTATGATTATGGCACTGTGGTTGTATAACAGAATATTGGGTAAAGTGTACCCACAATGTAGCCTCATATAGCTTAAGGGAAAAACAGATATATGGGGACATAAAACAAATGTAGCAAAATGTTAACTGTTAAATCTAAGAAGAAATGGGCCGGGTGCAGTGGCTCACACCTGTAATCCCAACACCTTGGGAGGCTGAGGCGGACGGATCACTTGAGTACGGGAGTTCTACCTGCCTGGGCAACGTGGCGAAACCCTGTCTCTAAAAAAACCATAAAAACTAGCTGGGTGTGGTGGTGTGCACCTGTAGTCCCAGCTACTTGAGAGGCTGAGGTGGGAGGATCACCTGAGCCCAGGAGGTCAAGTCTTCGGTGAGCCGTGATGGTGTCACTACATTCCACCTTGAAACTTTTCAAAATAATTTTGGAAAAAATAAACTAAAAAGAGGCCACGTGCAGTGGCTCACACCTGTAATCCCAGCACTTTGAGAGGCCGAGGAAGGCAAATTGCTTTAGCCCAGGAGGTCAAGGCTGCAGTGAGCCATGATCACACCACTGCACTCCAGCCTGGGTGACAGAGACCCTCTCTCAAAAAAAACACAACAGTCCAGGTGCGGTGGCTCACGCCTGTAATCCCAGCACTTTGGGAGGCCGAAGCCAGTGGATCATGAGGTCAGTTGGAGATGAGCCTGGCCAACACGGTGAAATCCTGTCTCTACTAAAAATACAAAAAATTAGCTGGGCGTGGTGGCGCATGCCTGTAATCCCAGCTACTCGGGAAGCGGAGGCAGGAGAATCTCTGGGACCCAGGAGGCAGAGGGTGCACTGAGCTGAGATCGCATCACTGCATTCCATCTTGAAAAAAAAAGAGAACAAGGTAATCACTGAATCCACTGTCATATATTCAATAAAAACTGGGAAGAAAGTACTTGTTAGGGAGTATATTTAGAAGTTCCACCTAACTCTTCAATATAACTGCAATCACATTAGTTCCACCTCTACCTTATCTTTGGAGAACATTGTCTTCGGATGTTCATCCTGTGTTCGGGACTGCCATGTCAGGTTGGCCAAAGCACTAAGGCACATTTCCTTCAAGTCTATCAAAAACAAAAAGGAAGAAACAGTTATCTGTAGTACTACATCTCTACTACCAAGGGAATACTCGATAAGTGGTCCAGAAAATAACAATTATAGCAGCAAAATGGAGTCATCATGTGACCTGAAATGGGCAATTGCAATTATTCAGAGCTAAACCCCAACTGAATTTATACCAGCTACTAGGCAAAGGTCTCCTGATTCTGCTACGCCCAGATCCCTTTTCTTTTCCAGTGGATAATCATCTTCAAATACTCCAGAGTTTGTTCTTACTTGCTTGCTTCCGGAGGAAATAGGTATTCCCACTGTGATGGCAGACGTTGCAATGAAAACTGTAGTTGGTCATGAAAGGTAGACAGGATCTGCCGAAGAGCCAAATTATACGAATTAGTGAACTTGTGAACACACACACTTCTTTTTCTTTTTTTAAAGACAGGCTCTCACTCTACCACTCAGGCTGGAGTGCAGTGGTGCAATCATAGCTCACTGCAGACTTGACGTTCCCTGGCTCAGGTTGATTCTCCCACTTCAGCCCCCCAAGTAGCTGGGACTATAGGCATTAGCCACCATGCCCAGCTAATTTTCGTATTTTTTTATGGAGTCAGGGTTTCGCCATGCTGCACAGGCTGTACGCCTCTTTATGAGAAGTTAACATGAATCCATTCCCCTCAGTGACAGGTAAATTAAAATGTTAATATGTTAACATAGTCTTAAAATGTAAAAAGGTTGTCAAAACCAAAACAGGGCTCATATTTTTATAAATACCTGGATTTTTCTGTCACGAAAGTTAATAAGACCTTATCCGTTATACTGGACAATTCAGCATCTAGAAGGTTCTCACTGGTATCTCGTTAAGTTTATTTTTTGAGTACCTAAAAAGAATATGCCAGGCTAGCTGTAGAAGAGGACAAAGTAGTCTAAGGTGTATCTCTATGGTGTCAATAATGTGGTTGGAAAGGGCAGGCAGAATGTAAGAAAAAATGAATTAAAAATGTAAATAACTAGGCCAGGCACAGTGGCTCAGACCTCTAATTCCAGAACTTTGAGAGGCCAAGGCGCATGGATCACCTGACATCAAGAGAAGACTTGCCTATTTGAAGGCAAGAGAGGAAGAGGCCAGGAGGGGAAAGACAATATGGCAGAGACGGATGCAACAGAGGAACCAACGCATTTGAGAAGAGAAACATGGTAGTGATTGCACAAGATGACAGGAAAAGCACAGGAGTTTAGTCTTGCAAAGGGCAAAGTAACAGAAGGACAGAAGACCTTTAGTATAAATGGCTTAAGCTAGAAGAGAAGAAATCAGAACAAAGGTTTATCTTGGACTCTGAAACTAGCTTAGGATATCCTCAGAGAAGACTGCATTTACCAACTATTGCTACCCTCATGGAATTACGAAACATTCTTACAAATGTTACAGCTGAGTTTCCTTACCTTCACTTCTCTGTAGAACCTCTTCTGTTTAACAGACTATTGTGATAAGCTTATTTACAAAGACAAAACCTCATACTAAAGATAGGTAGGTAAATAGTTATTTTAATTTAAATACAAACAGGTGTAAAAAGCAGCCTTTTTTATACCCTGCTAGCTCACATTCTCTATCTCAGTTGTAAAAGATAATCCATCCCACCTAACTGGGCTTTATTTTTCTTTTCTTTTTTGAGACAGGGTATCACTCTGTTACCCAGGCTGGAGTGCAGTAGCAATCATGGCTCACTGCAGCCTCAACCTGCAGGGCTTAAGCAATCCTCCCACCTAAAGCTCCTGAGTAGCTGGTACTACAGATGTGAACCACCACGCCCAGCTAATTTTTTTCTATTTCTCGTAGAGACAGGGTCTCACTATGTTGCCTAGGCTAGTCTCGAAGTCCTGGGCTCACGTCATTCTCCTGTCTCGGCCTCCTAAAGTGCTGGGATTACAGGTGTGAGCCACCATGCCTGGCCTTTTTTTTTGAGACGGAGTCTCACTGTCGCCCAGGCTGGGGTGCAACCTCTGCTTCCCGGGTTCAAGTGATTTTCCTGCCTCCCGAGTAGCTGGGACTACAGGCACGCACCACTGTGCCCAACTAATTTTTGTATTTTTTTTTCTGGTGACGGGGTTTCACCATGTTGGTCAGGCTGGTTTTGAACTCCTGACCTCGTGATCAGCCTGCCTTGGCCTCCCAAAGTGCTGGGATTACAGGCGTGAGTCACTGCGCCTGGCCCCCCACCTTTTTTTTTTTTTAACTTGATACCACTGATAGGATCTAACTGGACTTTAGATATAACTTTTGAAATTCAGTTACAAACTGTTGTCTCCAAAGCTACCAAAACTTTGAACTGTGATTTGATTCTTCCTTGAATTCCTCCCAGTTATCTCTCTAGTAAACTTCCTTTCCTAAACTGTCTATCCAAACAAATTTTTCTGGCAAAAGTGGCCCTATCTTAGGCCTCTCTAAGAGACCAGGCTTGCTTAGCTAGTGTGTTTTCCCAGCAGATGTTGCTACCAAGATCAATTATTTCTTCCTGATCCTTCAGTATTTTTCTTTCTTTTTAAAAACACTCTTTCCTAAATCACAAGTCACATGTTAATTAAGACATCAGCATTTCTAAAACCCACTTTAACCTTTTAACTAGAAAGTATACAACAGATTATAAAGGAAAGCTGGGTGTGGTGGCTCATGCCAGTAATCCCAACACTTTGGAAGGGTGAGGCAGGAGGATCCCTTGAGCTCAGAAGTTCGAGGCTGCAGAAAGCTGTGATCCTGCCATTGCACTCCAGCCTGGGCAGCAGAGCGAGACCCAGTCGCAAGAAAAAAACAAGAAAACATATATATATGTATATATATATACATATACACACACACACACACACACACACACACACACACACATATATGTATTTCTTCACAATCTCACCCAAGGTGGATTAATTTCACGATAATGCAGCCTTATGTTTAGATAGTCTTTTATAAATGTATTAGCATAATACAAACCATAAAGAACATTACAGAGAGCGAGCAGTACAATTATTCCAACAGACAGTCAGTATAAGGAAAAAAGTCTTTCATTCTCAATCACAATATGATTTTAATTCACTAGAAGAGGTACATGATTGGAAATAGGTTTGCTGAGGAGAGTAGACAATATACCTAAAGGAGTGAGTCAGCAGCAATGAGAAAGGAAAAAAAGGATGGTTCAGGCATAAAGAGCATGGGTCATCTCAAATTTTGGACAACAGGCTTTATCCACATATATCCTTTCTGAAAAATCCAAAACACCAACACAAGGTTTATATTGTTCTAAATTTGTTTATATAACACTTTGTAATTGCATTTTTTTTTGTCTCCAAACCAGGTTGTCAACTCAAAAGGAGGGGCAATACCCACCATTGTATCTACCAGAGCTGTGCCCTCAGTAAGCAGATAACATGCTAAGGGAATTAAAACAACTCCTGATTCAACATCCTACTTGCTGAATAGGGGTTAGGAGACATAGGAAATACTTTGCATTTATTTTGCCCACAAAGTAACTGTTGAGCATGTTCAGATTTATTTTACCGAGCAATTCTCACAAAAACTATGAAAAGTACTCACGAGGTATCTATGCCAAATGTGTCAGCCGTGAACCATTTTGTACAAATCCCACATTGCAGCTCTACCTCACCCAACTGTCGGCCATTCTCTTCATCCACGGAGCCCGCCTGAGTATCCATCACCTCTGATGTATCCCCAGCACCTTCCTGTGTCAGAGCAGTTCGAGACTCAAATCAGTTGACTTGAATGTATTTTACTTTATTTTATTTTTTTAAGAGACGGGGGTCTCCCTATGTTGCCCAGGCTGGTCTCAAGTGATCCTGAGGTCTCAGCCTCCCAAAGTGCTGGGATTACAGGCATGAGCCACCGTGCCTGGCCTGAATGTATTTTTGATTCGCTTAAAAATGTAAAAACAAGGCCGGGCGCGGTGGCTCACGCCTGTAATCCCAACACTCTGGGAGGCTGAGGCGGGAGAATCAACTGAGGTTAGGAGTTCGAGACCAGCCTGGCCAACATGGTGAAACCCCGTCTCTACTAAAAAGACAAAAAAAAGAAGCCAGGTGTGTTGGCAGATGCCTGTAATCCCAGATACTCGGGAGGCTGAGGCAGGAGAATCGCTGGAACCCGGGGGGAGGAGGTTGCAGTGAGCCGAGATCGCGCCACTGCATTCCAGCCTGGGCGACAGAGCAAGGCTCCGTCGCAACAAAAAAAAAAAAAAAAGAAGAAGAAGAAATAACTAAAACAAACCCTATTTTGTCTTGCAAACAACTAAAAATACTTACTAGTGTATCTTTTCCATTAGATGATTCTGTCTCCAAGCCACCGCTTACATCGACCAAGTTTGCCTCCCTATAAGATAATGAAAGCGCTCAAGTAAGAATTCTCAAGACAAACCTCAAAATGCCTATTCCCAAAAATGATGATCAAATTACAGCCGAACTTCATACTCCTGCAGCTTTTTCAGCTAAGCCTGATCTCAGACTGGATGCCCAAGGTACTGTCAGGATACTGAGAAGGTGGACATGTCAGACAGTCGCGGACCCACGGAGCACAGGGAAGCCTAACCGGCCTTTACAGTCAAATCTACCTGGGTTAGAGTTGGTCCTGGGAGAGGTTCAAAGAGAGGCAGCTCTCCCACCCTGTTTTCAGAGTGACCGTTACTTCTTCCAGTCTGGCACTGCAAAGTGGTTTCTTTTCTGGAATATGTGAAGGCCTCCCGTTAAAGTGTGAGCTACCAGCTTCCTGCCAGGGTGCAAGGATCAGAGATAACGACAGGAGCCTCAGCTCCCACCGCCCGTGAAAGGTGCGGAAGGGGCGTTATCCGAGATATGCTTGAGAGGGGACGGGCCAAGCGGCGCAGAGGCAGGGCGAGCCATTGGCGGCGGGGCCTGGGTTCGCAGGGGGCGGGCGGCAGGGCTCCAGGAGCCGCGGGATTCGCGAGGGGCGGGCCTCCCTCCCGCGTCTTCCTCGGGCGGCAGGACCTCTTACCCGCCTTCAGCCTCCCCGGAACTGGGCTCAACTGTCGGAGCAGCAGAGATCCCCTCTCCAGGAGGAGCGGCTGCTCCCGCTGCCACCGGCTTCATCTCCCCCTCTTCTGCCCCTGTTGCATTTGCGACCGCTCCTGGGCCAGGCCCGGCACCCGCTTCCTGGCCAGGTCCTGCTCCTGCCGCCGCCATCACGGCCACCCCTGGACTTCTCGCGAGAATACTCTCTTCTCTCGCGCGCGTTGCTGTGTGACGCTGTAGTCTTCAAACAGAAAAAGCCCGCGGTGCGTCCACCGCCTGCCTGAGGAAGCATAATTCCACGACCGCTTTAAGGCCAGGCGCGCGGGCAGAGGTGGGCCGGCCTCCCGCGCCGGCGGTGGCCGCGGGCCTGGCAGGCTGAAGGTGGAGGAAGCTAGATGGTTAGTGCGGCTCTCTGGAGGACTTCCTTTCGAGTCAGGGACTGACGCGGCGTATTTTCGTGGCTACGACTGGATATTCTGCGCAGAAGAGGGTCCTTGAGAGCGCTGGCCGTGCCGTGCCGCCAAACACTCCTCACCACCGAATGTGGGAAACGTCTTCCTTGGAGTCTAGCACTCCCTGCCCGCCCCGGATGGAATTTGGTTTTCTGCGCAGGGTCGCCCCTTGGAGCCCGTTTCCAAATGATTTTAAGAGGGAAGGGAATCTAGGGAGGCCGATTCCAGGGGCGAGGGTGGAAAACCCAGGCCGGGCAGCCGAGGAGCGGCGTGGGCACTAGAAGCGGCTCGCCGCTTCCTACTGTGAGAGGCGGAAAGCGAAGCCCCGGGGTGTGCCGGGGCACTCGGAATGTAGACAAGTTTGGTGCCCAGCGAAAGGAAGAGGTGTGGACTGAAAGTACGAACTTGGGAAGTCATCAACAGTAGCTGGTGGCTGGCATCAGTGGAGTGAGTTGAGTCTTTCAGAGCCATGGTCTCCAAACTCGAGAATGCAAACCTCTGAGAGTGTTGCGGCCAGGAACGTTTTCAGGACACCAGTGTTTATCCTATATCCTAAAATGTTGCCTAACGATAATACACTCTTCTCCCGCTTTACACAAGAACGGCGCACCCCTCGCCAATCCTCAGTCTAATCTTACTGTGATGTGTCCACCGATAGTGTAGGAATCTCTGGGCCACTGGACGCCATGGGAAATACGTAGATATTGATTTCCCAATTGGTTCTCAATTATTGGTTTTCAACAAAATTGAAGAAAGACCTAACTGAGTTGCCAGGTTACATTTTTAAAATTGATGATAAATACTTAAATCAGGGGTTGGTACTCCAAAGAGAAGCAGGATGCTTGATCTAAGTATCTCCTCCCAAATACGTAGTATTGTAGCAGTTTTAACATATGGTCGCAGAATTTTGTGTTTTCTTGTTGTTGTTTGTTTGAGACAGAGTCTCGCTCTGTCGCCCAGGCTGGAGCGCAGTGGCCCGATCACGGCTCACTGCAACCTCCACCCCAGGTTCAAGCGATTCTCCTACCTCAGCCTCCCGAGTAGCTGAGATTACAGGTATCTGTCACCACGCCCGGCTAATTTTTGTTAGTAGAGGCGGGGTTTCACCATGTTGGCCAGGCTGGTGTCGATCTCCTGACCTCAAGTGATCCACCCACCTGGGCCTCCCAAAGTGCTGGGATTACAGGTGTGAGCCACCGCGCACGGCTTTTTTTTTTTTTTTTTGAAACGGAGTCTCGGTTTGTCGCCCAGGCTGAGTGCAGTAGCGCGATCTCAGCTCACTGCAACCTCCACCTCGCGGTTTCGGGTTCAAGCGATTCTCTTGCCTCAGCCTCCCGAGTTGCTGGGATTACAGGCACGCGCCATGACGCCTGGCTAATTTTTGTATCTTTAGTAGAGACGGGGTTTCACCTGTGTGTTTTTTTTTTTTTTTTCTGAGACAGAGTCTCGCACTGTCGCTCAGGCTGGAGTGCAGCAGTGGCGGCATCATACCTCACTGCCGCCTCAAGTTCCCCGGGTAAAGCAATCCTCCTGCCTTAGCCTCCTGAGTAGCAGGGACTATAGGCACGAGCCACCACGCCCAGCTAATATTCTTTTTTTTTTTTTTCTTTTTGAGACGGAGTGTTGCTCTGTCGCCCAGGCTGGAGTGCAGTGGTGCAATCTCCGCTCACTGCAAGCTCCACCTCCCGGGTTCACACCATTCTCCTGCCTCAGCCTCCCGAGTAGCTGGGACTACAGGCGCCCGCCACCGCGCCCAGCTAATTTTTTGTATTTTTAATAGAGACAGGGTTTTTGCCGTTTTTTAGCCAGGATGGTCTCAATCTCCTGACCTTGTGATCCGCTGCCTCGGCCTCCCAAAGTGCTGGGATTACAGGCGTGAGCCACTGCTCCCGGCACGCCCAGCTAATTTTCTTAATTTTTAGTAGAGACAGGGTCTCATCATGTTGCTCAGACTAGTCTCCAACTCCCGAGCTCAAGCGATCCTCTTGCCTGGGCTTTCCAGCGTGCTGGGATTACAGGAGTGAGCCATCATGCCTCCACACAAATTCTTTAATACCCCCCTCCCCTTGATTGTGTGGGCTGGACTCAGTGACTTGCTTCTAACTAATAGAATGTAGAAAAAGAAAATAACATGGCCAGACGCGGTGGCTCATGCCTGTAATCCCAGCACTTTGGGAGGCCGAGGCGGGCGGATCACCTGAGGTCAGGAGTTCGAGACCAGCCTGACCAACATGGAGAAACCCCGTGTCTACTAAAACTACAAAATTAGCCAGGCGTGGTGGCGCATGCCTGTAATCCCAGCTACTCAGGAGGCTGGGGCAGGAGAATCACTTGAACCCGGGAGGCGAGGTTACAGTGAGCCGAGATCGCGCCATTACACTCCAGCCTGGGCAACAAGAGTGAAACTACGTCTCAAAAAAAAAAAAAAAAAGAAAAAAATAGTAATTTTTATTTTTTATTTATTTTCTTTTTCCTCTTGGTAGAAAATAGTAGTTTTTACGGTGCAGAAATGGGCGAACACACCACCTTACCCAAGTGGTCAGGTTAATATAACCAGTTAAAAATTATAGGCCGGGCGCAGTGGCCTACGCCTGTAATCCCCGCACTTTGGGAGGCCGAGGCAGGTGGATCACGAGGTCAGGAGATCGAGACCATCCTGGCTAACAAGGCAAAACCCCGTCTCTACTAAAAATACAAAAAATTAAGCGGGCGTGGTGGCGGGCGCCTGTAGTCCCAGCTACTTGGGAGGCTGAGGCAGGAGAATGGCGTGAACCCAGGAGGTGGAGCTTGCAGTGAGCTGAGATCGCACCACTGCACTCCACCCTGGGGGACAGAGCGAGACTCCGTCTCAAAAAAAAAAAAATTATAAATATACCCCCCGATATACAATGAGATGGCAACTTCATCTCTTTGGTATTCCCCAAAATCCATAATCCAAGTCTAATCAAGAGAAAGCATCAGATGAATCCAAGTTGAAAGACATTCTAGAAAATATGTTGGCTGGGTGCAGTGGCTCATGCCTGTAATCCCAGCACTTTGGGAGGCCAAGGCAGGAGGCAGGAAGATTGCTTGAAGCTAGGAGTTCAAGACCAGCCTAGGCAGCAAAGCAAGACCCTGTCTCTATAAATTTTTTTTTTTTTTTGAGACAGAGTTTTGCTCTTGTTGCCCAGGGTGGAGTGCAATGGCGTGATCTTGGCTGACTGCAACCTCCGCCTCCTGGGTTCAAGCGATTCTCCTGCCTCAGCCTCCTGAGTAGCTGGGATTACAGGCATGCACCACCATGCCCAGCTAATTTTGTGTTTTTAGTAGAGATGGGGTTTTTCCATGTTGGTCAGGGCTGGCCTGGAACTCCCGACCTCAGGTGATCCACCTGCCTCGGCCTCCCAAAGTACTGAGATAACAGGTACCCACCACCACACCAGGCTAATTTTTTATTTTAGTAGAGACGGGGTTTACCGTGTTGGCCAGGCTGGTCTCATACTCCTGACCCCCATGTGATCCACCCACCTCAGCCCCCCAAAGTGCTGGGATTACAGGCGTGAGCCACCATACCTGGCCAGAAAATTAAAACTTGAAAAAAAAAAAGGTGTTAGTGGTAGATCACCATAATCTGACATAGAACTTTTTTTTTTTTTTTTTTTTTGAGACTGAGTTTTGCTCTTGTTCCCCAGGCTAGAGTGCAATGTGACGGTCTCAGCTCACTGCAACCTCCACCTCCAGTGTTCAAGAGATTCTCCTGCCTCAGCCTCCTGAATAGCTGGGATTACAGGCATGTGGCACCACGCCCAGCTAATTTTTTGTATTTTAAGTGGAGATGGGGTTTCACCATGCTGTCCAGGCTGGTCTGGAACTCCTGACCTCAGGTGATCCACCCGCCTCGGCCTCCCAAAGTGTTGGGATTACAGGCATGAGCCATTGTGCCTGGCCCTGACATAGAACTTTGAAGGAGTTCAAAGAATTGAGTTCCATTGCTTCATAAATCCTGGGTGGGAAAATGCTAATTTATGTAAAGAAAAGTTGTCAGCTCTTTTATCTATAAAAATGAAAAATGCTGGGTGTGGTGATGCATGCCTGTCCCAGCTATTCGGGACAGGTGAAGTGAGAGGATCTTGAGTCCAAGAGTTGGAGGCAAGCCTGGGCAACATTAATGCAAGCAACATGGTGAGAACAAGTCTCTTAAAAAAAAATGAAAAATAGGCCAGGCATGGTGTCTCACTCCTGTAATCCCAGCACTTTCAGAGTCCGAGGTGGGTGGATCACGAGGTCAGGAGATAGAGACCATCTGGCTAACACGGTGAAACCCTGTCTCTACTAAAAATACAAAAAAAAAAAAAAAAAAAAAAAAGGTTAGCTGGGTGTGGTGGCACGCGCCTGTAGTCCCAGCTACTCGGGAGGCTGAGGCAGGAGAATCGCTTGAACCCAGGAGGTGGAGGTGCAGTGAGCCGAGATCGCACCGCTGCACTCCGGCCGAGGTAACAGAGCAAGAGTCAGTCTCAAAAAAAAAAAAAAATAGTAATCGATGCTAAACCTCTCATTCTAGCAATAATGATACTTATTCATGAACATATGAATTGAAAAAATAAATGCTCAGTCCCATTAAGAATTACAGCTTCAATAAAATTTTGACTTTTATGTTTAATTATCAATCTATAGACTACATTTGATCAGTTGTATACTAATAATTATATTCCCGGCCAAAGATAGTGGCTCATGTCTGTAATCCCAGCACTTTGGGAGGCCGAGGCAGGAAGATTACTTGAGCCCAGGAATTTGAGACCAGCCTGGGCAATATAGCAAGACCCTCATCTCTACAAAAAACAAAATATTAGCCAGGTGTTGTGGCTTTAGTCCCAGCTATTTGGGAGGATCAACTAAGCCCAGAGAGGTCAAGCTACAATTGCACCACTGCCCTCCAGCCTGAGCGACAGAGCGAGACCCTGCTTCAAAAAAGAGAAAAAAAAAAACTTGCTCATATTTTTTGTTTTTGTTTTTTTTTTTTTTTTTGAGACAGGGTTTTGCTCTCTTGCCCAGGCTAGAGTGCAGTGGCAGGATCACAGCTCACTGCAGCCTCATCCTCCCCAGGCTCAGGTGCCCCTCCCACCTCAGCCTCCTAAGTAGCTGGGATTACAGATGTGCACTACCATGCCTGGCTAATTTTTCCATTTTTTGTAGAGATGGGGTTTTTCCATGTTCCCCAGGCTACTCTCAAACTCCTGGACGGGGAGATATGTCCACCTTGGCCTCCCAAAGTGCTGGGATAACAGGCATGAGCCACCATGCCTGACTTATGTATTTCTTGAATGGATGATGACAGACATAGAAATCACTACAATAGAAATATTTTTTAAGGTTTTATTTAACAATGCTAATGCTTACAATCCACATGAAATCCTTTGTAACTAAACTTACAATGATAAATTCATGCAAACAAAATTTTGAAGACTGTTAATTTAGATCAATGTCTTTCAAATGTTTTAGCCACAACTCACATAAGAAATACATTTTGCAATGACCCAGTATACACATGATTTATACTTGAAGCAAAAGATTTATTAAACATTCTGCACTTTGTATTATGTCTTTTTTTCATGCCATTAGTGACATACTAAATTGATTTGGTGACCCTAGCAATATGAAACGCTTATGTAACATGCTTTCAAATGCCAGTGGTCTGGGGATTGAACCCCTGAGTGGCACCTACATTTTTTTTTAAGTCACCTGGTTTTTCTCTGTTACCCAGGCCGTACTTGAACTCCTGGGGTCAAAGGATCCTCCACCCTCAGCCTCCCAAGTAGCTAGGACTACCAGTTCATGCTACTGTGCTAACTTGGCACTTATATTTTAAAAGTCGTGAACGATTTTAGCTAGAGAAGTTTCAGGGTAGGGGCAGCATCCACATTGTAATGGATTGAGGAATGGAGGGATGGAAGTAGAAATAGCTGTGTAGACAAATTTCCAGTTTTGTGTTCCTGAGGCTTTTTTTTTTTCTTTACTTTTAATTTTTTTTTTTTTAAGACGGAGTCTTGCTCTGTTGCCCAGGCTGGAGTGCCACTGCGTGATCTTGGCTCACTGCAACCTCTGCCTCCTGGGTTCAAGTGATTTGCATGCCTCAGCCTCCTGAGTAGCTGGGAATACAGGTGCATGCCACCACTCTCTGCTAATTTTTGTATTTTTAGTAGAGATAGGGTTTTGCTGTGTTGGCTAGGCTGGTCTTGAACTCCCGGCCTCAAGTGATCCACCTGCCTCAACCTTCCAAAGTGCTGGGATTACAGGCATGAGCCACTGTACCCGGCCTGCATTTTTTTTCCATAAACGGGAAAACCCTAGTGAAATATGGCAAAATGTCAATGTCTGTTAAATCTTTGTTTACTACATGGTTCTCTGTACTTTTTAAGTATGTTTGAAATAGTCCCTAAACAAATGTTTGTCTCTGATGGAGAGAAAACAATTGGATGATAATTGGGAAGGGAGTGCAGGATTGGGGGACAGGCTAATGAAAGTTTTATTCATCAGTAGGGAGCCAGAGGTTGAACATATAGGAGAGAAGATGGTTGATGGAGCAGCTTTCTAAAGAAGGTGAGGGAGTAACTGAGTCAGCTGACAGAGTTGGAGAAGTTAGTCTTGGTCTGGAGGAGGCAATCCCATTCATTGCCTGAGACTGGAGGAAAGAAGGAGAATAGAAGAAGGATATCATTTGGTATTATTATTATTATTATTTGAGACGGAGTTTTGCTCTTGTTGCCCAGGCTCAAGTGCAGTGGTGCAACCTCGGTTCACTGCAATCTCCGCCTCCCAAGTTCAAGTGATTCTCTTGCCTCAGCCTCCCAAGTAGCTGGTATTACAGGCTGCCACCACCACGTCCAGCTAATTTTTTGCATTTTTAGTAGAGACAGTGTTTCATCATGTTGGCCAGGCTGGTCTTAAACTCCTGACGTCAGGTGATCCACCCATCTTGGCCTCCCAAAGTGCTCGGATTACAGGTGTGAGCCACCGCACCTGGCCCATTTAGTGTTATTATAGGGAACAGGAGACCAAGGGAAAATACTGGACACTGGAAGGCCTGGCTGAGCTTGGAGGATGCACACCTGCTGGGGCATGGATTTCTGTCTTCACACTTTGCTCCATCTGCACAAAGCTACGTAAGAGTCACAGCAAAGATGAACGGAAACATGCATCTGAGGTTTTGGTTTTGCCAGGCAGGTAAGAGTCAGGGCCAGGATAAAAGGGAATCAAAGATAAGAGTGAGAAAGTTCAGTTGATTAACCGTGGCATCAGAGAGAGCAGAGGGACAGGAGGAACTCGGGACCCAGAAGTCCAAATGAGGAGGCAGAGCCGGATGCTGAGAGGCTGAGGAGACAGAAGGCAATATTATTTGAGTTTCAAGGTTTTAGAATTCCTTGCCTCCTCCCCCACAGGTAGCTCACCTGTGGATAAAAGTAGGCAAGGCTGCGATAGAACCAGACCTCCTAACTTCTGGAATTCAAAGCAAAGCATCCAGCCTGGGGCAGTGGCTCATGCCTGTAATTCCAGCACTTTGGGAGGCCAAGGCGGGTGGATCATGAGGTCAGGAGATCGAGACCATCCTGGCCAACATGGTGAAACCCCGTCTCTACTAAAATACAAAAAAATTAGCCGGGCATGGTGGTGCACGCCTCTTGTCCCAGCTACTTGGGAGGCTGAGGCAGGGGAATTGCTTGAACCTGGGGGGCAGAGACTGCAGTGAGCCAAGATCTCACCACTGCACTCTAGCCTGGTGACAGAGCATCTTAAGACTCCATCTTAAGAAAAAGAAAAAAAAAAAAAGAAAAGAAAAGCATCCATCAAAACTGGGTCCTGGCCAGGCGTGGTGGCTCATGCCTGTAATCCCAGCACTTTTGGGAGGCTGAGGCAGGCAGATCACCTGAGATCAGAAGTTTGAGACCAGCCTGGCCAACATGGTGAAACCTCATCTCTACTAAAAATACAAAAAGTAGCTGGGCATGATGGCACATGCCTGTGGTTCCAGCTACTCAGGAGGCTGAGGCAGGAGAATGGCTTGAACCCAGGAGGTGGAGTTGGTTGCGGTAAGCCAAGATCACACCACTCCAGTCCAGCCTGTGCAACAGAGTGAAGCTCTGCTTTAAAAAAAAGAAAAGGAAAAAAACAAAAACAAAAACTGCGTACCTTCTCATGATAAGGTTAATAATGAAAATCACTACCAGAACACCGGGTTGGAAGTTTAGGATGGCCTAACAGGAAAAACATATTTTTAGGAGCTCTCTCTCCAGTAACTGCTTAATTCACTCAGTTTACCAGAAAGCTGATTTGATGCAGCTGCCGACTGAAGAGTAAATTATTCTACCGTGGTGAAAATGTGGAGGCCATTCTCACATCCTCAAATTCAGAATGCTCATAATTATGATTCCTGAGTAGTGGAATGATAAAGATGTTGTTGTTTCTTTTCTCTATGTTTTCCAGTTGGTTTTTTTGTTTGTTTGTTTTTTAAGCGACAGGGTCTTACCCTGTCACCCAGGCTGGAGTGCAGATCATGGCTCACTGCAACCTCAACCTTCTTGTCTCAAGCAATCCTTCCACCTTAGCCTCCTGAGTAGCTGGAACTCCTAGCATGTGCCACCATGCCTGGCTCATTTTTCTTATTTTTTGTAGAGACGGAGTGTTTTAGTGTGTTCTCATGCTGCTAAGAAAGATATACCTGAGACTGGGTGGTTTACAAAGGAAAGACATTTAACTGACTCACAGTTCAGCATGGCTGGGGAGGCCTCAGGAAACTTACAATTGTGGCAGAAGGGGAAGCAAACACATCCTTCTTCACATGGTGGCATCAAGGAGAAGTGCCGAGTGAAGGGGAGGGTGGGAAAGCCCTTATAAAACCATCAGATCTCATGAGAACTTACTCACTTCGCAAGAACAGCATGGAGGTAACCACCCCCACAATTCAATTACTTTCCACTGGGTCCCTCCCGTAACGTGGGGATTACAGGAACTACAGTTCAAGATGAGATTTGGAGGCCAGGCACAGTGGCTCACTTCTGTAATCCCAGCACTTTGGGAGGCCTAGGGGGCGGATCACAAGGTCAAGAGATGGAGACCATCCTGGCCAACATGGTGAAACCCTGTCTCTACTAAAAATACAAAAATTAGCTGGGCATGGTGGTGCATGCCTATATTCCCAGCTATGTGTGTGGCTGAGGCAGGAGAATCACTTGAACCTGGGAGTCAGTGAGCTGAGATCATGCCACTGCCCTCCAGCCTGGCAACAGAGTGAGACTCCATGTTGGAAAAAAAAAAAAAAAGATGAGATTTGGATGGGGACATACCCAAACTATATCATTTTGCCCCAGCCCCTCCCAAGTCTCATGTTCTCACATTTCAAAACACAATCATGCCTTACCAACAGTCCCTCAAAGTCTTAGCTCATTCTGGCATTAACTCAAAAGTCCAAGTCCAAAGTCTCATCTGAGACAAGTCAAGTCCCTTCTGCCTCTGAACCTGTAAAATTAAAAGCAAGGTAGTTACTTCCTAGATACAATGGAGGGTACAGGCATTGGGTAAAAACACCCATTCCAAATGGGAGAAATTGGCTAAACAAAGGGGCTACAGGACCCGCTCAAGTTTCAAATCCAGACTGCAGTCAAATCTTAAAGCTCCAAAATGATCTTTGACTCCATGTATCACATCCAGGTCACACTTGCTGAGACCAGCTCGGTTGTGGAGACCCCAACCCAGTGGCACTAGAGGAATAAAGACACAGACACAGAAATAGAGTGCAAAGTGGGATCAGAGGGCTAACAGCCTTCAGAGCTGAGTGCCTCGAACAGAGTTTGACCCACCTGTTTATTGACAGTAAGCCCATGATAAACATCGTTTCTGCAGTTTATAGATTAACTAAAAGTATCCTTTATGGGGAACAAAGGGACAGGCTCTGGCTTGCTATCTGCAGCAGGAACATGTCCTTAAGGCACAGATCGCTCATGCCATTGTTTGTGGTTTGGGAACATCTTGAGCGGTTTTCCACCCTGGGTGGGCCAGATGTTCCTTGCCCTCATTCTGGTAAACCAGCAACTTCCAGTGTGAGCGTCATAGCCATCATAAGCATGTCACAGTGCTGCAGAGATCTTGTTTATGGCCAGTCTTGGGACCTATTCCCAGCAACACTGATACAAGAGGTGGGTTTCCAAGGTCTTGGGCAGCTTTGCCCCATGGCTTTACAGGGTACAGCCCCACTCCTGGCTGCTTTCGTGGGCTGATGTTGAGTATCTGTGACTTTTCCAGGCACACAGTGCAAGCTGTTGGTGGATCTACCATTCTGGAGTCTGGAGGATGGTGGCCCTCTTCTTACAGCTCTACTAGGCATTGCCCTAGTGGGGACTCTATGTGGGAACTCCAACCCCACATTTCCTTTCTGCTCTGCCCTAGCAAAACTTCTCCATGAGGGCTCTGCCCTGCAGCACATTTATGCCTGGACATCCAGGCATTTCCATACAGCCTCTGAAATCTAGGCAGAGTTTCCCAAACCTCAATTCTTCTGTGCACCTGCATGCTCAACACCATGTGGAAGTTGCCAAGGCTTGGGGCTTGCACCTTCTGAAGCCATGGCCTGAGCTGTACCTTGGCTCCCTTTAGCCATGGCTGGAGTGGCTGGAACATAGGGCACCAAGTCCCTAGGCTGCACACAGCAGGGGGGCCTTGGACCTGGTGAAGGAAACCATTTTCCCTCCAAGGCCTCCTGACCTGTGATGGGAGGGGCTGTTGTGAAGGTCTCTGACATGCCCTGGAGACATTTTCCACATTGTCTTGGAGATTAACATTCAGCTTCTTACTACTTTTGCAAATTTCTGCAGCAGGCTTGAATTTCTCCCCAGAAAATGGGGTTTCTTTTCTATTGCATAATCAGGCTGCAAATTTTCCAAAGTTTTCTGCTCTGCTTCCTCTTGAATGCTTTGTTGCTTAGAAATTTCTTCTGTCAGAGGCTGGCTGCAGTGGCTCACGCCTGTAATCCCAGCACTTTGGGAGGTTGAGGCAGGTGGATCACGAGGTCAGGAGATCGAGACCATCCTGGCTAACAAGGTGAAACCCCGTCTCTACTAAAAATACAAAAAATTAGCCGGGCGCGATGGCGGGCGCCTGTAGTCCCAGCTACTCGGGAGGCTGAGGCAGGAGAATGGCGTGAACCCGGGAAGCGGAGCTTGCAGTTAGCCGAGATCATGCCACTGCACTCCAGCCTGGGCAACAGTGCAAGACTCTGTCTCAAAAAAAGAAAAAAAAGAAAAGAAATTTCTTCTATCAGATACACTAAATCATCTCTCTCAAGTTCAAAGTTCTATAGATCTCTAGGGCAGGGGCAAAATGCTGCCAGTCCCTTTGCATAGCAAGAGTGACCTTTGCTCCAGTTTCCAATGAGTTTCTCATCTCTATCTGAGACCACCTCAGCTTGGACTTTATTGTCCATATCACTATCAGCATTTTGATCAAAGCCATTCAACAAGTCTCTAGGAAGTTCTAAACTTTTCCACATCTTCCTGTCTTCTGAGCCCTCAGTCTCCAGGAAGTTCCAGACTTTCCAACATTTTCATATCATCTTCTAAGCCCTTCAAACTGTTCCAACCTCTGCCTGTCACCCAGTTACAAAGTTGCTTGCACATTTCTGAGTATATTTATAGCAGCACCCCACTGGCAGTACCAATTTACTGTATTAGTCTGTTCTCATGCTTCCAATAAAGACATACCCAAGACTGGGTAATTTATAAAGGAAAGAGGTTTAATTGACTCACAGTTCAGCATGGCTGGGGAAACCTTGGGAAACTTACAATCATGGTGGAAGGGGAAGCAAACATGTCCTTCACATGTTAGCAGCAAGAAGTGCAGTGCAAAATGGGTTAAAGCCCCTTATAAAACCATCAGATCTCATGAGAATGAACTCACATCACGAGAACAGCATGGAGGTAACCATCCCCATGATTCAATTACCTCCCACCTCCCATGACACATGGGGGTTATGCCCTCCAGCCTGGGTGACAGAGCAAGAGCAAGATCCTATATTAAAAAGAAAAGAAAGGAAAAGAAAAAGAAATGGTTTATTATATATGTTCCTTAGAAAAAGAGAAAGAACTCTGAACATAACTGAAATATTTGAGATAAGGCTTTTACCACCACACAAAAGCCTACTTGGGAGATGAGAAGGGAATGGGCCATGATTTTGTAATGATGTAGGAGTCAAGGACTTTACAATGATATAGGAGTCAATGATATAGGGCCATGACTTTGTAATGATATAGGAGTCAAGTCAAGAATTTTGTAATGATATAGGTAGATAGTGAGGGTAGGGAAGTCCTTGGTAAGGTTTTTCTTTTAATGAAAAACAGCCCCCAATTATTTTCCTTTCTAACAAACAGCAGCCTGTAAAATCGAGTTGAAGACATAGGTGCTGGCAGTTGAGCCAATCATGTTAAAGATGGCGGCTCCATTTTCCCTTTTCTGCCAGTCACGTGTACAATAAGGAGCAGATAAGATGGTGCTGGCCAAGGGGAAAGCTCATTTGCATAACAAGATTAGGGTGGGGCGGCCAGCCTTCCCCCACACTTTATAAACATCATACCTGATCAAACCAATCTGTGAGCACTACGTAAATCAGACATCAGCTCCTCAAACCTGACTATAAAATCTAGTGCATCCGCTGCCGGCTGGTTTTTTCCTCTCAGAAGTCCCCTCTCTCTCACTAGAGAGAGAGCTGTTTTCCTTTCTCTTTCTTTTGCTTATTAAACCTCTGCTCCTAAACTCATGTGTGCCCATGTCCTAAATTTCCTGGCCTGAGATGACCAACCCCGGGTATTTACCCGAGACAACGTAACTGCTTCAGTAGTAACTCTGGATACGAACTTAGCCTTGCAGGGATTTCCAAGCCCCAGTGTGGCACAGCTGAAGCAGAATCACTTCCATGCCCTCAAACTTGGCCCAGAAGTACCAAAGGGAGTTGCTGGACCTGAGGGGCTGGGGCTTCAGTGACCATAATGGAATGACCCATAGCCCCATATGGGCCCATAACTGAACACCAACCAGATGGGGCTGGTGGAAGGCTACTGTCAACCTGAAATGAAGAAACTGTTATTGAACCAGAATGGGGTCCAATTGCCTGGTGCAGTAAAAGTAGATATCCACACCAAGGTTTTGCAGCAGTAGTGAAGAAGGAATTCATGAATTTTAAAAGCATAATCAAAGACCAGCAAGACATTTTTACTTTTTCCTTCAAAAGCTAAGTGTACTGTAGCCCCCCACCCCACATAGTCATAGTCTAAGTTAGAGAAGAATACTAACTGCCTGTTTTTCCTTCTGTGCTCAGCAAGCCTTATCTGTACTCACCAGTTTCACATTCCTTGAGGCTCAGCAAGTTCCTGCTTTACCTCCCTAGCGCAGCTGCAAAGTTACAAGGTTGATAAGCATATGTTACAGAAAGAGTTTCCCAAGGATATAGAACATGTAGTATACATAAATGTAAAAGACTGATCAACTGCCTTTGTTCTCACTTCTGTAAGTACGCTTCCTGCATCACATAGCTCTCAGCCACTGACTGCTTAAAAGGTGGCTGCTTTCTTTGTCCGAGGCTCAGACTTTCCTGGACGCTAGTCCTACTGAGCCAGGTGATCACCTTAATAAAGGCTTTCCTGAACTCTGGTTGGTCTCTCCCGTCTCTGATTGTCCCACAACATTTCTGGGGGCTTGTCCAGGATTGGAGATGGCAGATTTCTATATCCTTTGCCTGTGGGCTAGAGCCCCAGGATGCAGGAGATTTGAGACCCTTGGCACCACTGGGTAAGACTTAGCCCAGAAGGAGAACAGCTCTCCTGTGTCTTGGAGCCTTTCCCTGACAGTGCAAACAGAACCGACTTAGGAGTTGCAGGACAGTCACAGGAGCAGCGTGCAGGCAGACTACTGAACCATGGTAAGGTTGGGCCCTGGAAAAGCCCATCCCATAAGGACAGAAGGGGAGCTTGATCACCTCCCAGGGAACAACCACTTATTCAACCCAGAGTGGCTGGGGGTGGCAGGAGTGGACTGCCAATTTGGATGAACCCCATGTCCCCACTAACAAGTGAAAGTGGTTCACTGGATCTGGAAGCAGAAACTGGGAGTGTGTGGGTGGGTGCGTGTGAACCTACCTGGGACATGAGAAAGGCTTGTTTCATCCAATGAGGAGTGAAAGTGTGTGAAAGAGATGGTCTCAGGAGAGGCCAATGCAGGGAGTGACATGGGGAGGTGCAGATCTCTTTTTTTTTTTTTTTTTTGAGATGGAGTCTCACTGTGTTGCCCAGGCTGCAGTGCAGTGGTGCGATCTTGGCTCACTGCAAGCTCCACCTCCTGGGTTCATGCCATTCTTCCACCTCAGCCTCCCAAGTAGCTGGGACTACAGGCGCCCGCCACCACGCCCAGCTAATTTTGTTTTTGTATTTTTAGTAGAGACGGGGTTTCACCATGTTAGCCAGGATGATCTCAATCTCCTGACCTCGTGACCCGCCTGCCTCGGCCTCCCAAAGTGCTGGTATTACAGGCATGAACCACCATGCCCAGCTGGGAGGTGCAGATCTCTTAGCGCAGACTGTGTGCTCCGAGGCAAGCGTGGGATGAGCCAGACCTAGGTTACTGTGTCAGGCTGACAGGATTAGCTTCATAGCTTCACAGCAGTAGTTGGCTGTGACCTGGCCAAGCAGTGTCCGAACCTCCCGTAATAGGACCCAGTCTGGTGAATCCGAGAGTGAAAGTGAGAGTGAAAGTGCACCGTGAGGGAGGAAATGGGAGGAAAAGCATCGAAGCCAACTCAATTAGAATGTATATTGAAGAACTTCAAGAAAGACTTTTATGGTGATTATGGAATGAAGTTAACAACGTAGTGGCTAAGAACCCTTTGTGAAATTGACTGGCTCTCCTTTAATGTAGGGTGGCTGGCCAAGGGAACCTTAGATTGGGAAATAATTGGCTGAGTGTTTCAGGTGGTCACTGGGATCGGAGAACAGCCGGGGCACCCTGATCAGTTTCCATACACAGACTCCTGGCTGAGCATGATTTAAACCCATCCGAAATGGCTACAGGCCTGTTTTGAAAATTATTTAAGACTCTAGTGGCTTGTACAAAACAAGGAACCATAGAAAAGACCCAAAAAACCAGTCCCAGGAGAAACAGTAGCAAGGAAAACAGGAAAAACCTGTCCTACAGGCCCCACCAGAAGAGCTAGAGACTCCACCCCCTTATGTTCCTATTTACCTATCTCTGACAAGACTTAGGAAGACACTCCAGCAGCTGTCTCCGGAGGGTCAGACTCAGAGAAGAGTACCCCCCAAACTTCACTATGTAGGGAAGAGCCAGGGCCACTGCCTGATAAATCAAAGGAGGAAATCCAGGATGAGGTTGGCCATCTCCGGTCAGGACGCGGCCGAGACATGCAGATGCCCGTCAGAGAAACTAGGCGACAGATCTATTTAGATGCACAAAATGAGGTTCAAGGAGGAGAATGGCTTTATGTTTATCAGCCCTTCTCTACTACAGACATTTTCAACTGGAAGAGCATACTCTCTCCTATATGGAAAAACCCCAGGCTCTTATCGACCTAATGCAGTCCATCTTCTTAACTCACAACCCAACCTGGGCTGACTGCAAACAGCTCCTTCTGTCACTGTTCAATACAGAAGAACACCGCAGAGTAATACAAGCGGCTCATCAGAGGCTAGAAAAAAATGCCCCAGTAGGTACAGGAGATGTCAGACAGTGTGCTCGGCAGGCTTTGCCAATAGAAACTGACCCAGGCTGGGACCCAAATCAGGCCCAAGATCTGCTGAAGTTGCTGAGATACCAAGAGGCTCTAATACAAGGAATAAAGACTGAAGGGAAGAAGGCAACAAACACTGGAAAGGTTTCAGAAGTCTATCAGAAACCAGATGAAAGCCCCAGTGAGTTCTATGGGAGGCTTAGACAGGCTTACCGGCACTACACACCTTTTGACCCAGAAGCGGCAGGGAATCGGTGCATGGTTAATGCGGCATTTGTGAGTCAGGCACAAAATGACATTAAGCGAAAGTTGTAGAAGCTGGAGGGGTTTGAAGGTATGAACATTTCCCAGCTTATCCAGGTGGCAACATGTTTGTAAATCGAGATGAAGAAGTAAAGCAGGAGGCCAAGCATAGAGTGAAGGAAAAGGCAGAGTTCTTAGCTGCAGCCCTGGTTGAAAGAGAGGCTGGATTTGCAAGAGGATGTGGATGTGGCCATAGATGCAGTTGTGGTAGAGGACAAGCTAGGCCAGGTGAGGAGACCAAGACAGGTCAGGAAGGTCAGCCTAGACTAGAGAGAGATCAATGTGCGAGATGCAAGCAAAGACGGCATTGGAAAGATGAATGTCCAGAGAAAGAAAAGGATAAAGGCAACAACCAGGGACAGAATGGCTGGACAAGGCCTCCTTCCCCTGCTGGGCAAGGTGTAGTAGGATCTGACATGGATCTAATTGGGCTGGCAGGCGCCAACGGCTACCTTGAAGACTGAGACAGACCGGGCTCCATCTCATTAGGCCCTGAGGAGCCCATGGTCTCAATGGTAGTAGGGGGCTGAAAAACAGACTTTATGGTAGACACAGGTGCTGAACACTCGGTTGTGACTCAAACAATTGGGTCGTTATCAAAAGACTGCTAATATTATTGGGGCCACAGGTATCACAGAAAAAACATTATTTTTCAAATCAAAGAGATGTATGATTGGAGACCAAGAAGTCCAACACAAGTTCTTATACTTGCCGAACTGCCTGGGGCCCTTGTTGAGGAGAGATTTGCTGCAGAAGATGCAGGCTCAAATCTCCTTCACACCAAGCAGAGATATGACCTTGAGCCTAGGGCAAAAAAAGGCTATGGTACTGACTCTTACAGTACCCAATGCAGAGGAGTGGAGACTTTATGAATGTAGTTGCCGGGAGTGTGGAAAGGAGTACAGCATAGCTGAGAAAGAAAAACTGTTCACAGACTTACTCCTTAAGTTACCAGGAGTCTGGGCGGAGGACAATCCCCCTGTAAATCAAGCACCTGTCATAGTAGAGCTACTATGAGGAACCTGCCCGGTGCGGATGCATCAGTATTCCATTCCCATAGAGGCTAACCAAGGGATTGCAAAGCACTTAAAATGGCTCCTTGAATTTGGAATAAGAGACATATGTGTCTCCCCATGGAATACTCCCCTATTGCCAGTGTTAAAACCTTCTGGTGACTACCAGCCTGTACAAGATTTAAGGGCAGTCAACCAGGTAGCTGCTATACTGCATGCTATTGTGCCTAACCCGTACACTGTGCTTGGACAAATACCTGCTAGTGCTGCTTGGTTCACATGCTTGGACATTAAAGATGCATTCTTCTGCATCCTGTTAGCCCCTGTAAGCCGAGACATTTTTGCCTTTGAGTGAGGCCCATCTCAGTATACCTGGTCTAGACTTTCCCAAGGTCTAGACTTCCCCAAGGATTTAAAAACTCCCCAACTATCTTTTTTTTTGTTTCTTTGTTTTGTTTTGTTTTGTTTTGAGACGGAGTCTCGCTCTGTCGCCCAGGCTGGAGTGCAGTGGCGCATCTCGGCTCACTGCAAGCTCTGCCTCCTGGGTTCATGCCATTCTCCTGCCTCAGCCTCCCGAGTAGCTGGGATCACAGGCACCTGCCACCACGCCCGGCTAATTTTTTGTAATTTTAGTAGAGACGGGGTCCCAACTATCTTTGAAGAAGCACTAGCCTCAGACTTAAAGGCTTTCACACCACCAAGCAATCGCTGTGTCTTACTGCAATATACAGATGATCTGCTGTAAGCTGCACCCACAACAAAGGAATGTATCCAAGGAACAGAGTCTCCTTAGAGTGCCGTGGGAAGCTGGCTATAAAGTATCTAAGGAAAAGGCACAGATCTGTGGCCAAGGAGTTTGGTATCTTGGCTTTTATGTCTCCCAAGGGCAGTGTGAGCTTGGACAGGAGTGAAAAGAGATTGTCTGTAGCATTCCTCAGCCAGACACAAGGTGGCAAGTGTGGGAATTCCTAGGGGCAGCTGCTTTTTGCCACATATGGATTCCTAACTACTCGCTCCTAGCAAAGCCTTTATATGAGGCAACCAAAGTGGGAGAAAAAGAGCCCCTCCTTTGGGGAAAAGAACAGGACATGGCTTTCAAGGAAATCAAGAAAGCTTTAACCTGGGCCCCAGCACTAGGACTGCCAGACATGACAAAGCCCTTTTACTTGTATGTTCATGAAAGAAAAGGTATGGCTACAGGAGTCTTAGTGCAAACACTAGAGTCATGGTATTGGCCTGTAGCGTATTTGTCCAAGCAACTGGACTTGGTGGCTATGGGATGGCCACCCTGTTTCAAGGCCCTGGCTGCCACTGCCTTGTTAGCCGAAGATGCTAACAAGCTCACATTTGGACAGAAGTTGATAATTCGTGTGCCCCACACAGTTGTCACCTTGATGGAACAGAGAGGACATCGTTGACTCTCTAACCCTAGGATGCTAAGATACCAAGGACTCCTATGTGAGAATCCATATCACCTTAGAGACTGTGAATACCCTAAATCCATCCACACTGTTACGAATAGAATGTGCAGAACATGGAAAGCTCCTGTTATGTGCCCCAGGGTACCACTGCTGTGTAGAAACAGTGGATGAAGTCTTTTCAAGCCAGGAAGACTTAAAGGATCAACCCTTAAATGACCCAGATGTTGAATATTTTACTAATGGAAGCAGCTTCATATCTGAGGGTATCAGAAAGGCCAGATGTGCCATAGTCACATTAAGCTCAGTAGCTGAAGCCCACCCCCTACCGGTAGGAACCTCAACGCAGAAGGCAGAACCAATAGCTCTCACTAAAAGCAATATTTCTAGCGAAGGGAAGGTCAGTGAATATCTATACTGACTCAAGATATGCTTTTGCAACCTTGCATGCTCATGGCGCTATTTACAAAGAAAGAGGACTGTTAACTACTGAAGGAAAAGAAATAAAGAACAAAAAGAAAATACAGCAGCTCCTAGAGGCTATATGGACTCCAAAGGAAGTAGCAGTCATCCACTGTAAAGGACATCAAACAGGAGGAAGTGATAAGGCTACAGGAAACAGAAAAGCAGACAAGGAAGCAAAAAAGGCTGCAATGACAGAAAAACAACAAATAAAGAAGAGACTTATGCCATGCCCTTATTAGAGCTTCGCCTTGCAGATGCTCCTAACTACTTGTCCAACAAGAAGGCGTGGTTCATGCAGGAAAACGGGAGTTATCAGAAAGGAGGCTGGTGGAAGTTTTCAGATGGGACGCTTGCCATTCCAGAAGCCACTGCCCCCTGATTTATAAAGCAGTTTCACCAAGGAACACACATGGGGAAGACAGCTTTAGAGATTCTCGTAGGGCAGTATTTCTATGTGCCACGCCTAACTGCCATCACTCGAGCTGTCTGCGAGCAGTGTGTTACTTGTGCCCAGAATAACCCAAGGCAAGGACCTACTTGGCCCCCAGGAATTCAGGAAACAGGGCCAGTGCCATGTGTAAACCTATTTGTAGACTTTACCGAACTGTCTCAGGCTGGGGGCTATCGTTACACGTTAGTGTTTGTCTGCACCTTTTCAGGGTGTGTCGAATCATTCCCCACCAGGACAGAAAAGGCATGAGAAGTAAGCAGGATATTATTAAAAGACATTATTCCTAGATTTGGACCGCCTCTAACCTTAGGCTCAGACAATGGACCAGCTTTTGTGGCAGCAGTAGTACAGCAACTAACTCAGACGTTAAAAATTAAATGGAAACTGCATGCAGCCTATCGCCCACAAAATTCTTGAAACGTTGAAAGGATGAACTGGACTGAAACAACTGTTGAAGAAGTTTTGCCAAGAGACTCATTTAAGGTGGGACCAGGTATTGCCCATGGTCCTTCTCCGAGTCAGGTGTACCCCTACAAATTAACCAGGTATCCACCCTATGAGATAGTGTATGGCCCACCACCCCCACTTATATCTCAGTTAAAAGGAGATTGAAAGGAAATTGGAGAACCGACCCTAAGAAGATAAATGCAGGCATTAGGTGAGGTAATGCAAGAAGTACAAAGGTGGGTAAGAGAAAGAATACCTGTTAGCCTTACAGATGCAATACATCTTTTTCAACGTGGGGACTCTGTATGGGTTAAATGCTGGAATCCTACCACCCTCGGGCCCTTATGGGATGGCCCCCATATTGTGATCATGTCTACCCCTACTGCTGTTAAAGTTGCAGGTATTACACCACCACAGTCAACTAAAACCTGCAGCCTCAGTTCAAGACCAATGGACGAGTCAGCAAGATCCAGATCATCCAACTCGACTGATCTTGCAGAGGAACCAAGGCGCAGCAGGAAAAGACAACTGCCCTGCTACGACCACACCAGAGGCTGGTCGGTCAACGCACGGCTGTAGCTTAAGGAAGCATCAAGCTCTGCTCTAGTCACACAACTGGAAGCTGACTAGTCTACGCAAGGCTGAAGCTTAAGGAAACATCAAGCCCTGCTCTAGTCACACAACCAGAAGCTGACTAGTCTATGCACGGCCGAAGCCTGAGGAAGCCAGCACTAGATGAGTAAATGTGGACTGAATTTGCAAATGTAGTTACACTATTGCTTATACTGATTGCCTTGCTGTCATGCTATCTTTGCAACTGCTACCAAACTTGTTGCCCAGGAGGATGCCCGTGCATAGTATAAACTTGATCAGACTAATGACAATAATGTTAACAGGCATGGGAGGAAACCAAGATAATTGTCATCATTGTATGATAGAAGCTTGGTCTGGTAAAGGTATAACTAAAACCCTGTTATATCAAACTTATTATGAGTGTAATAAGTTTGTAAAGGAACTCCCTTGGGGACATGTGTTTATAATCAAACCAGCTACTCCGTCTGTGACACGGAAATAGGCAACCTCAAGTATGTTATAATCCAGGCCTCCTTCCCTATGACTTCTGGTTTTAAATTCAAAATAGGGAAACCTTTATTACCTTCATATGCCAATCCTAAAGACGTTAGAACTGGGAAACTCGTAAGCAAAATGCAGGTATTCTCTTATTCACATAAAGGATCTATTTCTATATATTTTGATGCCTGTCAGGCTGCACACCTCAGCAACCTAAACAATCTAGGAGTAGTCTGCAAGAACTTAGGACAAGAAAGAGTCAGTAGCAAGCCTGCTAAGATCATAACAGGAGAACTAGAAGAAGAATGTCCTGATGGTAACATTCAATGGACCACAAATCAGTTCAGCCAATGCCTTTATGCAGGGAGAGTAGCTCTGCTAACCAGCCAAGAAGCAAAGATTGGTTGTGCAACTAAAACATGCAACCCCCTAAATCTGACCATATTAAGGCCAAACATGCCTTTTTGGACTAAAGGACACCAAGGAGAGCAATCTTTGCTCGAGAAGAAGTAAATCTAGGTATTCAATTAATCATTATTAAAAAGACTCAGCGAGCTGAAGCTCAAGTCAGTCCAATGTCACAGTTCAGATTTTTCAAATCCTTCAGTAAACATTTTAACCCCAGGGAGCCAAAAGTTCAGATTCCACCAATGTCAGCTGAGAACCTACTCACTCAGCTAGCTGAAAGTATTGCTACTAATCTCAGAGTCACCTCATGTTATGTATGTGGAGGTACCAGTATAGGTGACCAATGGCTCTGGGAGGCTAGAAAACTAATGCCATAAGATAACTTTACCATACTGGAATTTGTTACAAGGTTCAATGCAAACCCAAGCGTCTGGCTCTTAAAAACCCCTATCATTAGAAGATACTGCATAGCACCATGGGGAAAAGACTTTCAAACTCAAGTAGGAGATAAAACTTGTTTAGGTCAGCAATATTTTGAATAGTCTAAGAACAAGACACAGTGGAGAAGCTTTATAGACAATTCCTCTGTACCAGATTTTAACCCTCTCTTTCAGTTTCCAGCACTAAATCAGTCATGGTATCAACTAGATGCTCCAAATGTTTAGAAAGCACCGGCAGAACTATATTGGACCTGTGGGACAAAAGCCTATCAACTATTGCCTGAGAAGTGGACTGGAGCCTGTGTGTTAAAGACAATAAGGCCGTCCTTCTTCTTGCTCCCACTGAAACAAGGGGAAGATTTAAGTTACCTGGTCTATAATGAAGAAGGGAAAAGGACCAGAAGAAACGTCTTTATTCAGATAAGTACTGTAGAAAAGATAAACACAAACATAAAGAAGGACATTGAGATAGGAAGCTGGAAGGATAATGAGTGGCCTCCTGAAAAAATTATCAAATACTATGGGCCAGCTACATGGGCTCAAGATGGATCATGGGGCTACCGCACCCCTATTTACATGTTAAACCGAATTATAAGATTGCAAGCAGTACAGAAGTCATAGTCAATGAAACACCCCAAGCCTTGGATCTGTTAGCTTTACAGGCCACTCAAATGAGAGATGCTATATACCAAAATAGGCTAGCATTAGACTACCTCCTAGCCTCAGAAGGAGGAGTTTGTGGCAAGCTTAATTTGACCAACTGTTGCTTACAAATCGATAATAACAGAAGAGCTGTTATGGAAATTACTGCTAGAATGAGGAAGTTAGCCCATGTCCCAGTCCAGACTTGGTCCTGGTGGAGCCCAAACTCACTTTTTGGAGGATGGTTCTCATGCTTGGAAGGCTTTAAAACCTTGATAATTGTTTTTATAGCTATAGTAGGAGGATGTCTAATACTGCCTTGTCTTTTACCTCTCCTCATCAGAAGCATCCAGTCTACTATTAAAGCAATAGTGGACGGAACAACTACCACCAAAATAATGGCATTACAAAAATACCAACCAGTCCCCCAGGAAGAATACGTGCCTACACAGGAAGAGATAAACGACTGTGGTGCTCTTTATCAATCTACATTTATGGCGAGCACCAAAGGGGGGGGGATGAAGAAGGAATTCATGAATTTTACAAGTACAATCAAAGACCACCAAGAAATTTTTACTTTTTCCTTCAAAAGCTAAATGTAGTTTAGAACCTGCACCCCACGTAGTCTAAGTTAGAGAACAATACTAACTGCCTGTTTTTCCTTCTGTGCTCAGCAAGCCTTATCTGTACTCACCAGTTTCACATTCCTTGAGGCTCAGCGAGTTCCTGCTTCACCTCCCTAGCGCAGCTGCAAAGTTACAAGGTTGATAAGCGTATGTTACAGAAACAGAGTTTCCCAAGGATGTAGAACATGTAGTATACATAAATGTAAAAGACTGATCAACTGCCTTTGTTCTCACTTCTGTAAGTACGCTTCCTGCACCAGGTAGCTCTCAGCCACTGACTGCTTAAAAGGTGGCTGCTTTCTTTGCCGAGGCTCAGACTTTCCTGGATGCTAGTCCTACTGAGCCAGGTGATCACCTTAATAAAGGCTTTCCTGAACTCTGTTCGTCTTTCCCGTCTCTGATTGTCCCGCAACAGCAGAAAGGAAGACATTTATTTGCAGTGCACCAAGCAGGAAGGACCAGGTAGCTCGCTCTCAAATCCTGACTTCCCCAGTAGCTTGCAGGTAAGGGTTCTTAAAGGCAGGGGTAAAATTCGGGAAAGCAGAAGTTACAGGCAAAGTCATAAGTCAGTACATGAAGCTTACACATTGGTTTTGGCTTAAAAGAGTCGGGTATCTTGAAGGCGAGGAGGGTTCGGGGGAATGTAGGGGTGTTACAAGCAACAGGTAAATTCAAAGATTTTCTGATTTGCAATTGTTTAAGGGAGAAAAATTTGGGGTCAGAAGAAAAGAATGTTAGCTCAATGTTGTGACTGTGACTTGCTCTAGGCCCCTCAGGAAGAACTTTAGAATAAAGGACAGCTGTCAGAGTTCAGTCCTCAGTTTCTCCTTATCTGAGGTCTGTGTGCCAGCAGATCCATTGGGTGGGGGTCCAGTCTCTGAAAAACAGTTCAGGGACACGCGCTAAGATGTTATCTTCAGTTTACATAGGGAACCAAACATTTCCTGGCTCTAGCTTCCTTTGCTGTTGTTTTAGGCTACTATTACATTCTTGCTTATCACGTTGCTCGTTTATTTATCAAGGCTAGCTAGGTGCTTGGAATTTTCTTTGAGGGAACTCAAGATTTTCCTTTATTTCCACGCTTGGGAGGGACTTGGCAGGCCTCTAACAAGTAGGTGGGGGAGTGGAGAGGGAGGGTGCGGTCCCTGCTTTGTCTCTCAGCACTTTGGGAGGCCAAGTTAGGAGGATCACTTGGGCCCATGGGTTGGAGACCAGCCTGGGCAACATAGTGAGACCCCGACTCTACAAAAAATTTAAAAAATTAGCTGGACTGGGCGTGATGGTTCACGCCTGTAATCCCAGCACTTTGGGAGGCCAAGGCAGGTGGATCACTTGAGGTCAGGAGTTCAAGACCAGCCTAGACAACATGGTGAAACCCCGTCTCTGCTAAAAATACAAAAATTAGCCGGTCATGGTGGCGGGCGCCTGTAATCCCAGCTACTCAGGAGGCTGAGGCAGGGGAATTGCTTGAACCCGGGAGGTGGAGGTTGCAGTGAGCTGAGATCACACCACTGCACTCCAGCCTTGGTGACAGAGTGAGACTCTGTCTCAAAAAAAAAAGAAAAAAAATTAGCCGAGTGTGATGGTGCATGCCTGTAGCCTTAGTTATTCAGGAGGCCAAGGCAGGAGGATTGTTTGAGCCCAGGAGGTCAAGGTTGCAGTGAGATGTGTTCACGCCACTCAGCCTCCTAAGTAGCTGGGACTACAGGTGTGTGCCATCGCACTTGGCTAATTTTAAAATTTTTGTAGAGACAGGATTTACTATGTTGCCCAGGTTGGTCTTGAACTCATGGACTCAAGCGATCCTCCTGCCTTGGCCTGCCGAAGTGCTTGGATTACAGTCGTGAGCCACTGCTCCCAGCCTGTACTGACCACAGGGCCTTCAATACCCAAGGGAGAGAACTTGTATGAAAACAAGTTATGTCCCATCCCCGTACCAGGTAAGAAAATAAGTTTTATCTGATGCATGGGAGTCCTTTTAAATTATCAGGCCCAAAGAGGCATTAAAATGAAATAGCAATCACGTCCTACTTTCCCCCACCCCATTTTGAGCTATGTGTTCATCTCTTGAAATTGCTTGCTATTGCTAAAAGTAGCCATAAATTAACCTAACAGTGCTGCAACAGCCACTATAACCCACACCCTATAGCTTAACAATGTATATAGCCAATCAGCAGCTTATGTTATTTTGATGGAAATTCTTGGTAAACAACTCAGGAACTGCCTCTTCTTTCCCTTTAAAAATCCACTTGTGGACCAGCACGGTGGCTCACACCTGTAATCCCAGCACTTTGGGAGGCTGAGGTGGGTGGATCACCTGAGGTCAGGAGTTCAAGACCAGCCTGGCCAACATGGTGAAACCCCATCTTTACCAAAAATTCAAAAATTAGCCAGGTGTTGTGGTGGGCACCTGTAATCTCAGCTACTCGGGAGGTTGAGGCAGGAGAATCGCTTGAACCCAGGAGAAAGAGGTTGCAGTGAGCCGAGATTGAGCCATTGCACTCTAGCCTGGGCGACAAGAGCAAAACTCTGTTTCAAAAAACAAAAAAAAGTCCACTTGTGGCTGGGCATGGTGGCTCACGCTTGTAATCCTAGCACTTTGGGAGGCTGAGACAGGCAGATCACCTGAGGTTGGGAGTTCGAGACCAGCCTGACCAACATGGAGAAATCCTGTCTCTACTAAAAATACAAAATTAGCCAGGCATGGTGGTGCGTGTCTGTAGTCCCAGCTACTCAGGAGGCTGAGGCAGGAGAATTGCTTGAACCTGGGAGGTGGAGGTTGTGGTGAACTGAGATCACGCCATTGCACTCCAGCCTGGGTAACAAGAGCGAAACTCCCTCTCAAAAAATAAATAAATAAATAAATAAATAAATCCACTTGTAACTGCTGCTAATTGGAATGTATATTCAGGAAACTTAAATCTGTGCTCCCATGTTACAATCCTCAAGCTTGGTGCAAATAAACTCTCTACTTATATTAATTTAGCTTCAGTTTATTCCATTTAAATATTAATTTAGCTTCAGTTTTTCCTCCAACACAGCCTTTGTTGAAGGCCTCTAGGCTCTCTCCTAACAAAGAACAGTGGGTCAGATGCCCTGGACTCGACTCCAAGGACTCACTCTCTCCCCCACTACGATGCCCCCATGTTGTTATCATCAATTAAGCAAAACAAAGCTTTCTGTGTTTGTTAAAGTCATGATGAAGATAATTATGCGGTAGTTCATCTCAATGGAGCAGTCATTCAGTCTCTGCTGAAGCTTCTGGGCCTTCATTTCTAGTGTTTATACACTGAGCCAACTAAGCATTCCTGGTTACTTCTACTTCCAGTAACCAGATATCTGAGTCCCATCAAACACAGTAAAAAGAGTTTTCTTCTTATTATTATTAGGAAAAGGTGAGCTCCATAAAAGGTGGGTATATATATTTTGAGATGGAGTCTCACTCTGTCAGCCAGGTTGGAGTGCAGCGGCGCGATCTTGGCTCACTGAAACCTCCGTCTCCAGGGTTCAAGCAATTCTTCTGCCTCAGCCTCTGGAGTAGCTGGGACTACAGGCGTGCACCACCAGGCCTGGCTTTTATTTATTTATTTATTTTTAGACAGAGCCTCGCTCTGTCACCCAGGCCAGGGTGCGGTGGCTTATCTCAACTCATTGCATGCAACCTCTGCCTCCTGGGTTCAAGCCATTCTCCTGCCTCAGCCTCCTGAGTAGCTGGGATTACAGGCACACGCTGCCATGCCCAGCTAATTTTTGTATTTGTAGTAAAGATGGGGTTTCACAGTGTTGTTCAGGCTGGTCTTGAACTACTGACCTCAGGTGATCCACCCTCCTCAGCCTCACAAAGTGCTGGGACTACAGGCGTGAGTCACCGCGCCTGGCTGTGGGTAGAGATTTGTGTCTGTTTTGTTTACTGATGTATCGTAGGCACCTAGAACCATGCCTGGCACATATAAGGCACTCAGTAAATATTTGTTGAATAAATGAAACTGCATTCTCTCCTGTGAATGAGGCTTGTTCCTTTATTTTTATTTATTTATTTATTTTTCAGACAGAGTCTCGCTCTGTCACCCAGGCTGGAGTGCAGTGGCATGATCTAGGCTCATTGCAACCTCCACCTCCCAGATTCAAGCAATTCTCATGCCTCAGCCTCCTGAGTAGCTGGGACTACAGGCACGCGCCAACAAGCCCAGCTAATTTTTTTTATTTTAGCAGAGATGGGGTTTCATCATGTTGCCCAGGCTGGTGTCAAACTCCTGAGCTCAGGCAATTTGCTCACCTTGGCCTTCCAAAATGCTAGGATTACAGGTGTCAGCCACCGTGCCCAGCCTGAGGCTTGTCACATTTTAGTGCCAAAGATGCCACCAACCCCACTGGGGAAGCAGCCCAGATGGGTTCAGCAAGGAGCTTGTAAAATAAACATAAAATTCTGGGCCGGGCACAGTGGCTCACGCCTGTAATTCCAGCACTTTGGGAGGCCAAGGCAGACAGATCACCTGAGGCCAGGAGTTCAGACCAGCCTGACCAACATGGAGAAACCCTGTCTCTACTAAAAATACAAAATTAGCCGGTCGTGGTGGTGTGCATCTGTAATCTCAGCTATTCGGGAGGCTGAGGCAGGAGAATCGCTTGAACCTGGGAGGCGGAGATTGCGGTGAGCCGAGATTGTGCCACTGCACTCCAGCCTAGGCAACAAGAGTGAAACTCTGTCTCAAAAAAAAAAAAAAATAATAAATAAAATAAAATTCTACATTCTACCCCACCCCCACCCCCACTGACTGAATGGTCAATACCCTTCTTGGCCAAGGGGAGCCTAGATGAACATTAAAAACTGAACTCCCTCAAGACCAGCCTGACCAACATGGAGAAACCCTGTCTCTAATAAAAATACAAAATTAGCTGGGTGTGGTGGCGGGCACCTGTAATCCCAGCTACTCGGGAGGCTGAAGCAGGAGAATTGCTTGAACTAGGGAGGCGGAGGTTGTGGTGAGCCGAGATTGTGCCACTGCACTCCAGCCTGGGCAACGAGTGAAACTCCATCTCAAAGAAATAAAATAAAATAAAATAAAATAAAATAATAAAATAAAATAAATAAAATAAAATAAAATAAAAAAACTGAACTCCCTGGCCAGCATTTTGGGAGGCTGAGGTGGGTGGATCACCTGAAGTCAGGAGTTCGAGACCACCCTGGCCAACATGGCGAAACCTTGTCTCTACTAAAAATACAAAATTTAGCTCCACATGGTGGTGTGTGCCTGTAATCCCAGCTACTTGGGAGGCTGAGGCACGAGAATCACTTGAACCTGGGAGGCAGAGGTTGCAGTGAGCCGAGATCTTGCCATTGCACTCCAGCCTGGGCAACAGAGCAAGACTCCATCTCAAAATAATAATAATAATAATAATAATAATAAATAAAATAAAGAATAGAAAAGAAAACTGAACTCCCAGCCATGACAGGAAGGGAGGTCGAACACGCCTTGTTATGCCCCCTCCCTTTTGGAGTTTAGGCACAACTGACCAGCATATTAAATAGAGATCATAAGACGGACAAACATTCCCTAGCAAGCTGACTGACAAACAGATTCTTTGTTGCAATAAGATACCACATTATAAATAAGACCCAAGGCTATCCCAAGCAGGAGTAAAGTCTAGCCTGCAGGCCAGCAATCTTGCTACATAGCATCCTTATCTTAAACATTCCTTTCTGCTGATTCCAAGTTTTCGACAGAGCCTTACTCCTTTAACCAACTGCAAATTCAAGAATCACTGAATCTACTTATACCTATAAGTCCCCACTTCAAGACATCCTGCCTTTTAGGGCTGAACCAATGTGTACCTTTCATGCATTGATATACGTCTTTGCCTATAACTCCTGCCTCCCTACAATGTATGAAACCAAAGGCTCATCAAGGCTCCTTCGGTCTGTGTTTTCCCCAGGGCTATGGTCACTCCTATTGGCTCAGAATCAGCCTCTTTAAAATATTTTACAGCTGGGCTCAGTGGCTCACACTTGTAATCCTAGCACTTTGGGAGGCCGAGGCGGGTGGATAGACTGAGGTCAGGAGTTCGAGACTAGCCTGGCCAACATAGTGAAACCCTGTCTCTACTAAAAATACAAAATTTAGCTGGGCATGGTGGCGGGAGCCTGTAATCCCAGCTATTTGGGAGGCTGAGGCAAGAGAATCGCTTGAACTTGGGAGGCGGAGGTTGCAGTGAGCCAAGATCGCACCACTGTACTCCAGCCTGGGTGACAGAGCAAGACTCCATTAAAAAATATATATATTATAATTTAAATATATATTTAATTATTTATATTTAAATATATATTAAATTATTTATATTTAAATATATATTATAATTTAAATATATAATAATTTAGTATATATTATAATTTAAATATATATTTAAATATATATTTAAATTAATATATATTATTTATAATAATATAATTTAAATATATATTTAAATATATATTAATTTAAATATATATATATATATATATATATATATATATATATATATTTTTTTTTTTTTTTTTTTTTTTTTTTGAGACAGAGTCTTGCTCTGTCGCCCAGGCTGGAGTGCAGTGGTGCGATCTCAGCTCACTGCAAGCTCCGCCTCCCTGGTTCACGTCATTCTCCTGCCTCAGCCTCCCGAGTAACTGGGACTACAGGCGCCCGCCACAACGCCCGACTAATTTTTTGTATTTTTTGTAGAGACGGGGTTTCACCGTGTTAGCCAGGATGGTCTTGATCTCCTGACCTCGTGATCCACCCACCTCGGCCTCCCAAAGTGCTGGGATTACAGGCGTGAGCCACCGCGCCCGGGCTATATTTTTAAAAAATATATATTAAATATATATTTAAATACATTAAATATATATTTAAATATTTATACTATATATTTATATATTATATATAAATATATATAAATACAGTATATTTAAATACATTAAATATATATAAATACAGTATATTTAAATACATTAAATATATATAAATATAGTATATTTAAATACATTAAATATATATAAATATAGTATATTTAAATACATTAAATATATATAAATATAGTATATTTAAATACATTAAATATATATAAATATAGTATATTTAAATACATTAAATATATATTTAAATATATAGTATATATACACTATATATTTATATACTATATATACTATATATACTATATATACTATATATACTATATATATCTACTATATATATATAGTATATATATAGTATATATAGTATATATAGTATATATAGTATATAGGTATATATATAGTATATATAGTATATATATAGTATATATAGTATATATATACTATATATAGTAGATAAATATATATATAGTATATATATACTATATATATTTATCTACTATATATACTATATATATACTATATAGTATACTATATATAGTATAGTATATATACTCTATATAAATATATAGTATATATTACTATATATAAATATATACATACTATATAAATATAGAGTACATATACTGTATATTTATATATACTATATATAAATATATCGTATATGTACTCTATATTTATATATACTATATATAAATATATAGTATATATATTTAAATATATATACTATATATTTATATATTATATATAATATATATAATATATAAATATATAGTATATATATTTAAATATATAATTATATATAATATATATAAATATATTATAATATAATATAATATAATATAAATTTAAATATAAATATATAATATATATGAAATATTTTATATAATTATAAATAATTAATATATTAGTTAATATAATTAATATATTAATTATATTAATACATTAATTAATATAAACAATTAAATATTATGTTTAAATATATATTTATATATTTTATATTTAAATATATAGTATGTATATTTATATATTTTATATTTAAATATATATGCTATATATACTATATATTTTATATTTAAATATATAGTATATATACTATATATTTTATATTTAATATATAGTATATATACTATATATTTTATGTTTAAATATATAGTATATATACTATATATTTTATGTTTAAATATATAGTATATATACTATATATTTTATATTTAATATATAGTATATATACTATATATTTTATATTTAAAATATAGTATGTATACTATATATTTTATATTTAAAATATAGTATGTATACTATATATTTTATATTTAAAATATAGTATGTATACTATATATTTTATATTTAAAAATATAGTATGTATACTATATATTTTATATTTAAATATATAGTATGTATACTATATATTTTATATTTAAATATATAGTATATATACTATATATTTTATATTTAATATATAGTATATTTGTATATTTTATATTTAAATATATATAGTATAGCTATATATTTTATATTTATATATATCTATTTATATATTTTATATTTATATATACTATATCTATTTATATATTTTATATTTATACATATACTATATCTATATATTTTATATTTATATATACTATATCTATTTATATATTTTATATTTATATATACTATATATTTATATATTTTATATGTGTATATATACACATATATATATATTTATATATGTGTGTGTGTATATATATATATATATTTTTTTTTACAGAGTTTGGTTTTTCCGTTAACATGCTCCTCTGGAGCCTGAGGAGTTTGGAAACAAGCTGCCTGTTTACCCAGGGACACAGGAGCACTGAATGGCTGGTTCTCCACTCCTTGTGAATGTAGGCTTGGTGCAATCACTGGACTAGGAGAGCTAACATCCTGAAATTATGCAGCTGGGCAGTTGTCCAAGCATGATCCTAGACTAAACCACATTAGCACCACCTGGGAACTGATCAGAAATGCAAATTCTCAGGCTTCATGCCAGACCTACTGAATTAGAATCTCTGGGGGTCAGGCCTCACAATCTGTGTTCTAGTCAGCCCTCCATGTGATTCTGATGCACATGAAGGTTTGAGAACAGCTGATGTAGTGAGATGACAGAGCGGGAGGATGAGCTGGAAGAGGAACAAGTGCTGGAAGCTCAGGGTCATTTTAAGTGCCGAGGGGGTGCATGTGCAACTGAGAAGATGGAAGTTCCTCTGGGAGCTATGAGGAAGACTCACCATGGGTTAGGCCATAGCGAATGTCTCTTGTGAGAGTCCCTGCAGAATGCTGGAGGCCAGAAAGTGGGGCAGGGAAAGGGTGAGATGAACTTTTTTTTCTTCTTTCTTGAGACGGAGTTTCGCTCTTGTTGTCCAGGGTGGAGTGCAGTGGCATGATCTAGGCTCACTGCAACCTCCACCTCCCGGGTTTAAGTGATTCTCCTACTTCAGCCTCCCAAGTAGCTGGGACTACAGGTGCGCGCCACCATGCCCGGCTAATTTTTGTAGTTTTAGTAGAGACAAGGTTTCACCATGTTGGCCAGGATGGTCTCGATCTCTTGACCTCGTGATCCACCCACCTCAGCCTCCCAAAGTGCTGAGATTACAGGCATGAGCCACCGCGCCTGGCCTGAGATGAACTTTTTCCCTTACCCCAGTCACCTCAAGTTCTGACCAGGATGTGGTAGGTGGGTTTTTCTGCTGGAACCTGCAGGCGATGAATCATGGTGCTGGCACTTAGAGTATGAATGAAGCTGTGTAGTACAAGAAACCCAAATATCTGGGAGAGGTCAAGAGGACAGCAGTCATGAGAGACCTGAAGTAGGGGAAATCTAAGAGTGGGCTTGCCTGCCTCATGGAGGGGACGAGATGGACTCTTTTTTTGTTTGTTTGTTTGACACAAAGTCTCGCTCTGTTACCCAAGCTGGAGTGCAGTGGCGCCATCTCAGCTCACAGCAATCTCCGCCTCCTGGGTTCAAGTGATTTTTGTGCCTCAGCCTCTAGAGGCTGGGATTACAGGTGTGCACCACCACGCCCAGCTATGTTTGTATTTTTAGTAGAGATAGGGTTTCACCATGTTGGCCAGGCTGGTCTTGAACTCCTGATCTCAAGCAATCTACCTGCCTTGGCCTCCGAAGTGCTGGGATTACAGGCGTGAGCCACCGCGCCTGGCCAAGATGGACTCCTGAGAAGAGACAATGTCATGACCTCCTTTCTCTCTTCCTTGACAAAAGGAAGGTTCCGATTGAACCAAAAACTTTAATACTGTGATACCCTACCTTGTTTTAACCTGAATTTACTCTCCCTTAGCTGAGAGAGCCAGACAAACTCCATTTTGGCTCCTTCACTTGCAGCCCCTTGCAGCCTCTTACCCACCCCCTTCCTCAATGACTTAACTTGTGCAAGCTGACTCCCAGCACATCCAAGAATGCAATTAACTGATAAGATACCGTGGCAAGCTATACCCGCAGTTCCCAGGAATTTGCCCGGTTGATAGTACTCTAAGCCCCCCGCATTTGTGTCTGGTTGATAGTACCCAAAGCCTCCACATCTATCACCTTGTGATGGATTTAAAGCCCCTGCACCTGGAACTGTTTGTTTTCCCGTAACCATTTGTCTTTTTAACTTTTTTGCCTGTTTTACTTCTGTAAGATTGCTTCAGCTAGGCTCCCCCTCCCCTTTCTAAACCAAAGTATAAAAGAAAATCTAGCCCCTTCTTCGGGGCTGAGAGAATTTTGAGCACTAGCCGTCTCTCAGTCACCGGCTAATAAAGGACTCCTGAATTCGTCTCAGAGTGTGGCGTTTCTCTATAACTCGCTCGGTTACAACAATGCAGTTACTGACTCAAGGATTTAAGTTTTCTTGATTCAGGCCCAAGAGCCAGGGCCCTTTGTCATCCACCCACTGAATCCCAATACCCATCTGGCCGCTGAAGCAGCTGTATTTGTTCACATATTAGCCTGTGTGAGCCCTGTGCATGGCTGGCCAGCTGTCTGACAGGTCAGGATCAACAGCACTCCCTTGGGCTGACAATGTCCTCCTGCTTGTGGTGGCCCATCCTCAGCCCTGCAGGAACCTGAAAGAAGCTGACAGGTTCAATGTAAGGAAGGAAGAACTGAATTCTTAAGGAGGGAGAAGAGGCGTGGCTGAAGGTTTTGGTTGGAGGTGGTAAATAGGATATCTTGTCAACAGGAGGACTATCTGCTCATGATTGAATGGCATTTCCAATCATATCTTGACTATAGCAAAGAATAGTGATGCCATCTTGTTCCTCTATGATTTGAGATCTCCAAACCTATGACTGAAGAGACACAGGTAGTAGGCCTCATGGTATACACACTACAAGGTTCCCACACAAGATAATCTTTTGCCCCTGGGCAGTATGTTGGCCCTTTGTAATGCAAAATGCTAATCTAGTTTAAACGGTGCTATGGTTTGGGTGTGGTTTGTCCATATCGAAACTCATGTTGAAAGTTCATTGCCAATATAATGGTGTTGGGAGGTGGTGCCTTTAAGATGTGATTATGTTAAGGTAGATTAATGTCCTTTTTTTTTTTTTTTGAGACAGTCTCTCTGTGTCACTCAGGCTGGAGTGCAATGGCACAATCTTGCCATTGTGCAATGGCACAATCACTGCAACCTCCACCTCCTGGGCTCAAGCGATTCTCCTGCCTCAGCCTCCCGAGTAGCTGGATTACAGACACCCACCACCGTGCCTGGCTAATATTTGTAATTTTAGTAGAGACGAGGTTTCACCATGTTGCCCAGGCTGGTCTCAAACTCCTGACCTCAGGTGATCCACCCACCTCGGCCTCCCAAAGTGCTGGGATTACAGGCATGAGCCACTGTGCCCGGCCCCTTTTTTTTCTTTTAACATGTGTTTTTTCATTTATTTATTTTTGAGACAGGGTCTCGCTTTGTTGCCCAGACTGGAGTACAGTGGTGCAATCATAGCTCACTGCAGCCTCCATCTACCTGGCTCAAGTGATCCTCCTGCCTCTGAGTAGTTGCTCAAGTTATCCTCAGTCTGCTGAGTAGTTGGGACTACAGGTGCACACCATTGTACCTGGCTAATTTTTTATTTTTTATTTTTAGTAGAGACAAAGTCTCACTATGTTGCCCAGGCTGGTCTGGAATTCCTGAGCTCAAGTGATCCTCCCGCCTCAGTCTCTCAAAGTGCTGGGACTACAGGCATGAGTCGCTGTGCCTGGCCTATTTTAAAATTTATTTTTGAGATAGAGTCTTACTCTGTTGCCCAAGCTGGCCTCAAATTCCAAGCTGAGCCCAAGCAATTTTCCCACCTCAGCCTCCCGAGTAGCTGGGACTAGGGGCACTCACCCCCACACAGGGCTAGGATAGAGTAATGTCTTTCTCTGGAGACTGGGTTAGTTCACACAGGAATAGATTAGTTCCCTCGAGCTCATATTGTTTTAAAGTAAGGTGTTTGGCCCCTTTCTTGCACATACCCACTTCCTCTTCTTCTTCTCTGCCTTGTTGTGACACAGCATGAGTCCTTACCAGAAGTCAAGCAGATGCTTGTGCCATGCCCTTGGACTTTCCAACCACCAGAATCATGAGCCAAATAAACCTCTTTTCTTTACAGATAAACCAGCTTCAGGTATTCTGTTATAGCAACACAAAATGGAACAAGACAGATAGATAGATGCCATCTATGGAGGAAAATAGAGAGGAAGTCATGCTATTTATCCCAAATCAGACCAGCATTACTAACATAATCTGTTAGTGAATTAAATAAGACTGTGGCAAAGTTCATCAGGCTTAAGGAGTATTTGGATGTCCTATAGTTAATAATAGTATATTATGTATTTCAAAATTGCCAAGAGTAATCTGTCATGGGATTAAGAGTAAAAAAAAAAATTTTTTTTAAAGAAATTTAAAGTGGCTGGGCATGGTGGCTCATGCCTGTAATCCCAGCACTTTGGGAGGCTGAGGCAGGCAGATCAACTTAGGTCAGGAGTTTGAGACCAGCCTGGCCAACATGGTGAAACCCCATCTCTACTAAAAATACAAAAATTAGCTGGGTGTGGTGGTGGGTGCCTGTAATCCCAGCTACTCGGGAGGCTGGGGCAGGAGAATCGCTTGAACCCAGGAGGCAGAGGTTGCAGTGAGCCAAGATCCCACCATTGCACTCCAGCCTGGGCGACTAGAGCAAAACTTCGTCTCAAAGAAAAAAAAAAAAAAAAAAAAAGGGCCAGGTGCAGTGGCTCACGCCTGTAATCCCAGCACTTTGGGAGGCCAAGGTGGGTGGATCATGAGGTCAGGAGATCGAGACCATGGTGAAACCCCATCTCTACTAAAAATACAAAAAATTAGCCGGGCAAGGTGGCGGGCACTTGTAGTCCCAGCTACTTGGGAGGCTGAGGCAGGAGAATGGTGTGAACCTGGCAGGCGGAGCTAGCAGTGAGCTGAGATCACGCCACTGCACTCCAGCCTGGGCAACAGAGCCAGACTCCGTCTCAAAAAAAAAAAAAAAAAAAGAAATTTAAAGAAAAAAAAAGAGAAAAATACACAAAATTGCCGAGAATAAAATTCAAATGTTCTCACCACAAAAAAATGATTATGCAAGCCTGGGCAACAAGGCAAGACCCTGTCTCTACAAAAAAATAAAAAAAAGTAGACAAGTGCAGTGGTTTATGCCTGTGGCCCCAGCTACATGGGAGGCTGAGGCAGGAGGATTGTTTGATCCAAGGAGGTGAGGCTACAATGAACTCTGCTCACATCATTGCACTCCCGCCTGGGTGACAGAGCAAGAGCTTGTCTCAAAAAAGAAAAAAAAAGTAAGCATTTGAGGTGATTGATATGTTAAACAGCTTGATTTAATCAGTCTGCACTGTATACATATGTCATAACATCACTTTGTACCTCATAAATGTATACAATTGTAATTTGTCAATTTATAATAAAACAATTAAAAATCACATTTAAAAACGTAAAAGACTACTTGGGTATCAGTGTCGCTGTGTAGGTCATCAGAGCTTTCTCCTATGCTGTAGATGTCCCTCATTGGAGTGAAGAGGCTGGGGAGCTGTGAATGGGTTTTTTGGTTGCTTCCTGAAAGGCTCAGAAGCTGAAACTAGGCCAGGCACGGTGGCTCACGCCTGTAATCCCAACACTTTAGGAGGCCGAGGAGGGCGGATCACCTGAGGTCTGGAGTTCGAGGCCAGCCTGGCCGACATGGTGAAACCTCATCTCTACTAAAAATGCGAAAATTAGCCAGGTGTGGTGGCAGGCACCTGTAATCCCAGCTATTTGGGAGGCTGAGGCAGGAGAATTGCTTGAACCTGGGAGGCGGAGGTTGCAGTGAGCCGAGATTGTGCCATTGCACTCCAGCCTGGGAGACAAGAGCGGAACTCCGTGTCAAAAAAAAAAAAAAAAAAAAAAAAGCTGAAACTGTCCCAGGAGTTGGAGGATAACCTGAATATCCAGGATTCCTATGCAAATCTGAAACCTATCCTATAGAGGCTAAGGAAGAAGTTTTGAACAGCCCAGAGTCCTGACTGTTTTTGGAAGGTAGTGCAGTACCTAGGAAAATGTTCAAATGCAACCTCATGGTAGAAGCTCGGGTTGAGAAATGCCAGACAAGAGTAAACAGTGTTCCTGGCTGGAATTCCTTGGCAGATAGAGTCAGCTGGCGGCTGCTGGCCAGAGAGATGGGTCGAGGATCAAAGGGCAGTATGACCATGTGCATGGCTGCGCTTGGTCGAAGGGAGGAAGCAGGGCTATAACTAGCTTGTCCCAAACCAAGTCTGGGCATCGCAGGCAGATTCTATACTATGTCTGGTTCTGCCCCACAACACAATCCTGCCCACTGTGTCTGGAAAACTTCTTCCTAAGTATTCCTTTCAGACAATGAGGATACAGTTGCATGATCTCGATAGAAAAAATGTGGAGAAATGTGCTTAAGTCTTGAATACATATGGCATCCTCACTTTTCTTCACCTAACGGAGTGCAATAACCATTTCCTAGACGTACCCAGCCTTCCTTGCTTTAATGAACTCTACCAGCAGGCGGCAGCACAAAGACGAGGCTTGCAACATCATTCCGCGCAGAACCCAAGACCAAGGAACAAACAAGGACGGATTTAAGGCTCCTCCTTAGAAAAACGTCTTCCTATGCTGTTTTGCATAGGAAACGGCCTCTGATTTGCAGCTGGGGGTTGGAGGGATTCACCTTCACTTTGCTGTGGCCCAAGAGCCCTTCTCTTCCCTACTCTCCCTGCAGCATACTCTCTGGAGTGTGTTAAACTCAGCAAAACCTAATCCTTAAGGGTTGCACTTTCCCCCCGGTTAACCGGCAGAAAGCGGGTTCCTTGCCTTTTCCTGCTGACGAAAAAACAGGGCTTTATTCAGTTATCTCCGTCTATGCTGTTACTGGGGTGCTTGTTCCTCCATGCAGGACTGATTGTCCCACAGCAAGGAGCACATGTCCTCTGCTTGCGGAGAGGAAGTGTTGGTCATGCTCAATTCTGCACCTTATTTCGAGGAGGTCAGGTTTGTGATGTCTGCAATGAAAGCAGAGTGCACACATGGCTGCTGCATCATTGGAAGGTCTGCTCCTTGAAGGCAGGGCTTTGTGTTATCCACTCTACCCCTAGTGCTTAAAACAGTGCCTGGCACACAGTAGGCACTCAACAAATAGCCCTTGAGTAAATGAGAAAAGGCTATCAACCTTATACTCCTTTGTTTTCACTACCTCACTTCCCCAAACCCATGAATTCTAAGCAACTCACCAAACACCTGAATGACTTCCTGGCTCCAGGTCTCTCCTCTACCTGCTTTACCTTGACACTCACCTGTCACTGCCTGTTCTGACATCTCCAACCAGTATCCCAGTTGCCTATAGCTCAGAGTCAGAACAGCCCAGACTTCAGTTCTATTCACAGTGTGGCACTAAGAGCATAGGTTTTGGAGGCTGCGCATGGTGGCTTATGCCTGTAATCGCAACACTTTGGGAGGCCGAGGCAGGAAGATCACTTGAGGCCGGGAATCCAAGACCAGCCTGGGCAACATGGCAAGATCCCCGTCTCTAAAACAAAACAAAACAAAACCTGATAGGTTTTGGGGCTGAAAATACAGGAGTTGGAATTCTAATTCTGGCCCTCACTAGCCATGGTCATGTGTAAAACAGGAATAAAAATACTAACCTCATAAATTATGGAGATCCTAAATAAGATTTTAGTGAAGCTCCAGACAGGCAGAAGACATTCCATCTTTTTTTTTCTTTTGACATTCCATTCATGCTTTTTTTTTTTGGTTCCAACAATTAAATCCCATGCTATCTAAACCTACTACGTGCTACCCAACCCAGCAACACACAACTGACTAAAAATATCCTAGTATCTTACACATGCTGGATTCATTCTAGACACACTTTTGTGAATGCAATTCCTTCTCCTTTTTTTGACTCTGTTACCCAGGCTGGAATGCAGTGGCACGATCTCAGCTCACTGCAACCTCCATTTCCTGGGTTCAAGCAATTCTTCTGCCTCAGCCTCCCGAGTAGCTGGGATTACAGGAATGCGCCACCACGTCCAGCTAATTTTGTATTTTCAGTAGAGACGGGGTTTCTCCATGTTAGTCAGGCTGGTATCGAACTCCCGACCTCAGGTGATCCGCCTGCCTTGGCCTCCCAAGGTGCTGGGATTACAGGCGTGAGCCACTGCACCCAGTCCTTTTTCTTTTTTCTTAAACAGAGTCTCACTCTGTCGCCCAGGCTGGGGTGCAGTGGTGCAATCCTGGCTCACTGAAACCTTTACCTCCTGGGTTCAAGAGATTCTCCTGCCTCAGCCTCCCGAGTAGCTGGGACTACAGGCGCCCACCACCATGCTCAACTAATTTTTGTATTTTTAGTAGAGACAGGGTTTCACCATGTTGGGCAGGCTGGTCTTGAACCCCTGGCCTCAAGAGATCACCTCCACCTCAGCCTCCCAAAATGCTGGGATTACAGGCATGAATCACTGCGCCCAACTTCAATTTCTTCTATAGTCTACATATTCTTCCCACTGTCACTGATCGTCCCTGTCTTGCTGACCTGTCACATTTATCACTCCATTTATTTGTACCTAATCATGCCTCCTTGGATTATGTCACATTTTCTCAGGCATTTGTTTAAAAATTCTCTTGTATTGCCTCAAGATCTAGCATTTACTAGACGCTTAGTAAATGCTTGTTAAATCAGAGTTCAGTTGGGGCCCGAGCTGTGGCTCATGCCTTTAATCCCAGCACTTTGGGAGGCTGATGAGGGCAGTGATCACTTGAAGCTGGGAGTTCGAGACCAGCCAGGTCAACATGGCAAAACCCTGACTCTACTAAAAGTAGAAAAACTAGCTGGGCGTGGTGGCACATGCCTGTAGTCCCAGGTACTTGAGAGGCTGAGACAGGAGAATTGTTTGAACCAGGGCAGCAGAGGTTGTAGTGAGCCGGGATTGTGGCACTGCACTCCAGCCTGCGTGACAGTGAGACTCCGTCTCAAAAAAACAAAACAAAACAAAAAAACCAGAGGTTGGATTTACCTGGAAAAGACCACTTGGAGTCTTTTGCTGAATCCCACCCTTCTGGAAGTACTGGTTTTTAGGTGGCAAGACTATGAGCCTTCTTTTTTTTCTTTTTTTGAGATGGAGTTTCATTCTTGTTGCCCAGGCTGGAGTGCAAACAGCGTGATCTCGGCTCACTGCAAACTCCGCCTCCGGGGTTCAAGCGATTCTCCTGCCTCAGCCTCCCAAGTGGCTGGGATTACAGGCATGCGCCACCACGCCCAGCTAATTTTGTATTTTTAGTAGAGATGGGGTTTCTCCATGTTGGTCAGGCTGGTCTGCAACTCCTGACCTCAGGTGATCCGCCTGCCTCAGCCTCCCAAAGTGCTGGGATTACAGGCGTGAACCACCGTGCCCAGCCAAGTATGAGCCTTCTTGATTGGCCACATGTCCTTAGGCTTTTCCTTGAGTCATCTTGATAGATGTCGCACTGAAAGGCGCCAGGAAAAAGGCGGCCTGGTCGATACCTGTCTGGCTACCTGGGAGTTGGAGCGATGCCCACAGCTGTGTCAATAGCAGCCTGGAGGTTGGAAAATCACCAGCAGTTCAGCTCCCCACACTCCACTCATGCTCACTGGGAACATTCCCCACAGTTCCATCTTTGGTCTCCTTGCTGTTCACTCTGCATAATTCCTAAACCAGCAATTCCTTTCTGACCTCTTGCCTGGATCTCCTGGACCAGAAACCTTCAACACATCCCTCCTCCCTCTACCTCACCCAAGGGTGTCAGTCTTTCTTCTCAATACAGCCCATTCCCATCTCCACTGCTAGGCCAGCCTCTTCATTTGTGCACAGAAAGCCTAACAGCATCCACATTTCTCCAGTTGACCTATTCCTGGGGGCTCCTGTACCTTACGCCATTCATGACGCAGGAATCCTACCAGTCCTATCAAGCCACACCTCCTTCGTGAAGGCTTCTCAAACCTCAGATTCCTCTAACTTGGGACATGCACAGCCTCCCCTCCATTCAATGGACAAGCACATAAGTATTGCTTTGTATTTCCAATGACCATTTACTACTTGGAATACTTCTCGTCTCCTGATCAGGTTGTAAGCTCTTTGAGAATACACAACATAGCTAAAAACATGCATTTGTCTCTTCTGGGTCTTGGCATGTGGTATCTGTCCAACAGTTGTCAGAGTGTTCCCCAATTGCAACAACAGTGGTTTTGGTGATGTTGGAGGGTGGCAGGGGCCAAACTGTGATGGTCCCCTAGAGTGAGCATCTCTATGAGCTTTAGGTCTCAATGCACAGGCATGTTCAGCTGGACCACAACAGTCTCGCTTTCCTTAAGATTTTAACTTCCTTGTGGACAAGGACTGTGTTGTCGATCATGGCCACACCACAGCACCCGGCCAGAATTGACACTCAAAACACACCTGGGGTCCTCAGGAGGATGCTTTTGCTCAGTGGGAAAGGGACACACTTTTTTATTTCTTCTTTTTATCTCTATTTTTCATAGAGATGGGGGTCTTGCCATGTTGCCCAGGCTGGTCTCAAACTCCTGGCCTCAAGTGATCCTCATCTTGGCCTTCCAAAATGCTGGATTACAGGCATGAGCCACCATGCTCAGCCTGAAAAATTATCTTACTGTGGCCCCTGAACTATCAGATACATCATTTTTTAATGATTTATTTACCTGTCTCTTAGACCCTGAGACGTAAGACCAAGAAGGGAAATGGACCTGTAGGCTGGCAAGACCTCTGGTGGGATGTCAGAGTGAGATTTTTTTTTTTTTCTGTGAGTCAGTGTCTCACTCTGTCACCCAGGCTGGAGTGCAGTGGTGCGATCTCGGCTCACTGCAACCTCCGCCTCCCAGGTTCAAGCGATTCTCGTGCCTCAGCCTCCCGAGTAGTTGGGATTACATGCGTGCACCACCACGCCTGGCTAAGTTTTGTATTTTTAGTACAGACGGGGTTTTGCCATGTTGGGCAGGCTGGTTTCAGACTCTTGACCTCAAGTGATCTGCCCACCTTGGCTTCCCAAAGTGCTGGGATTACAGGCATGAGCCACCTCGTCTGGCCGCGTTTTTTTTTTTTTAAGAGACAAGGTCTTGTTCTGTTGCTCAGGCTGCAGTGCAGTAGTGCAATCATAACTCACTGCAGCCTCGATCTCCTGAGCTAAAGTGATCCTCCCTCCCCAGCTTCCCAAGCAGCTGGGACTACAGGTGTGCACCACCATGTCTAGCTAATTTGTAAATTTTTTTGGTAGTAGAGATGGGGTCTCACTATGTTGCCCAGGCTGGTCTCGAACTCCTGGCCTCAAGTGATCCTCCCACCTTGACCTCCCAAAGCTTTGGGATTACAGGCAGGAACCACTGTGCCTGGCCTTGGAGCATGATGCTTTTATTGGAAAGTTACGGGATTGGGAAGGCTGACCCAATCTCTCCTTTGAGCCTACTTGAAGCTTTCATTATTCTTTGCACCAGTGGTGGCCCATCCCTAGCCTCTCTTTTCCATCCATACGGACAGACTTTGCTGCGTGCTTGGAGGCAACGTGCCAAAGGCCAGGCCTGCCACACATCACCATGCACCTGGACTCAGCTGCTTTCAGTCCTTGTGAGGGAAGGGGGCTGCAACCCAGCTATAGAAAAGGCCAAGCAAGCAACTTGGCCACTGAAGGTCTGCTGCTCTCCAAACAGCAGGTGGACAAGTGCTATGTGCTCGGAGCTTGTTAAGTAAATGCCAGCCACTGCCTCTTGTTCATAGGCCATCCACCCACCAGCATACCCTGTAATAAGAAATTCCTATTGCTTCTCAGCAAAGATCTCTGCCTAGTTACCATTCAAGACCTTCAGAAACCTCACCCTTCTTTGGCCATTTGTTAAAGTCATTCTCACCCATACAAACTGCCTGCTCTGACCAAAGCAGGCTACTATGTCTCTTCCCTGAACACCCCAGCTCCCCAAGACCATCTGAGCTTGGCAACACTGGGCCCCTGCCTCCCCCAACCCACTCATTCCCAGGGTCCAGCTGTAGCATCACCTCCATGAAGCCTCTACTCTGTCACTGGAGTGCAGTGGCACAATCGTGGCTCACCACAGCTTTGAACTCCTGGGCTCAAGTGTTCCTCCCACCTCAGCCTCCTGAGTGGCTAGGACCACAGGTGTGCACCACCATGTCTGGCTACTTAAAAAATTTTCTGTAGAGACGGGGTCTTACTGCGTTGCCCAGACTGGTCTCCCACTCCTGGCCTCAATCAATCCTCCCACCTCAGCCTCCCAAAATCCTGGGATTACAGGCTTGAACCACTGTGCCCAGCCTATGCTACCTTTACTTTCGGGCAAATCTTACATTTCAATGAAATTTTCAAGGCAGAGAGCTTGTCTGTGTTTGTGCCACACATGACAGCTCACACAAAGCGATCAATTGGCAAAGGTCGAGTGCCCGCAGATCAGATGCCACACTGGCCAAGGCAGGGGCTCTTCCCTTTGACTCTTGCATGGAATGGGCCCTGACGGGAAGGTGCCAAACTCGACAGGCTTGGGGTTGAGAGAAGGGGGAGAAAGCACAGAAGCGAGGCAGCTGCCTTGCTACTGAAAAACAAGAGATCAAGAATACCAGGGTATGGGCTGGGCGTGGTGGCTCACATCTGTCATCCCAACAATTTGGAACGCTGAGGTGGGAGGATCACTTGAGACCAGGAGTTCAAGACCAGCCTGGGCAACATAGCAAGACCTTATCTCTACTCACAAAAAACTTAGCCAGGTGGTGGTGTGAACTTGTAGTCCCAGCTACTCAGGAGGCTGAAGCAGGAGGATTGCTTGAACCTAGGAGTTTGAGGCTGCAGTGAGCTAGGACTGTGCCACTGCACTCCAGCCTGGGAGACAGAGCAAGACTTCGTCTCGGAAAAAAAAAAAAAAAAGAGTAGCAGGACTCAAATCCAGTCCCATGTGCCATTCAGCAGCTGCACGATTTTACCTGTTCTTGTGCCAGTCTTCTCAGCTGTAAAGTGAGGATAACAGTTGTTCTACTTACCCACAGGATCAGAGTCAGAATCAAATAAGGACAGGCCCACGCTTTAGAAGCACTGTACAAGGCTGGGCACGGTGGCTTACACCTGTAATCCCAGCACTTTGGGAGGCCAAGGCGGGTGGATCACCTGAGGTCAAGAGTTCGAGACCAGCCTGGCCAACATGGTGAAACCCTGTCTCTACAAAAATACAAAAAAATACTAGCTGGGCATGGTGGCGGGCACCTGTAATCCCAGCTACTCGGGAGGCTGAGGCAGGAGAATTGCTTGAACCCAGGAGGTGGAGGTTGCAATCAGCTGAGATTGCGCCATTGCACTCCAGCCTGGGCCACAAGAGTGAAACTCCGTCTCAAAAAAAAAAAAAAAAAAAAAGCAGCAGCACTGTACAGATAGCAGCTGGTGTTAGTTACCAAACAGAGTTGAAAAAAGCTCAGACGGGGCCCAACTCTTGGCCCTAGGGCGAAGGTGGCTTTTATTTCCTCTCTTGGGGAAGGAGGGGGAGGGAGCTTTCCCAAGCACATCAACCTAAGGAAGGGGTGGTTGCGCCCCCAGCAGCGAGGGGCTGGAACTGCTGATCATTCGGAAGGAAGGGTTCGTTCTTGTCCACTTCCTGGCCCTTGGCTGCAGGGTGTGCTGGCAGGGGTCACTCCCCTTGGGGTGGCAGCTCCTGCATCAGTGGAGGCACAAGGAGGTATCTGCTGGTGTTCACGAAGAGGAGGGGGCAGGTGCCCTGAGTGAGGGAGAAAGGGCTGGGGTGTCCGACCCCACGCCAACGCCTGCCCAGTATGATCACTTTCATAAGGCCTGGCTGGTGGGACTCCTCCCAGGAAGGCCCTGAGGGGCCCCTTGGTAGTGCTCCACACGATGGCTGGTGCTTTAAATGTCCATCTCAAACTGTGACTCTTCACCTGGGGAGAGAGGGGACAGAGGGCCAGGTCAACAATGGGTGAATGCTTGGTATATGAGGCCATTCTTTCATTGCTATAAAGAAATACCTGAGGTTGGGTAATTTATAAAGAAAATAAGTTTTTTTTTGTTTTTTTGTTTTTTTTTTTTGAGATGGAGTCTCACTCTGTCTCCGAGGCTGGAGTGCAGTGGCCCAATTTCGGCTCACTGCAACCTCCGCCTCCTGGGTTCAAGCGATTCTCCTACCTAAGCCTCCCAAAAGAGTAGCTGGGATTATAGGCACCCACCACCACACCCAGCTAATTTTTGTATTTTTAGTAGACCCGGGGTTTTGCCATGTTGGCCAGGCTGGTCTCGAACTCCTGATCTCAGATGATCCACCCTCCTCAGCCTCCCAAAGTGCTGGGATTACAGGTGCGAGCCACCGTGCCCAGCCAAGAAAAGAGGTTTAACTGGCTCGCGGTTCTGCAGGCTGTACAAGCATGACGCCGGCCTCAGCTTGGCTTCTGGGGAGGCCTCAGGGGGCTTTTCGTCATGGTGGAAAGCAAAGCGGGAGCAGGCATGTCACATGGAGGAAGCAGGAGCAAGAGAGAGGGTGGAGTGGCGCTCCCACACTTTACAACAACCAGATCTCGAGAGAACTCATTCACTATCATGAGGACAGCACCAAGCTGTGAGGGATCTGTCCCCACGACCCAAACACCTCCCACCAGGCCCTACCTCCAACACTGGGGATTACAATTTAACATGAGATTTGGGCAGGGACAAATATCCAGACTATATCATTTCGTCTGACTCTTGTTGTTTTTGCTTTTTTCTTTAGAGACAGGGTCTCACTCTCTTGGCCAGGCTGGCGTGCAGTTACGCAATCATAGCTCACTGCAGCCTTGACCTCCTGGGCTCAAATGATCCTCTGGCCTCAGCCTCCCAAGTAGTTGGGATTACAGGCATGCACCACCATGCCTGGCTAATTTTAAAATTTTATGTAGAGATGGGGTCTTGCATTGTTGCCCAGGCTGGTATTGAACTTCTGGCCTCAAGTATTCATCCTGCCTCAGCCTCCCAGAGTGCTGGGATTTCAGGCATGAGCCACTGTGCCTGGCCACCAGCTGATGTTTTTAGGGGCCAGGGACAGCCCCTATTTTTTGAAAGTAGATAACTTGTTTAGTTTCACAGGCTCACAGCTGGAAGGAAATTAAGCTTGAGATGAATCATGCTGTGAGTCTTGTCTGATTCAGATGAAATTCTGGACTTTGAACTTTTGAGCTAGGACTGCAACGTGTTAAGTCTTTGGGGATATGGGGACCAAATTAATATATGTGTATATGAGAAGGACATGAGTTTGGGGGGTCCAGGGCTGGAATGCTATGGTTTGAAATTCATACAGAAACTTAATCCCCAATGTAACAGTATTAAGAGTTGGGGCCGTTAAGAGGTAATTGGGTCATGAAGGCTCTGTCCTCATGAATGGATTAGCCCATTCCTGGATTAATGGGTTACCACAGGAGTGGGCTAGTTATCACAAGAGTGTTATAAAAAGGCAGCTTGGTTCTCTCTCATGTGCCCCTCTTGCCCTGTGATGCCTTCCGCCATGTTATGATGCAGCAGGAGGCCCTCACCAGAAGCCCAGCAGATGCGGGCACCATGCCCTTGGCCTTCCCAGCCTCTAGAACTGTAAGAAATAAACCATTTTTCTTCATAAATTACCCAGTCTCAGGTATTCAGTTACAGCCATAAAAAAACAGACTAAGACACAGGCAACTATTGTCTGTCTTGTACTGTGAGGTTCCCAAGGTAATTATGAATCATGTCCTGCAGGCCCTGGGGAGATTAATTCTGCTGCTGTTAGCAGAGCCAGCCAAGCTGAGGTCCCTGCTGCTTCCTGTCTGGGCCTGGGGTACGGCCTTCCGGGTGAAGGGTCGGCGGGTTCCAATCTGATTATAGTTGCCCGGAAGTGCTTATGCTGCATCATCTTGCAGCAGAGAACTCCAACACTCTGCCAAGCCAGTCAGGATGCCACAAAGAGTGCATTCACTTACACCACTACCACAGTGGCTGCTCTAATTACTCGGGAGGTGGGGACAGCAGGAAGGACCCAGCTACCAAATGTCAAATCGGCAGAGACAACTGGCTGCATTGTTTCTACCTGCCTTCATGAAGATCCACTAGGGGACCAACAGCCCAACAGGAGGCATCCCGGATGTATTTCTTATCTTGTAGACATATAATTTCCCAAAGGACAAGTACACTGTGTCTTTGATAACTTGTCTCTTGCACCACAAACATCATGGGTGTGTTCCAAGTGGAAATGCTTCAGAGACAATTATACAGAGGCACATGCTTACGAAAGTTGCTGTGTGCAGCCGCTGCCATTTCAAACAAACTCCCCGCTAATTACATGACCCAAAGGTGCCAGATCACCTTTCCTGAGGTGCCTGGGCCCCTTTCAGGGGGAAAGTTGCTACCAATGAAGAGTTCAACCTCCCCACCCCTACTCTCACCCTCTGGGCTCTGAGCTGCTCCTTAGAGGGTAGGGCAGAGTCCCTGTTGTTCCTCCTCCCTGGAATTGCCCCCAGTGGATGGACTCCAGGAGCCTCATACATTCCCTTTCCCAAGGTAGAGCCTGGCCAAGCCCCGACACTCACCGCCCGCCCGCTTATCTTCTGGGCTATTGCGCAGGTGGCTCTGGCTGGCTTCCATGGGGGGCTCATCACTGGAAGGGCTGGTGACCCCCGGAATGGTGGGCAGATCCCTTGGGGGTGTTTTGGTCACAGGTGAGTTCCGACACTCCATCAGGAATTTCCGGTCATAGATGATCCTGGTACCTAGAAGGGAACAGGGAGGTTGGTCAAGCCATCTGCAGCCTCTTGCCTGCCGGTTTTTCCACTTTTTAAAGGCGTGGCTGCAGTAGAGGCAGCAGATTCTCCTGAAAAACCCAGAGGAGGCTGGGTGCGGTGGCTCATGCCCATAATCCCAGCACTTTGGGAGACCAACATGGGTGGATCACCTGAGGTCAGGAGTTCGAGACCAGCCTGGCTAACATGGTGAAACCCCGTCTCTACTAAAAATACAAAAATTAGCCAGCGTGGTGGTGGTAGCCTGTAATCCCAGCTACTCAGGAGGCTGGGGCAGGAGAATCACTTGAACCTGGGAGGCAGAGGTTGCAGTGAGCCGATTGCACCACTGTACACCAGCCTGGGTAACAGAGCGAGACTCCTTTTCATAAAAAAAAAAAAAAAAAAGCCAGAGTAGTGAGGCTTATTTGGGGGCCTGGCTGCCACCCAGAACTCTGCTACCTCCAAACGGCCCCAACTCCCCTTCACATGGAATGATCCAATGGAAGGGGTCTGCAGGCCACCAACTGCACCTGTGTCTTCCCAGAGCTCTGTGCACACTGTGCTCTGTCCCTATAGCCCCTCAGCTCACTCACCCACCTGGGCTTAGTGTTAATTACCCATGACAATCACATACCACGGTGGAAAAAATGCATTTCTAGTCATTATTCAGTCCTGTCCTTACAGCACTCCTGTGGGATACCCAGAATAGCTGCATTTTACAAATGACCAAACAGAAAATACTTGTGATTCAACCAGAGTAGTAAAAATAAGAACTTTTGCCAGGTGTGGTAGCTCACACCTGTAATCTCAGCACTTTGGGAGGCCACCGTGGGAGGACTGCTTGAGCCCAGGAGCTTGAGACTAGCCTGGACAACTTAGAGAGACCTCATCTCTACAAAAATGTTAAAATGAGTCGGGCATGATGGGTACGTGCCTGTAGTCCCAGCTACTCGGGAAGCTGAGACGGGAGGATTGCTTGAGCCCAGGAGGTCCAGGCTGCAGTGAGACCCTATCTCAAAAAGACAGTTCCAAAAAAAAAAGAGAGAAATGCCTGGGCTTTGCGGAGAAGAGCCAGAGGCAGGAGTGAAGGGTGGGCTCTCCTGCTGAGCCCCTCCTTTGTGAGGCCCCCAGTGTGTCCTGCCAGTGTGTCACTGACCTTGGAATTCTACCCCACCATCCCAAGTAGCTGGGATTATAGGTGCGTGCCACCATGCCCAGCTAATTTTTTGTATCTTTAGTAGAGACGGGATTTCACCATGTTGGCCAGGCTGGTCTCAAACTCTTGACCTCGTGATCTGCCTGCCTCGGCCTCCCAAAGTGCTGGGATTACAGGTGTGAGCCACCGTGCCCGGCCCCTTTGTATCTTTTTATAGCTACCTTCTATTTATGGCAAGTGAATCCGGTGTTCCATATATAGTAGTGATAGCAATTCCTTTTAATATACAATAATATAATAATATATTATAGATTCTATAATAAAATAATGTAAATTAAATTCAAAAGCTAAGGTGATATAAAGAAATATTAAATATCTGTACAAGTGGAATGCAAGGTATGGTAATAATTGTGCAGATAAAATATGAATAACCCAAGTTTGGGAATCATGATTTAAGGACTTCAGGAATGCCCTTCCTTAGCAATAACCTTGAAATCTCTCCTTCACTTAGGGGCTATGATGAGTAGCATTCCAACAGCTGAGATTCATTTCTTACACTTTATTTTACTTTTTTGATTTTTAATTTTTATGGATCCATAATAGTTGTACATATTGAGATTCATTTCTTGATGCTCAGCACTGGACTCTGTAAACCCCTGGAAAGGAACCAATTTCCATCTCGGAGTCTGAGTGTGAGTTCCTGAAACGGGGCTCTGTGCTGAGGATGACGTGAGATGCTGAAGGGCAGAGGAATGCAGAGAGATACCTAAAGATAAACTTCACCTGCTGGCTGTGTTCCTCTAGTCTGGCTGTGGCCCCTCCAGGCAGTCACTGGTCTTACTCTCCTGTCCCCTTGCAGGAGAGGCAGTGATACTGAAGCTGACAGCCCTGCTCATTGCCTATGGGACTCCAGCGCACAGCTGTTTCTTAGGAGGAGGGGTGTAAAGAACCAGGGTGCATTTGGGCTCCGTTCCCAGTCAGCTGTGTGACCCTATGCACCTTGCTCCTTGCACCCCCTGTTTTGGGCCTCCATCTCCTCATCTGTAAAATAAAGACCCATGCACCTTCTAGGTCTGAGTGCCTATGAGCCCAGATTACAAATGGAGAGCAGTGGTGCCCTCTCTTTGCAGGGCTGGGGTGACAGTGAGGGGAGGTAAGGGAAGACCAATTTCTAACTCTTTTTTTTAAAAAGTGACCCAGATTTGTTTTGGTTCTAGAGGCCAGATGTGGCACTGCTCCACTCTGCAAGGCTTGGGGTTGTACAATCTCTCCTCCCCAGAGGGGAGGGAAGCCCAGAGACCCCAGGGTCCAGGCAGCGGGGTGGGGACTCAGTGGACAAGTGGCTGGACATCCTGGCTCCAGATGGGACCACTTTTTTTCTGTTGTTTCTTAATCTTTGAGACTCGGCAAGAGTGCCCCCCTTCTTGTTTCCCCCCAACTTTGCTTTTTGTTTGTTTGTTTTGAGATGGAGTCTTGCTCTGTCACCCAGGCTGGAATGCAGTGGCACAATCTTGGCTCACTGCAATCTCTGCCTCCTGGGTTCTAGCAATCCTCCCGCCTCAGCCTCCCCAGTAGCTGGGACAACAGGCATGTGCTATCACGCCCGGCTAATTTTTGTATTTTTTGGTAGAGACAGGGTTTCACCATGTTGGCCAAGCTGGTCTTGAACTCCTGACCTCAAGTGATCCACTGGCCTCAGCCTCCCGAAGTGCTGGGGTTACAGACATGAGCCACACTTTTTTTGTTGTTGTTGGTTTGTTTATCATAGCGTGAAACCTAAGAGTTAAAGATTCAACAGTCTCAAAGAAGCGCCCAGGGGCCAGCAACCATCTGGAGAGCCTCTTTAAAGGTCATCAGCCCCTGGTGACTTTTTAAAAATTGTGGTGAAATACACATAACATTGACCATCTTAAACATTTTCGGTAGGGTGTTGTGCTACCATCACCGCCAATCATCTCCAAAACGTTTTCATCATGTGAAACTGAAACTCTACAACAACTCCCCTTCCCCACTCCCTCTAGGCCCTGGCAAGCAGGGTTCTACTTTCTGTCTCTCTGAATTTGACTACTCTAGGTATCTTATATAGTGAAATCATACAGGATTTGCTTTTTCATGACCGGCTTATTTCACTTAGCATAATGTCCTCAAGGTCCCTCCACACTGTAGCATGTGATAGGATTTCCTTCCTGCTGAAGGCTGAATAATATCCCATTGAGAGTGTGCGCGCATTTTGCTTATCCTTTCCTCTGACTGATGGACACCTGGGTTGCTTCCACTTCTCAGTTATTGTGAATCATGCTGCTATGAACATGGGAATACAAATACTTCTTGAAGATCTTGCTTTCACCAGCCTGGCCAGCATGGTGAAACCCCGTCTCTACCAAAAATACAAAAATTAGCCAGGCGTGGTGGCACACACCTGTAATCCCAGCTACTCTGGACTGAGGCAGGAGAATCGCTTGAACCTGGGAGGCAGAGGCTGCAGTGAGCTGAGATGGCGCCACTGCGCTCCAGTGAGCTGAGATCGCGCCGCTGCCCTCCAGCCTGGGCGACAGAACAAGACCCTGTCTCAAAACAAAACAAAACAAAAAAACAGGCCAGGTACAGTGGCTCATGCTTGTAATCCTAGCACTTTGGGAGGCAGAGGCAGGCAGATCACCTGAGGTCAGGAGTTCAAGACCAGCCTGGTCAACACGGTGAAACCCTGTCTCTACTAAAAATACAAAAATTAGCTGGGCGTGGTGGCACACCCCTGTAATCCCAGCTACTTGGGAGGTTGAAGCAGGAGAATTGTTGAACCTGGGAGGCGGAGGTTGCAGTGAGCCAAGATCATGCCACTACACTCCAGCCTGGGCAACAGAGCAAGCAAGACTCTGTCTCAAAAAAAATTAAATCATTAATTATACTTAAAAGTGAAAGAAAAAGCCTCTGTGCCCTTTGTTCTATGGCTACCACAGTTACTTAAAAATAAGAATCCTAATTTTACCTAATAAAAGCAGAGATTTCAGTTGGGGAGGGGTCTGTGAGGAGTAAACAGCAGCATGCAGAAAGTCAGCCGAAGGCTGGGTGAGGTGGCTCGCACCTGCAATCCCAGCACTTTGGGAGGCTGAGGTGGGAGGATCACTTGAGCCCAGGAGTTTGAGACCAGCCTGGGCAACATTGCAAGACCTTATCTACAATTTTTTTTTTTTTTTTGAGATGGAGTCTCATTCTGTTGCCCAGGCTGGAGTGCAGTGGTGCGATCTCGGCTCACTGTAACCTCTGCCTCCTGGGTTCAAGCAATTCTCCTTGCCTCAGCCTCCCAAGTAGCTGGGATTACAGATGCCTGGCTAATTTTTGTAGTTTCAGTGGAGACAGGGTTTTGCCATGTTGGCCAGGCAGGTCTTGAGTTCCTGACCTCAGGTGATCCGCCTGCCTCGGCCTCCCAAAGTGCTGGGATTACAGGCATGAGCCACTGCACCTGGCCTACTAAAATTTTTAAAAAATTAACCAGGCATGGTGGCATGCGCTTGGAGTCCTAGCTACGCGGGAGGCTGAGATGGGAGGATCGCTTGAGCCTGAGAGATTGAGGCTGTGGTGAGCAGTGGTTGCACCATTGGACTCCAGTCTGGGAGACAGAGCGAGACCCTGTCTAAAAAAAAAAAAAGACAAACCTTAAAGCCTGGCTGAAGACACCTGCTGCAGAGCTACTTGGTGCTGGGGACACTTGGCCCATGTACAAGGTCAGGAAATGGAAACACGAGTGGGTGGGATGGATGCCAAGGTCCCTTCAGGGCTGCTGGTCAGGTGTGGTCTGACAGAAACCTGTGTGTGTGTTCAGCAGGTGGAGTGGCATCACGCTAGGGTGGCCTCCACATAAAACTCTTTAGCCAAAGGTGGGGGCTACGGCTGGGCGCAGTGACTCACATCTGTAAATCCCAACAGTTTGGGAGGCCAAGGTTGGAGGATCACTTGAGGCTGGGAGTTCCAGACCAGCTTGGCCAACACAGCGAGACCTCATCTTTAAAAGTAAAACAGGCTGGGCGCAGTGGCTCACGCCTGTAATCCCAGCACTTTGGGAGGCCGAGGCAGGCAGATCACCTGAGGTCAGGAGTTCGAGACCAGCCTGGCCAACATGGCGAAATCCCGCCTCTATTAAAAACACAAAAATTAGCCGGGCATGGTGGCACACACCTAATCCTAGCTACTCAGGAGGCTGAGGCAGGAGAATCACTTGAACCTGGGAGGCGGGGGTTGCAGTGAGCCGAGATCGTGCCACTGCACTCCAGCCTGGGAGACAGAGCACGACTCTGTCACAAAAAAATAAAAAAAAATATAAATAAAAGGAAAACAAAACCTCTTTAACTGAGGTCCTATGTCATCAGCAGGCCTGTCTTGGACCCCTCTGTACACTGGGGTAAATGACCCACCTCCACTAGGTCACTACAAAGAGTATGAAGTACTTTTGAGGATCAAAGTGACTTCAAGATGGCAGAGCCATGACATTTTTCTCCTACTCCTCTCAAAAGTCATGCCAAACACCAAGAATGAGAAGTACAAGCACGTTCTCCAACCTGGATGCAGGGAGAGCTCCAACTGTCACCCCAAATCACAACAGGTAAAGACAGAGGCAAGTACAGGAGCGGTCAACGATCTCATGGGGAGGAAGCGGGTGACACTGAAATGCAGGGAGGTGGGGGTGGAGCAAGTTCTCCGTTTGCCCCAGAGAACCCCAGGAAGGTTCAGGAATTAGGCACAGCATGGAATCTGGGGATGGGGGCTGATAACAGGGAGACTGCTTGGAAGTCTGTATGGAAAATGGAAACCCCAGGTTCTTACCAGCATCTAGCAGCTGCCCTGAGGTTTACTCTCTTAAGCAAACTTACCAGAGGGGTGCCAGGTGTCCCTTGCCCCAAGGAGAGGGGTGACAGAGAAATTAAAGTTGACCTCCTGAATGGTGAGCCTTAAGCCCTCTCCTCTCCCCTGCTTCAGAATAAAGAGTGAAGATAAAGACCTACAGAAACTGATTGTGGCATGGGGGTCCACAGTGAATAAAACCAGCTAGCCACCAGATGGAACCCATCAGTCTCTGGGCCACACAAGGGACTCCTGGTCAGCTCCTGAGTTCCCCACCCTTAAATAAAAACAGCCAGGCCCGGTGCAGTGGTTCACACCTGTAAGTAATCCCAACACTCTGGAAGGCTGAGGTGGGAGGATCAGTTGAGCCTAGGAAGTTGAGGCTGCAGTGAGCTATAATCATGACATTGCACCGTAGCCTGAGCGAAAGAGCGAGACCCTGTCTTTCAAAAAAGAAAGAAAGAAAGAAAAGACCGAGGCAGGCGGATTGCTTGAGCCCAGGAGTTTGAGACCAGCCTGAGCAACACGGTAAAACCCTGTCTTTACAAAAAAGACAAAAATTAGCCAAGCGTGGTGGCACACGTCTGTAGTTCCAGCTACCCAGGAGGCAGAGGTGGGAGGATCACCAGAGCCCAGGAGGTCCAAGGCTGCAGTGAGCTAAGACTGCACCACTATACTCCAGTTTGATTGACAGAGTGAAACCCTGTGTCAAAAACTAAATTTTAAAAAATTTAAAAAACCAACCAGTCAAATGTTCCCACACATTTCTGAGAAAGGCTTGTAGCATTTAAGGCGAGATCTAAGCAAATCAACAGGAGGAAACAGGTAATAAAGGAAGCAGAAAATCTTAAAGAAAAACAAAAGAGGCCGGGTGCAGTGGTTCACGTATACAACCCCAACACTTTGGGAGGCTGAGGCGGGTGGATCACATGAGATCAGGAGTTCAAGACCAGCCTGGCCAACATGGTGAAACCCCGTCTCTACTAAAAATACAAAACATTAGCTGGGTGTGGTGGTGCACACCTGTAGTCCAGCTATTCAGGAGGCTGAGGCACGAGAACCGCTTGAACCCAGGAGGCGGAGGCTGCAGTGAGCCGAGATTGTGCCACTGCACTCCGGGCCTGGGGACAGAGAAACATTCCATCTCAAAAAAAAAAAGAAAAAAGAAAAAGGACAAAGAGATGAACAATAGGCAAAAAGATAATAAATTAGGGGTCCAATATTGGATGGCAGGAAGTCCAGAAGGAGAAAAGAGAAACTAATAAAAGGGAATTTACTTTAAAAATATGAAGAAAGGCCAGGTGTGGTGGCTCACGCCTGTAATCCCAGCACTTTGGGAGGCCGAGGTGGGTAGATCACTTGAGATCAAGAGTTTAAGACCAGCCTAGACAACATGGTGAAAACCCATCTCTACTAAAAATACAAAAATTAGCCAGGCATGGTGGTGTGTGTCTATAATCCCAGCTACTCGGGAGGCTGAGGCAGGAGGATTGCTTAAACCCACAAGGTGGAGGTTGCAGTGAGTTGAGATCACGCTACTGCACTCCGGCCTGGGGGACAGAGCGAGAACCTGTCTCAAGAAAAAAAAAAAAAAAAAGAAGACGGAAATTTTCCTGAATTGAAAGAGATGTCTTGAAATTGAAGCTCCCCTTTCAGTAAGTAGTGCAATGAATTCAAAACACTCAGTTAACATCATTGTGAAATTCACAATACTGGCGATAAAGAGAAAATCCTTTATAGGATTTTCAGGTATACACAAGGACAGGGAATGAGAAGGGCGTAAAATGTCTTAAATGGCAAGACTGGAAGCCTGCAAACGGTGCCTTGACGCCTTCACAATCTGACAGAAAATTCACTTCAACCTGCATCTTATCCCCTGCCAAACACAAATCAAGTAAAAGTATAACAGAGATACTTCTCTTTTTTCTTTTCTTTTCTTTTTTTTTTTTTTGAGACGGAGTTTCGCTCTTGTTGCCCAGGATGGAGTGCAATGGCGCAATCTCGGCTCACTGCAACCTCCGCCTCCCAGATTCAAGCAATTCTCCTGCCTCAGCCTCCCGAGTAGCTGGGATTACAGGCCTGCACCACCAAGCCCGGCTAATTTTGTATTTTTAGTAGAGATGGGGTTTCTACATGTCGAGGCTGGTCTTGAATTCCTGACCTCAGGTGATCCACCCGTCTCGGCCTCCCAAAGTGCAGGGATTACAGGCATGAGCCACCGTACCCGGCCTCTCTTTTTTCTTTAAATTAAATCAAATTTTATTTTTGGAGACAGGGTCTCGCTATGTTACCCAGGCTGGTCTCAAACCCCTGGTTTCAAATGATCCTCCTGCCTCAGCCTCCCAAAGTGCTGGGATTACAGGTGTGAGCCACTGCACCTGGCCATAGAGACATTTCAGAAAGAATACAGTAAGATGTGTTCTGCCAAAATTATAGAAAGACTAGGGCTTCAGGGAACCCCACATTGACAGTTGTGTGGCAGGGCTGGAGCAGCCAAACTGTTACTCCAAATCTTGTCTTAGTTTAGGAGAGAGGGAAAAAATGGGCAGATAAATCTAGAAGTCCAACTGTGTGCAAGACCTTACTGTGAGGCATTTTAGAGAGCTTCTGGAAGGTTTGGGAAAACCTAAATGAAAACTAAGCACATTTTTAAAACAAAGCAATTATTAACTCTGCTTTTTTTAAAAAATATATATATATAAAAGTGGAAATGCTATTATTATAGATAGTACTTGGCTCAAGAATCATCATAATAAAAACAACAAATGTTTACTTTTAATTTTAGTTTAAATTTTTTTTTTTTTGAAACAGGGTCTTGCTCTGTCACTCAGGCTGGAGTGCAGTGGTGCCATCATGGCTCACTGCAACCTTGGACCTCCTGGGCTCAGGTGATCCTCCCACCTCAGCTTCCTGAGTAGCTGGGACTACAGGCAAGTGTCACCACACCCAGCTAATTTTTGTATATACTTTTTTGTAGAGACAGGGTTTTACCATGTTGCCTAGGGTGGGCTGGAACTCCTGGGCTCAAGTGATCCACTGCACCCAGCCTGTTTTTGTTTTTTGTTTTCCTTAAAGACAGAATCTTGCTATGTTGCCCAGGCTAGACTCAAACTTCTGGGCTCAAGTGATCCTCCCGCCTCAGCCTCCTGAGGAGCTGGGATTACAGGTGTGTGCCACTGCACCTGGCTGGATTTTTAAAACTTTGAAATGTAATTTTATTGGGACAATGAGGGGAGAGGAAGAGAGAAAATACAGAAATAAAAAAAACCTCATTTATCAAAAAAGTGATTCAGGCTGGGCGCAGTGGCTCATGCCTGTAATCTCAGTGCTTTGGGAGGCCAAGGTGGGTGGATCACCTGAGGTCAGGAGTTCGAGACCAGCCTGGCCAACATGGCAAAACCCTGTCTTTACTAAAAATACAAAAATTAGCTGGGCGTGGTGGCATGTGCCTGTAATCCCAGCTACTTGGGAGGCTGAGGCAGGAAAACTGCTTGAACCTGGGAGGCAGATGTTGCAGTGAGTTGAGATCGCATCACTGCATTCCACCCTGGGCAAGAGAGTGAGACTCTGTCTCAAAAAAAAAAAAAAAACAAAACCCAAAACCCTACACTACACCTTAACTCCCATGAACTGTATTCAAGTATAGAGACTACTGCAATCCAGGGACAAAAATGTTAATCCTTACCCACATATTTGCCGGTCTTTGCTCAATCCTTTTTTCCTGAAAGTAGGTGTGCTGGTCTCATTTACTTACTCACTGAACCTCTACTTTGTACTAGCACCATGCGAGGTGCTAGGGATTTAAAAAAGTCAGATGTAGTGAAAGTGCCTAGATCCAAACCTTATGTAATTTAGTCGAGAAAGACCCGTAAACAAGTGATTACAGCCAAGTGTGTGAAGTCCACAGACAGGCGTAAGAGGAGATCACCAAGGGACACAGATCCCAAGTCCTCCATCTTCCTGCTTCCAAGCAGCCTGACCCTAAACCCCCGGCCCAGAGAAACATCCATCTCACCCCAGTTCTCCAGTGCCCGAGGGGTGAGGGAGGTGAGCTAAGGCTGACCTTGATTGCCAACCCAGAGATGCAGAGCAGGGAAACCCAGAACCCTGCCTCCCAGCAGGGCAAGGGAAGAAGAGAGGAGCACCCCTACACCTCAAACCATTTGTGTAGCTGGGATCCAGCCCGTTGTGTGCTGGGGGTAGAGTTCAAGGTTCGGTCTTGAACTATCTGGGGACAATAACTGAGGCTCATTCTACCTGAAATCCTTTGGAAACCCAGCTCTGTCATTCCATTTGCTAGCTCTCATGACTCTGGGCAAGTTATGACTTAAAATCTTTGTGCCTCAGTTTCTGCTTCTCCAGATTGGCGACGACAATGATGATGATGATGATGGTAGTGCCAACTTCATAGGATTACTGTGTGGATTTGAACAGTGGCTGACACAATGTAAGCCCCATACAATTCTAGTTATTATCATGACCTGCAGGGTCCAGGTGACATAATTTCACCATTTATTCAGTTCCATCCATACCAGCAACCAATTATCAGTCAAAGCAGGGATAAATCAGAGGACAGGTAAGCAACTCAGGAGAGACACTTGGAAGGGACAGGGTGAGGGTGTCCTCCCTCCTTTTTAGGCCCACGGAAACCAAGAACCATCATAAACTTCAGCATGTTTGTTAGCCAGTATCCTTCAGGATTTTAAACTCCAAATGTGCACCAAATATAGGAATGATATTTTTTTTTCAAGGCATGCTTTGTGGTGACAGTAGTTTGCTTTCAATATATAAAGCAATGGGGGGGTTCAAGACCAGCATGGGTAACAAAGCACGATCCCATCTCTACAAAAGAAGTTAAAAATTAGCCAGGTGTAGGCCGGGTGGGGAAGCTCACGCCTGTAATCCCAGCACACTGGGAGGCCAAGGCAGGTGGATCACTTGAGGTCAGGAGTTTGAGACCAGCCTGACCAACATGGTGAAACCCTGTCTCTATTAAACATACAAAAATTAGCTGGGCGTGGTGGCAGACGCCTGTAATCCCAGCTACTTGGGAGGCTGAGGCAGGAGGATTGCTTGAACCCAGGCAGAGGTTGCAGTGAGCCAAAATCGCACCATTGCACTCCAGCTTGGGTGACAGAGCAAGACTCTGTCTCAAACAAACAAAAAAAAAATTAGTCAGGTGTTGTGGTGCATGTCTGCAGTCCCAGCTACTTAGGAGGCTGAGGCAGGAGGATGGCTTGAACCCAGAATTCAAGGTTGTAGGGAACTACAATTTTACCACTGCACGGTAGTCTGGGAGACAGAACAAGATCTGTCTCTAAAAAAAGTAAGGAAATATTTCTATTAATTAATTATCATTATTATTATTTTTTGAGATAGAGTCTCGGTCTGCTGCCCAGGCTGGAGAACAATAGTGTGATCTTGGCTTACTGCAACTTCTGCCTCCTGGGCTCAAGTGAGCCTCTTGCCTCAGCCTCCCAAGTAGCTGGGACTACAGGCATGCACCACCATGCCCAGCTAATTTTTTTTTTTTTTTTGTAGACAAGGTTTTGTCATGTTGCCTTGACTGGTCTTGAACTTGTGGGCTCAAGCAATCCCCCCACCTCGGCCTCCCAAAGTTCTGGGATTACAATAAATAAAGCCATAGAGACATTCCCTTAGGTTCTAGTTTCCTCACCTGTAAAACAACGGCATTGTACTAGGCTCATTCAAACTATTTTGAAAGCACCAGGCACGTGCCATTTATTTTTAGGATCTCCTTGTTGGCAGGTACTTAATGTACAAATAGCATAGTGCTTGGAGGCAGATGTTCTGGGCTCAAACCTGAGCTTGCCACATGTCAGTCCCTGAACTCCAAGTTGCACTTTCATTCCTCAGTTATAAGAGGGAGGGAATAACAAAATCCACACCTCAGAGGAGTATCGTGAAGATTAAATAAAATAAAGAACATCAAGATTCTTTGTGTGAGAATAAAGTGACACTCACATAATTGCTGTTAAAGAGAAAATCACTTGGGAGAACATACGCAACCAAAGAAAGATGTCACAAGCCGGGAACAGGAAGCATTTTTGGAGGCCAAGGAGCATTGGAGTGCTGCATGAATGAAGGCTTAGATTTTCGGGCGAGGTGCATACAGCAATCGTTGCCATCTGTCATCCCCTCCGGTCTGTGCTCACAGCCTGACGTGCTAGGTCTTATTCCCCCTTACAACTCCCCACGCAGGAGCTTCACCTTGCAGAAGAGGAAACTGAGGCCCAGAAAGGCTGTCCCCTCACAGCCGTCCAGAGGCCAACCTAACCCACCTCGACTCCAATCCTAAATGCCTCCTACTGTTTAAAATTAGCAAGGCTGGATCATGCCTGCAATCACAATGCTTTGGGAGGCCAAGGCATGAGAATTGCTTGAGGCCAGGAGTTTGAGACCAGCCTGGGCAACACAGTGAGACCCCCATCTCTACAAAAAATTTAAAAAGTAGCCTGGCATGATGGCGTGCGCCTATGATCCCAGCTACTCCAGAGGCTGAGGCAGGAGGATCGCTTTAGCCCAGGAGTTTGAGGCTGCAGTGAGCTGGGATCATGCTACTGTACTCTAGCCTGGGTGATAGAGTGAGACCCTGTCTCTACAAAATAAAATAAAATTAGTAAGGCAGACCAGGCTACCACCCCTTAGCTAACACTCTCAGCTGGAAAAATTAGGAGGTCTTAGACTTCTGGGTGCTTGTCAGAACAGGATGTTCCCTGCCTTGAGCGCTTCCCCATAGCCCTCCAGTGCCCATACTCTGCGGCTGGATAGGACTTCTGTAAACTGAGCCGCGCATGGCCCTCACTTTCCCCTGGGGTTCCTTTGGCAGAAGCATTCTTCCATTGGATGTGGGGACGTGAGGCTTAGTGAGAGTACGAGGATGGAATTCCTAGAACTGCTGTTCCCATTCCAGGGAGAGGGAGAGCATTTCACAACAGGGCCGGGGTGGGGGAGGTCCAAATGCTTCTGCTCAGATCCAAGCCAACAGCCAGTGAGCAAAACACCCTGGACAATCTGAACTCCAGCTCTGAGGCAGCTCCCTGTTAACCTGGAGGTAAATACGCCGACATGCCAGAATCTCGGTCTTCCCTCCCTCCTCGCCACACAGTCCAGGGAGGAATCACATGTGTCTGGGTGGCTTTTCTGGCTGGATGGTCTATTTAACAAGCAGGACAGAACTGCCGGGGTGGAAATCCTGGTGAGAGATGCAGAGCACACTCAGTCCAAGACTTTTCTTTACCTCTGCCCCGCAACCGCTGACCTCCACAAAGAGAACCAAGATCCCAACATTTCTCAGGGGCCAGGGGTCTTATGAAGCTGCTGGATACCAGATGGGGACGATCGGCAGCCTCTCCCTCTGAGGCCCTGGCATGGGAGGGAATAGGTCAGTTTCTTTGAAAATTGGCTTCAGGCCAGGTGTGATAGCTCACACCTGTTATCCCAGCACTTTGGGAGGCCGAGGCAGGTGGATCGCCTGAGGTCAGGAGTTTGAGACCAGCATGCCAACGTGTTGAAACTCTGTCTCTACTAAAAATACAAAAACTAGCCGGGTGGTCCCAGCTACTCAGGAGGCTGAGGCAGGAGAATCGCTTGAATCCAGGAGGCAGAGGTTGCAGTGAGCCAAGATCGCACCACTGCACTCCAGCCTGGGCAACAGAGCAAGACTCCATCTCAAAAAAAAAAAAAAAGAAAAAGAAAAGAAAAGAAAAGAAAATTGGCTTTGACAGAGACTTTCAGAACAAAATAGCTGAGCTAATTATTCTGATTGCTGGCCAAGCTCCTCCCCTTCCTTAACCTCCTCCCAAACACTTCAAATGCACCCTATGGGTGAAGCTGTCCCTGAAATTCATTACCAATAGGGAATGACCTTCTGAAATGCCTCCCATTACAAACAGTAGTGATTGCTGTCCCAGTTGGAAAGGGGAATGGCCCTGTTATGAGCTGAATAGTTGAATAGCATCTCTCCCAAAAACTTTTTTTCGTGTGTGTGAGATGGGGTCTCACTCTGTCACCCAGACTAGAGTTCAGTGGCATGATCTTAACTCACTGCAGCCTCCGCCTCCCTGGTTCCAGAGATTCTCCTGCCTCAGCCTCCTCCTGGTAGCTGAGATTATAGGCACCTGCCACCACGCCTGGGTAATTTTTTGTATTTTCAGTAGAGACAGAGTTTTGCCATGTTGGCCAGGCTGGTCTTGAACTCCTGACCTCAAGCGATCTGCCCGCCTTGACCTCCCAAAGTGCTGGGATTACAGGCATGAGCCACCATGCTCGGCCTGCCCCCAAAACTCTTATGTTGAAGCCCAACCCCAGTACCTCGGAATGCAACTGTATTTGGAGATAAAGTCTTCAAGGGGATGATTAAATTAAAATGAGGCTGTTAGGGTGGGGCCCTAATCCAGTCTGACTGGGGTCCTTATGAGAAGAGATTTGGATGCAGACAGAGGAAGGCCCATGTGCAGATACAGGGAGAAGGTGGCCATCTGCAAGCCAAGGAGAAGGGCCTCAGAACCCAGCCCTGCTGGCACTTTGATCTTGGACTTCCAGCCTCCAGAACTAGGAGATAATTCATTTTGTTTAAAGCACCCAATCTGTGGTATTTTGTTATGGCAGCCATAGTAAACTAAGGCAGGCCCACTCTACCCTTGTGTTCAGAAGGGCAGAAGAGAGAAATCTGTTTACACCACACACTCACACACATGCTCCTTAAGGCAAGAGACCTCCACACTGTCCACTTCCAAACCAAAGGGAGTACTGAGCCCGACTGTACCCTCTGCTATTCTCATTCCTGCCTGGTTTTGTACTGCTGGGCACAGACACATGAGTCCATCCTATTGCAAGTACTACAGAAAATTAAGGATATTCACATGGTAGTGCTGGGTAGGGCAGGGCAGGTGTGGGCTCCTCTGAAGAGTGTTCCCAAAGCCTGGCCTGCAGGACACTTGGAGGGGGAAGAGGAGATGGTTTGGGTGATGGCCTGCAATGAAGGCTCAACACAAAGAGGAATAGATTGCTTAGCGGTCCAGCATCATGGCCACCTGTGTGGTTTGCTTTTTTTTTTTCTTCTGAGACAGGGTCTCACTCTATTACACAGGCTGAAGTGCAGTGGCGTGATCATAGCTCACCGTAACCTCAAAT